>NC_000023.11:115838949-116198364 GCF_000001405.40 Homo sapiens | reverse complement strand
TGTTACATAGGGCTGGAGAATAGATATACCACTGAGGAGAGTAAAAGTGTTATTTCTGGCCTTGTCAGCTAAAAATAAACCACTCCTGGTGGGCCTTATTCAGAGAGACGGTGAAAAAGGCATTTTTCAAATCAATACTTCCATACCAGGTAACAGTGGATGTGTTAATTTGCTCAAACAATGAAACCATATCTGGTACAGTACTGTGATTGAGCTGACTTTCTGGCTAAGCTTTCAACAGTCCACTGTTATTGTTCAAGATGCAACTGTCTTCCACACAGGCCAAATAGAAGAGTTGAACGAGGATGTACTGGAAATTACTCCCCGTGCATATTTTAATTATTTAATGGCATTAATCTCTGCAGTCACTACAATAATGCAGTATTGCTTTTGGTTTACTATTTTTCTAAATAAAGGCAGTCTAGTGGCTTTCATTTGGCCTTTCAACCATAATAACCCTCACTCCACAAATAAGGGAACCAATGTGGGGATTCTGCTGCAGCTGAGTATATCTATTCCAATTGTTCACTCTGGAAGTGCATAAATAACCACAGCATGGTCTCAGGGGCCCACTGTGCCAAATGTGAGATGCACTAGAACAAAAAATCTACTTATCATCTGAACTCCATAAGCCCTTAGTTTCACTGGTAGGCCAGAGTGACATTTTGTGTATCCTGGAATTATTGCCAGTTCAGAGTCACTGTTGAAGAGTTCCCCAAAGGTCTCATTATTTCCTTTTCCCCAATACACAGTTACCCTGGTAAAAGGCCATAGGTCACTTGGGGAAAGCTGGAAGAAAGACTAACAATATGCATTTTTGTCAGTGTACCAGAGTCCTTTCTCAAGGAGATCTGGTTTCCCCTTCATTAAAAGGGTTCTGGGACTATACACTGGCTCAATTATTGGAATTGAAAAACAGTAAATCTATTTCTATAGTTCAGATTAGGCTTTTATTCAATAGACCTAAAACTTTTCTTCTAATACAAATGAAGTAAAAATTTAGTAGGTTCTCTATGTATTTCACTTCTAGGAACACCATAATTAACTATCCAATGCCATAGGTCTGTATGAGTCAGAATAGTCTGATTGCTGCTTTGACTCTGCTATCCACTATGACAATCATACTGACCTTACCTTTGGTGGCCGAGTGCCACAACTTGGCCACTACCATCCTGGGATACAATTACTCCTACTGCATTTAGGTTTTACAATTCAGTGATTGCAGTTCCCACAGTAAAGTCTGGACTACAGAGAAGAGCAATCACAGAGCTCATCAAAATTGCTGGGGCCCTCCTCACAATTTATTTCTCACAATACTGGTAAAATGTCATGTCTTCTGGACATTTCTATTGTGAGTCTTAAATGACAAATTCACTTTAATATTTCCATCCTCCTAAACTTTTGAATCACTTTCTCTCCGTTAAACCAAGACAAGTCTGGTATTTCCAACTTATTCACTGTGGCCACCTTTCAGCCCACCAACAAAACTGTTAGAGGCCCTTTCTAACTCCCCAAGCTGCAACATTAAATGCAAATTTTCTGCTTAGTGATCCCATACCAATCAATGTGGCCTGATCCAAGTTAATGTTTATTCCACTATTATCCCACAACCCTAATATCAATTCCCAAATGTTTCCCTATTTCTGCTTGTATAAGTCAGAAATCTCAGGTAGTTATTTTGGAGAGTAGTGCATCTCCCCAGGGGTCACACATTGTATCTCACCTTTAGGGATCTTTTGAGACTTGAGTCTAGTTTTATATAGGTCTAGAGACAAAAAGGTATAATAAAGCTGGGTCCTGCAGAGACTCAACAGTGTCGCTCATACAGCAATTGCCTCAGGGAAGACCATTACAATTTTCTCTAGCAATTAGAGGTTAGTTTCTTCAGAAAAGGTAGAGAGGCTGATGCCACTGGGAATGGGGGAGTTGCTACCATTGAGGATAGGTAAGCAACTTCTACTGGGGATGGGGAAACTTCTTCCAGTGAGAATGGGAAGGCCACATCTCCTGGGGGGAGTGAGAACTCTTCCACTAGCTAAGACTGACTTAGAATTTAGGGCAAGACACAGTGGCTCACGCCTGCAATCCCAGCAATTTGGGAGGCCGAGGTAGGTGTATCACTAGGCCAGGAGTTTGAGACCAGCCTGGCCAATATGGAGAAACCCCATCTCTACTAAAAATGCAAAAATCAGCTGGGCGTGGTAACACGTGCCTGTAGTCCCAGCTACTCGGGAGGCTGAGACAGGAGAATCGCTTGAACCCAGGAGACAGAGGTTGCAGTGAGCTGAGATTGTGCCACTGCACTCCAGCCTGGGTGACAGAGCCAGATTCCATCTCAAAGAAAAGAAAAAAAAGGATTTAGGGGCTGAATTTTCCCAGATTTATCAGGGTCTTCTCACACATCTCCATTCTGACTTACAGTATCCCATTCTTTTCTAATCAGTGTCATCACTTTAACAGTAGATGCCCTTTGAAACTTGAAATTCAACATGGGTTGTGATTCAGACAGTCACAGAATGAGATTCTGGGTTTAATTTTCAGCACTCTCACCCTTGCAGCTACCAGAGATAGGGGTCTTCATCGGGGACACATAGAAGTTTTCAGGTCATTTATGTGGTACTTCACCTGGGAATTCTAATCTCAAAGCTTATCCTTTTTTTCCTCACTTTCCAGTGAGATTAGAAGCAACCAGCCAATATTATTATATGTGCTACTACACACAAAAAAATTTAAAATTATTATATACACAATCATTCCACTTTGTGACATTTATAAGTGGTTGATTAGAAGCATTCAATGGTAATATTTTTTTCAAAATAATTTTATGGTGTGTAAGTGCAATTTTGTTTTATGCAAGCATTGCACAGCAGTGTAGTCAGTGCTTTTAGGACATACATCACCCAAATAATGTATATTGTGCCCATTAAGTAATTTCTCATCATCCACACCTCTCCTACTTGCTCACCCTTCCAAGACTCCATTGTCTAATGCATGTGTATACGTTACCTATCTCCCAATTATGAGTGAGAACATGTGATATTTATCTTTCTATGTCTGACTAGTTTTACTTAAGAACATGGCTTTTGGTTCCATCAATGTTGCTGCAAAAAACATTATTTTATTCTTTTTATGGCTATATATTTCATTGTGTATATACACCACATTTTCTTTATTATATTATCCATTGATAGACACAGGTTGATTCCATATTTTTGTTACTGTGAATGGTCTGCAATAAACACATGAGTGCTGGTGTCTTTCTGATATAATGACTCTTTTTTCCTTTGGATGGATACATAGTAGTGGACTGTTAGATCAAATGGAAGTTATATTTTAGCACTTTGAAAAATCTGCTTACTGTTTTCCTTGAGGTTGTACTAATTTACATTCCCATGAACAGTGTATGAGTTCCTTATCTCTGCATCCTCACCAATATCTGTATTTTTTTTTTTACTTTTTCATAGTAGCCATTCTGGCTGGGGTAATATGAGATCTCATTGCACCTTTAATTTGGATTACTAATGATGAGTAATGTTGAACATTTTTTCATATACTCATTGGCCATTTGTATGTCTTTCTTTGCAAAAAAAAAAAAGTCTATTTCTCTCTTTAGCTCACTTTTTTAAAGAGACTATTTGAAGTTTTGTGATTGTTGAGTTGTTTGTGTTCCTTGTATATTCTAGATATTAGACCTTTGTTGGATGCATATTTTGTAAATAGTTTCTCCCATTCTGTAGGTTTTCTTTTCACTCTGTTGGTTAATTTTGTTGCTGTGTATAAGCTTTTTGTTTAATTAAGTCACATTTGTCTATTTTTACTTCGTTGCTCTTGCTTTTGAGGTCTTAGTCATTAATTCTTTGCCTAGGCAAATATCCAATAACATTTTCCATAGATTTTATTGCAGTATACACTAACAGTTTCAAGTCTTAAAAATTTCTTTATCTATTTTGAGTTGATATTATCTATGGTGAAAGACAGGGATCCAGTTTTATTCTTTTGCACATAGTGAGCCACTTATCCCAGCACCATTTATTGAATAGAGATTCCTTTCTCCATTACTTATTATTGTCAACTTTGTCAAAGATCAGAGGGTTGTAGGTGTGTGGCCTTACTCCTGGATTATCTATTTTGTTCTATTTGCCTATGAACCTATTTTTATACCAGTACCAATGCTGTTTTGGTTACTCCAGTCTTGTAGAATAATTTGAAGTCTTGTAGTATGGTATGTTTTGGTTACTATAGTCTTGTAGGATAATTTGAAGTTTTGTAGTATAATTTGAAATCAGGTAATATTATGCTTCAGCTCTGTTCTTTTTGCTTAAGATTGCTTTGGCCATACAGGTTTTTTGTTTTGTTTTGTTTTGTTTCATATATAATTTTGTACATTTTTTTCTAACTCTGTAAAAATGATACTGATATTTTGATAGAGATTGCATTGAATCTTTAGATGGCTTTGGGCAATATGGTTATTTTAACAATGTTAATTCTTTTATTCCATGAGCATGGGATATTTTTCTATCTGTTTGTGTCATCTACAATTGATTTTATCAGGGTTTTGTAGTTCTCCTTCTAGAGATATTTTACTTCCTTAGTTACATGTATTCCTAGGTATTTCATATATTTGTAGCTATTGTGAATGGGCTTGCCTTCTTTCTTTTGTTCTGAGCTAGATCATTATTGGTGTATAAACACATTACCCATTTTTGTACATTGATATTTTATTTTGCAACTTTACTGAATTCATTTATAAAATCTAAGAAGTTTTTGATGTAGTCTTTAAGTTTTTGTAGTTATAAGATCATATCATCAGGGAACAGGGTTGATTTCACTTCCTGATTTCCAATTAGGATGCCTTTTTTTCCCTCTCTTCCCTTTTTGTTCTGGCTAGGACTTCCAGTATTATGTTGAATAGTAGTGGTGAAAGTGAGCATTCTTGTCCTGTTCCAGTTGTCAGGGAAAATGCTTTCAACTTTTCCCTATTTAGTATGATGTTGACTCTGGGTTAGTAGTATATGACCTTTATTATTTTGAGATATGTTTCTTCTATACTTAGTTTGTTTGAGACTTTTCATTATGAAGGGATGCTGAATTATATCAAATGCCTTTTATTAACCAACTGAGATAATTATATCATTTTTATCCTTCATTGTGTTGATGTGATGTGTCACATGTATTTTTTTGTGTATGTTGAAACATCCTTGCATCCCTAATATAGAACACCCTTGATTATGGTGTATAATCTTTTAAATGCGGTGTTGGAGTCAGTTTGCTAGGATTTTGTTAAAACTTTGTTTCTTAAGACTTTTGAATTAATCCAATCTGACAAAGACAAAAAATAAAGAATAAAAGAAATGAACAAAGCCTCCAAGAAATTTAGAATTAGGTAAAATGGCCAAACATAAAAATAATTTGTGCTCCCAAGGAAGAAGAGAAATCTAGAAGTCTAGAAACTTATTTTAAGGAATAATTGAGGAAAATTTCCCTGGCCTTGCTAGAGATCTAGACATCCAAATTAAAGAAGCTCAAAAAAAAAACCCTAGGAAATTTATTACAAAGAGATTATCACCTAAGCACAAAGTCATCAGGTTATCTAAAGTCAAGATGAAGGAAAAAATCTTAAGATCTGTGAGGCTAAAGCATTAGGTAACCTATAAAAGAAAACCTATGAGATTAACTATAGATTTCTTGGCAGAAACCCTAAAAGTCAGAAAGGATTAGGGTTCTATCTTTAGCCTCCTTATACAAAATAATTATTACACAAAAATTTTGGACCCAGTGAAACTAAGCTTCATAAATGAAAAAGAGATAACGTTGTTTTCAGACAGACAAATGCTGAGAGAATTCACCACTATCAAGCCAGCACTACAAGAAATGACAAAGGAGTTCTAAATCTTGAAGCAAAAGCTCAAAATACATCAAAATGGAACTTACTTCAAGCATAAATCTCACAGGGCCTATAAAACAATAACACAATGAAAATAAAGCAAGGTATTCAGGCAACGACTAGCACAATGAATGGGATAGTACCTCACGTCTCAATCCTAATGCTGAATGTATTAGGTTGCTGCAAAAGTAACTGCAATTAATTTTGGACCAACCAAGTAAATGACCTAAGTGATTAACTTAAAAGACACAGCATGGCAAAATGGAAAAAAAAATCCACCAACAAATTATCTGCTGTCCTCAAGAGACTTGCCTAACACATAAAGATACACATAAACTTAAGGTGAAGGGGTAAATAAAAGATATCTTATGCAAAGGAAAACCAAAAGTTAGCAGGAATGGCTCTTCGTATATCAGACAAAACAAACTTTAAAGCAAAAATGTTAAAAAAAGACAAAGAGAGACATTATATAATAATAAAAGGACAAGCCCAACAGGAAAATATCACAATCCCAAATATACATGCACCTAACACTAGAGCTCCCAAACTTATAAAACAATTATTACTAGACATAAGAAATGAGATAGCAACAAAATAATAATGGAGGAATTCAATACTCCACTGACAGCAATAGACAGGTCATCAAGACAGAATGTCAAGAAAGAAACAATAGGCTTAAACTTTACCTTAGAAAAAACAAACGTAACAGATATTTACAGAACATTCTACCCAAAAACTGCAGAATATACATTCTTTTCATCAGCACATAGAAGAATCTTCAAGATAGACCCTATGATAGGCCACAAAAGAAGATTCAGTAAATTTAAGAAAATTAAAATTGTATCAAATACTCTCTCAGACCAGAGTGAAATAAAATTGGAAATTAACTCCAAAAAAATCTTCAAAACTATGCAAATACCTGGTAATTAAGTAATCTACTCCTGAATGATTGTTGCATCAACAATGAAATCAAGATGGAAATTTAAAAGTTCTTTGAACTGAACAATAATAGTGATACAACCTATCAAAACCTCTGAGATATAGCAAAAGTGGTACTAAGAGGAAAGTTCATAGCATTAAATGTCTACATCAAAAAGTCTAAAAGATAAAAAAGCAATCTAAACTCACACATCAAGGAACTAGGGAAACAAGAAAAAAAATCCAAACACAGCAGAAGAAAATACATAACAAAGATCAGATCAGAACTAAAAGAAATTGAAATAAAAAAATACAAAACATAAATGAAATAAAAAGCTGTTTCTTCATCATGAAGTCTTTGCCCATGCCTATGTCCTGAATGGCATTGCCTAGGATTTCTTCTAGGGTTTTTATGGTTTTAGGTCTTACATTTAAGTCTTTAATCCATCTTGAGTTAATTTTTGTATAAGGTGTAAGGAAGGGATCCAGTTTCAGTTTTCTGCATATGGCTAGCCAGTTTTTCCAACACCATTTATTAAATAGGGAATCCTTTCCCTGTTGCTTGTTTTTGGCAGGTTTGTCAAAGATCAGATGGGTGTAGATGTGTGGTGTTATTTCTGAGGTATCTGTTCTGTTCCATTGGTCTATATATCTGTTTTGCTACCAGTACCATGCTGTTTTGGTTACTATAAGCTTGTAGTATAGTTTGAAGTCAGGTAGCTTGTAGGCATGGGCAAAGACTTCATGACTAAAACACCAAAAGCAATGGCAACAGAAGTAAAAATTGACAAATGGGATCTAATTAAACTAAAGAGCTTCTGCACAGCAAAATAAACTATCATCAGAGTAAATAGGCAACCTACAGAATGGGAGAAAATATTTGCAATCTACCCATCTCACAAATGACTAATACCCAGAATCTACAAAGAATTTAAACAAATTTACAAAAAAAAATACAACCCCATCAAAAAGTGGGTGAAAAATATGAAAAGATACCTCTCAAAAGAAGACATTTATGTGGCCAACAGACATAAGAGAAAAAAGCTCATTATCACTGGCCATTAAAGCTCATTATCACTGGTCATTAGAGAAATGCAAATCAAAACCACAATGAGATGACATATCATGCCGGTTAGAATGGCAATCATTAAAAAGTCAGGAAACAACAGATGCTGGAGAGGATGTGGAGAAACAGGAATGGTTTTACACCATTGGTGGAAGTGTAAATTAGTTCAACCATTGTGGAAGACAGTGTGGCAATTCCTCAAGGATCTAGAACCAGAAATACCATTTGACCCAGCAATCCCATTACTGGGCAAATACCCAAAGGATTATAAATCATTCTACTGTAAAGACACATGCACATGTAAGTTTATTGCAGCACTATTCAAAATAACAAGGACTTGCAACCAACTCAAATGTCCATCAGTGATAGACTGGATAAGGAAAATATGGCAAATATATACCATGGAATACTATGCAGCCATAAAAAAGGATAAGTTCATGTCTTTTGCAGGGGCATAGATGAAGCTGGAAACTGGGCCTGTCGGGGGGTGGGGAGCTAGGGGAGGGATAGCATTAGGAGAAATACCTAATGTAGATGACAGGTTGATGGGTGCAACAAACAACCATGGTACATGTATACCTATGTAACAAACCTGCACGTTCTACACATGTATCTCAGAACTAAAAGTATAATTTTTAAAAAGCAAGTTCTTTGAAAAGATAAAGTTGATAGACCATTTGCGAGATTAATCAAGTAAAGAGAGAAGATCTGAATAAGCTCAATTAGAAACAAAATGGGAGATATTACAACTAATACCACAGAAATACAAAACGATCATTCAAAGCTACTATGAACACCCCTATGTGCACAAACGAAAAAATATAGAGGAGATGGATGAATTCCTGGAAATATATAATCCTCCTAGATTAAACGAGGAATAAACAGAAACTCTGAGCAGATTAATAACAAGTAGCAAGATTGAAACAGTAATAAAAAAATTGTCAACGTAAAAGTCCAGAACCAGATGGATTCACAGCTGAATTCTATCAGACATTCAAAGAAGAATTGGTGCCAATCTTACTGAAACTGTTCCATTAGCTGGAGAAAGAGGAAATTTTCCCTAAATCATTCTATAAAGCCAGTATCACCCTAATATCCAAATCAGAAAAGGACATAACAAAAAAAGAAAACCACAGACCAATATACCTAGTGAACACAGGTGCAAAAATCACCAACAAAATACTAGCTAAATAAATCCAACAACATATCAAAAAGATAATACACAATAATCAAGTGGGTTTCATCTCACAGATGCAGGGATGGTTTAACATACACCATACACAAGTTATTAAATGTGATACACCACATAAACAGAAATAAAAACAAAAATCCTATGATCATCTCAATAGATGCAGAAAAACATTTGACAAAATACATCATTGCTTTATGATTAAACTCCTCTGCAAAATCAGCGTAGAAGGAACATATCTTAAAGTAATAAAACCCATCTATGGCAAACCAATAGCCAACATTACACTGAATGGGGAAAAGTTAAAAGCATTCCCTCTGAGAACTGGAACAAGACAAGGATACCCATTTTTACCACTTCTATTCAGCATAGTACTAGAAGTCCTTAGCCGAAGCAATTAGACAAGAGAAAGAAATAGAGGGCATCCAAATCAGTAAAGAGGAAGTCAAATAGTCACTGTTTGCTTATAATATGATCATATACCTAAAAAACCATAAAGATTCATCCACAAGGCTCCTAGAATTGACAAACGAATTCAGTAAAGTTTCAGGACACAAAATCAATGTATATAAATCAGTAGCAGTGCTATACACCAGCAGCGACCAAGCTGAGCATCAAATCAAAAACTGAACCCCTTTTACAAAAGTTGCAAAAAAATAAAATACTTAGTAAAACACCTAACAAAGGAGGTAAAAGATCTCTATAAGGAAACCTACAAAACACTACTGCAAGAAATCATAAATGACACAAACAAATGGAAACACATCTCATGCTCATGGATGGGTAGAATCAATATTGTGAAAATGACCATACTGCCAAAAGCAATCTATAAATTCAAGCAATTTCCATTAAAATACCATCATTATTCCTCATAGAACTAGAAAAAAAATCTTAAAGTTTATATGGAGCCAAAAAAGAGCTGCATAGCCAAAACAAGACTAAGCAAAAAGAACAAATTGGAAGGCATCTCATTACTCGAATTTAAAAAATACTACAAGGGCATAGTTACCAAAACAGCATGGTACTTTTATAAAAATAGGCACATGGATCAATGGAGCAGTATAGAGAACCAAAAAATAAAGCCAAATACTTACAGCCAATGGATCTTTGAAAAGGCAGACAAAAACATAAAATGGGGAACAGATACCCTATTCAACAAATGGTGCTGGGATAATTGGCAAGCCACATGTCGAAGAATGAAACTGAATTCTCATCTCTCACCTTATACAGAAATCAACTCACAATGGATCAAAGATTTAAATCTAAGACTGGAAACCATAGAAATGCTAGAAGATAACATCAGAAAAACTCTTCTAGACATTGGCTGAGGCATAGAGTTTACGACCAAGAACCCAAAAGCAAATGCAACAAAAACAAAAATAAATAGATGGGACTTAATTAAACTAAAAATCTTCTGCACAGCAAAAGAAATAATCAACAGAGTAAACAGAAAACCCATAGAGTGGGAGAAAATATTCTCAAACTGTGCATCTGACAAAGGACTAATATCCATAATCTACAAGAAACTGAAACAAATTAGAAAGAAAAACACAAATAATATCATCAAAAAGTGGACTAAGGACATGAATAGACAATTCTCAAAAGAAGATATACACATGGCCAACAAACATCTTAAAGAATGCTCAACATCTGGCCGGGCGCGGTGGCTCACGCCTGTAATCCCAGCACTTTGGGAGGCCGAGGCGGGTGGATCATGAGGTCAGGAGATCGAGACCATCCTGGCTAACAAGGTGAAACCCCGTCTCTACTAAAAATACAAAAAATTAGCCGGGCGCGGTGGCGGGCGCCTGTAGTCCCAGCTACTGGGGAGGCTGAGGCAGGAGAATGGCGTGAACCCGGGAAGCGGAGCTTGCAGTGAGCCGAGATTGCGCCACTGCAGTCCGCAGTCCGGCCTGGGCGACAGAGCGAGACTCCGTCTCAAAAAAAAAAAAAAAAAAAAAAAAGAATGCTCAACATCACTAATTATCAGGGACATGCAAGACAAAACCACAATGCAATACCACCTTACTACACAAAAATGGACCATTATATATATAATATATATATTATATATAATATATATATTATATACATATTTTATATATATATATATGTTGGTGTGGATGTGATGAAAAGGGAACACTTTTACACTGATAGTGGGAATGTAAACTAGTACAACCCCTATGGAAAACAGTATGGAGACTCCTTAAAAAACTAAAAATAGAACTTCCATTTGATCCAACAATCCGACTACTGGGTATTTACCCAGAGGGGGAAAAAAGTCATTATATGAAATAGACACTTACAAAAGCATGTTTATAGCATCATAATTCACAATTGTGAAAGTATGGAACCAGCCTAATTGCCCATCAACCAATGAGTGGATAAATAAAATGTGTAAAATACACACACACACACACACACACACACACAAACACACACCATGAAATACTACTCAGCTATAAAAAGAAATGAAATAATGGCATTTGCAGCAACCTGAATGGAGTTGGAGACCACTATTCTAAGTGAAGTAACTCAGGAATGGAAAACCAAACATTATATGTTCTCATTTATAAGTGGGAGCTAAGCTATGAGGATACAAAAACATAAGAATGATATAATGGACTCTGGGGACTCAAGGGGAGGGATAGGTTGGGGTATGAGGAATAAAAGTCTACACACTGGGTACAGTGTACACTGCTCGGGTGATGGGTGCACCAAAATTTTAGGAATCACCAGTAAATAACTTATTTATGTAACCAAACATTACCTGTTTCCCCAACACTATTGAAATAATAAGAAGAAGAAAGAAAAAGTTCTGGAAAAAATTTTTGGGTCTTTTTTCGTCAAGAAGATTGCTCTGTAGTTTTCTTTTATTGTTTTCTTCTCGTCTGATATTGGTATCATACTAATACCAGCCTCATAGAATCAGTTAGAGAAATTTCCCTCCTTCTTAATTTTTTGAAACAGTTTCAGGAAGATTGATATTAGCTCTTCTTTATATGTTTGTTAGAATTCAGCTGTGAATATATCTGATCCTGGGCTTTTCTTTATTGAACAATATTTTTCTTACTGATTCATTCTTGCTATTTATTATCAGCATGTTCAAGTTTTCTACCTCTTTCTGGTTCAGTTTTGGGAGGTTTTGTTTCCAGCAATTTATTCATTTTCTCTAGGTCTTCTAGCTTCAATGTATAGTCGTGCAGTATAGTCTTTGCTGGCCTTTGGTATTTCTGTGGCATCAGTCATAATGTCTCCTTTTTCATTTCTGATTTTGTTTGTTTAGATTTTTTCTTTTCTTGGTTAGTTGAGCTATTGGTTTATCAATTCTTTGCCTTTTTAAAGGAGCAACTTTTTGTATTATTGATCCTTTGTAAATTTTTGGTCTCAGTTTTATTTAGATCTGTTCTGGCCTTTGTTATATCCTTTCTTCTGCTAACTTTGGGATTTGTTTGTTGTTGTTTTACTAGTTCCTTGAGGTGTGACATTAGGTTAATTTGTAATCTTTCTACTCTTTTGATGTTGAATTTAATGCTATAAAAGTGCCTTTTACCACTGCTTTTGCTGTATCTCACAAGTTTTGGTATATTGTTTGTATTTTTATTTGTTTCATTAAAATTTTGTAAATTTCTTTCTTGATTTTCTTGTTGACTCAATGATTGCTCAGGAGCAGGTTTGTTTGATATCCATGTATTTTTATAGTTTTTTAAATTTCTCTAAATGTTGATTTCTAGTTTTATTCCACTGTGATCTGAGAAGATACTTGATATGATTTTGATTTTATAAAATTTGTTGGCTGGTTTTATTGCCTAACATATTGTCTATCCTAAAGAATGTTTCATGAGCTGATGTAAAGAATGTATATTCTGCATTTGTTAGTAATAATGTTTTGTAAATATGTGTTAGGTTTATTTGGTCTAAAGTCCAGCTAAAGTCCAAAGTTGCTTTATTGATTTTCTGTCACAATGATCTGTCTGGTAATGTGAGTGGAGTGTTTAGATCCCCCACTATTATTATATCACTGTCTGTCTATCTCTTTAGGTCCAGTAATACTTGTTTTATGAATCTGGATACTCTGTTCTTAGGTGCATATATATTTATAATTATTCTATCCCAATGAAGAATCAATCCCTTTATCATTATATAATGCCTTTCTTTGTCTTTTTTTCTGTTTTATTTATTTATTTAAAGTCTCTTTTATCTTATATAAGTTTAGCTACTCCTGCTTAATTTTGGTTTCTGTTTATGTGAATATCTTTTTTCACCCTTCATTTTAAGTCTCCATTTGCCTTTAGAGGTAATATGAGTTTCTGCAAGCAGCATATAGTTGGATCTTTTAAAAATCAGTAACACAAATCTATATCTTTCTTTTTATATATACTTTAAGTTCTAGGGTACATGTGCACAACGTGCTGCTTTGTTACATATGTATACATGTGCCATGTTGGTGTGCTGCACCCATTAACTCGTCATTTACATTAGGTATATCTCCTAATGCTATCCCTCCCCCTCCCCCAACCCCACAACAGGCCCCAGTGTGTGATGTTCCCCTTCCTGTATCCATGTGTTCTCATTGTTCAATTCCCACCTATGAGTGAGAACATGTGGTGTTTTGTTTTCTGTCCTTGCGGTAGTTTGCTCAGAATGAAGGTTTCCAGCTTCATCCATGTCCCTACAAAAGACATGAACTCATTATTTTTTATGGCTGCATAGTATTCCATGGTGTATATGTGCCACATTTTCTTAATCCAGTCTATCATTGATGGACATTTGGGTTGGTTCCAAGTCTTTGCTATTGTGAATAGTGCTGCAATAAACATATGTGTGCATGTGTCTTTATAGCAGTATGATTTATAATCCTTTGGGTATATACCCAGTAATGGGATGGCTGGGTCAAATGGTATTTCTAGTTCTAGATCCTTGAGGAATCGCCATACTGTCTTCCACAATGGTTGAACTAGTTTACACTCCTACCAACAGTGTAAAAGTGTTCCTACTTCTCCACATCCTCTCCAGCACCTGTTGTTTCCTGACATTTTAATGATCACCATTCTAACTGGTGTGAGATGATATCTCATTTGATTTGCATTTCTCTGATGCCCAGTGATGATGAGCATTTTTTCATGTGTCTGTTGGCTGCATAAACGTCTTCTTTTTGAGAAGTGTCTGTTCATATCCTTCACCCACTTTTTGATGGGGTTGTTTGTTTTTTTCTTGTAAATTTGTAAGTGGAGATTTTAATCCATTTAGGTTTAAGGTTATTATTGATATGTGAGATTTTGCTTCTCTCATATTGTTAATTCTTTTCTAGTTGTTTTATAAATTATTTGTTTCTCTCTTTATCTATTAGTCTTTGTGGTTTGATTAAATCCTGCACTGTTGCCACTTGATTCCTTTCTCCTTCTCCTTTCTGTGATTCTTTACTATGCATTTTATAGTTTAATGTGTTTTCATGATGATGAATATTACATCTTCATCTCCAAGTTTAAGACTCCTTTGAGCATTTCTTGTAGAATGAGTCTTGTGGTGATAAAGTCCCTCAGCATTTACTTGTCTGGAAAAATGTCATTTCTCATTGATTTATGAAGCTTAATTTTGCTGGATCCATAATTCTTGTCTAGCAGTTTTTTCTTCCAGCACTTTGAATATGTCATTCTATTCTCTTCTGGCCTGTAAGGTTTGAGAAGTTCACTGTTAGTCTTTGTGTGATGATGTTTCCTTTACAGGTGACTAGAGGCTTTTCTCTTGCTGATTTTAGAACTCTTTCTTTTACTTTGACTTTAGACAGTCTGAAAATAATATGCCATGGTGAAGTACTTTTTGCAATGTCTTTATCTGGGGATCACTTCTATTACTGGATATCTGAATCTCTTGCTAGACTTAGAAAGTTTTATCAATTATTTTGTTAAATAGGTTTACTAAAATTTTTTATCTTTATTCCCTACCATGAATACCAATATTCTTGTTTGGTCATGTTATGCAGTCCCATATGTCTTGAACTTTGTTCATTCTTTTAAAATCTTTTTTTCTATAATTTGTCTGATCAGATTATTTTAAAAGACCCATCTTCAAATTCTGAGATTCTCTCTTCTTCTTGATCTAGTCTATTCAGGTTTTCAAAAGTATTTTGTAATTCCTTCAATAAATTTTTTACTTCGAGAATTTCTGACTGACATTTAAAAATATATATATATCTTGGTAAATTTCTCATTAATGTCCTGACTTTATTTTCTGCTTTATTTTTATTGGTTTTCAGGTTTCTCTTGCATCTCATTGAGCTTCTTTAAAATTAATAGTTTGAATTTTATACCTGAAATTTTGATGATTTCTTTTTGGTAAGGATCTATTACTGGAGAATTATTGTTTTCTTCTGAAGGTGTCATATTACTTTGCTTTTTTGTTTCCTGTGTCTTTACATTGATTTCTGCACATATGAAACAACAGTAACTTCTTCTTATTTTCTTTTGTTTGAGGGAAACTTTTTCTTGATGATGTGGCTATGATGTTGGTAGGGTAGGGCCATTTGGCTTTGCTTCTGGGTCCATGTAATGGTGAAGACTGTGTATGATTTCATTGGCTATAAACAGCCTTAGTAGTATCTGTCTATTCCTCTGTGTGGCATTGTGAGGTTATTGATAGAAACTGATGAATTTGTGCTGGGGAATGGAATGCTTGATGGGTTCTTTTGCAAGTTTCAGTGGTAGTAATAGTAAGCTAAGCATGTGTATCCTTGGGATCTGGTACAGAATATAGTGACAATTCTGTTGGTTCCAGACAGGGAAATTCTTGTTCCTTTGGGTGGCTTTCTCAGATGTCAGTTGTAGTAGCAGTGTACCAGGTAGGTAAGTGGGCTCTTAAGCTCTTGGGCATCCAGGACAATGTGGTTAATGGCAGTAGCAGTTGTAGTGCGATGCTTTCCCAGTTCTCAACTGCTGTGCTTTTGTGTTGGGAGTGTTTGCAATGGGCTGTGTGGGCCAGCCTCTAAGCCAGTAGATGGTGCTTGCAGGTACAGGCCAGCTGAGGTGGTAGCAGCAATATATTTATACTCAACCTCTGACCTGGATAAAGTGCTTAGGTGCCCCAGGCAGTGGGCTGGAGTGTGGAACCTCCAGAAGCCTGGATTTTGCATCCTGTCTCAGTAGATGGGGAAAAGCCGGCTGGAGCTGGACCAGGAAAACCTGTGCTCAGCTTCCCAAGCCCCAACAAATGGTGATTGCATACTCCAGCTATGACGGAGATGGTAGGAAAGTCCTCAGATCCCTAGTGAAATGCTTGGGTTAGGGGTAACCCTAACCCTGTCAAAGTTGTGGGAGGCAGGTTGAGCCACTGGTCCTTGCAGTTGAAGCCTTGGCCAGTGAGTGTAGAACCCATATCTCCTCCACACCCCAGTCCAGGTGGGGCTCCCTGCCCTGTCCTGGCTCTCATAGCCCACACTGTAGTTCAGTCAATGTAGGTAGTTCACACCTAGCTTATAACTCAGCCCTGGGCCATAGAAGCAGCCATCCAGCTCAGAACCTAGCCTTTGCAGCAACTCTTGTCCTGCTCAGGACCCAGGGGTGTTGTCTGGCTCCAGCACTGGCAGCTGAAGCCCTCTCTAAGCTGGCTTTTCAGTCCTGGTTGCAGGGGCCCAAGTTTCCTTAATGTTCAGGACTGGGGCCCCTCTTCCCTGGAGCATGCCCAGATTGTTAAAAACTAGGATTGATAGTAACATTTTATTGTAGCCACTTAAGGAGAATATGGGACACGGAATGTGTAACCTCCCTGGAGCAGTTCCTTCTCATAGCCTCCTGGCCATTCTCCAATTCAGATTCAGGGCTTGGGAGGATCAAGGTGCACTCCCAAGGACTAGATTATATGATTTCCCCTGTGATAAGGTAGACCACAGAAAGACATTTACTTACTCTCTTCTATACTGGGGATTTACTTCCACATTCTGGCTGGTCTCAGCTACACAAGCTGACTATCCTCCTTCACCTCTCCTCATTTTTGAGTTTCTCCTTGCATTTCCATTGAACTCTCATGTGCTCTCTTGAAAAATTCACTCAAAATGTGACTTCCTACACACTATGCTGATTCCTTCAAGTGGATGAGGCATGTGTGAAGTACTCCTAGGCAGCTATCTCAGAAAAAATAACCCACTTTATTGGTGATATTCTGTATGTCTCCATTGGTAGTTCCCATCGTGCATTATCAGTGCTCTCTTTACCACTGGAAATAATCATTAACACCTTTAAATGTAATCAGATTAGAGAACCAACTTCAGAAACTCCAGAACCAATCCAGAAAACTCACCCTTAAAATTATGTTTTCTAGTACCACACTCGGTATCAAAATGTTTCTTAATATGCTTGGGCTATGTACTAGTCCATTTTCACTCTGCTAATAAAGACATTATTATAATATTATAACAATAAAGACAGGGAAGATAGGTTTAATGGACTTATAGTTGCACATGACTGGGGAGGCCTCACAATCATGGTGGAAGGTGAAAGGCACTTCTTACATGGCAGTGGCAAGAGAGAATGAGAGCCAAGCAAAAGGGGAAACCTCTAATTAAACCATCAGATCTCGTGAGCCTTATTCACTACCATGAGAACAGTGTGGGGAAAACTGCCTCCATGATTCAATTATCTCCCACCAGATCCCTCCCACAACACGTGGGAATTATGAAAGTACAATTCAAAATGAGATTTGGGTGGGAACACAGAGCCAAACCATATCATTCTGCCCCTGGCCCCTGTCAAATCTCATGTCCTCACATTTCAAAACCAATCATGCCTTGCCAACATTCCCCTGAAGTCTTAACTCATTTCAGCATTAATTCAAAAGTCCACAATCCAAAGTCTTATCAGAGACAAGGCAAGTTCCTTCCACCTATGAGCCTGTAAAATCAAAAGCAAGTTATTTACTTCCTAGATACAATGGGGGTACAGGAATAGGTAAAGACGGTCATTACAAATGGGAGAAATTGGCCAAAACAAAGGGGCTACCATCCCTATGCAAGTCCAAAATCCAGTGGAGCAGTCAAATCGTAAAGCTCCAAAATGATCTCCTTTGACCCCATGTCTCACATCCAGGTCACGCTGATGCAAGGGGTGGGTTCCCATGGTCTTGTGAAGCTCCCCACTGTGGCTTTGCAGGGTACAGTCTCCCTCCCAGCTGCCTTCATGGGCTGTCATTGAATGTCTGTGGCTTTTCTAGGAGCATGGTTCAAGCTGTCAGTGGACTTATCATTCTGGGGTCTGGAGGACGGTGGCCCTCTTCTCACAGCTCCAGTAGGCAGTGCCCTAGTAGGTGCTCTCTGTGGGGGCTCTGACCCCACATTTCCCTTCCACACTGCCCTAGTGGAGGTTGTCCGTGAAGGACCCACCCCTACAGCAAACTTCTTCCTGGGCATCCAGGTGCTTCAATACATCTTTTGAAATCTAGGCGGAGGTTACAAAACCCCGGTTCTTGACTTATGTGCACTCACAGGCTTGATACCATGTGGAAGCTGCTAAGGCTTGGGGATTGCACCTTCTGAAGCCATGGTCTGAGCTGTACCTTGGCCCCTTTTAGTCATGACTGGAGAGGCTGGGATGCAGGGCACAAAGTCCCTAGACTGCACTCAGCACAGGGACCCAAGGCCTAGCCCTCTTAACCATTTTTCCATCCTAGGCCTCCGGGCCTGTGATGGGAGTGCTGCCATGAAGACCTCTGACATGCCCTGGAGACATTTTTTCCATTGCCTTGGGGATTAATATTCAGCCCCTTGTTACTTATGCAGATTTCTGCAGCAGGCTTGAGTTTCTCCTCAGAAAATGGGATTTTATTTTTATCACATTGTCAGGCTGCAAATTTTCAGAACTTTTATGTTCTGCTTCCCTTATAAAACCAAATGTCTTTAACAGCACCCACATCACCTCTTGAATGCTTTGCTGCTTAGAAATTTTTTCTGCCAGATAACCTAAATCATCTCTCTCAAGTTCAAAGTTTCACAAATCTCTAGGGCAGAGGCAAAATTCTGCCAGCCTCTTTGCTAAAACACAACAAGAGTCACCTTTGCTCCAGTTCCCAACAAGTTCTTCATTTCCATCTGAGACCACCTTAGCCTGGACCTTATTGTTCATATCACTATCAGCATTTTTGTCAAAGCCATTCAACAAGTCTCTAGGAAGTTCCAACTTTCCCACATTTTCCTGCCTTTTTCTGAGCCCTGCAAACTCTTCCAACCTCTGCCTGTTACCCAGTTTTGAAGTCACTTCCACTTTTGGGTATTTTTTTCAGCAGTGCCCTACTCTACTGGTACCAATTTACTGTATTAGTCCATTTTCATGCTGCTGATAAAGACATACCCAAGCTAAGAAGAAACATAGGTTTAATGGACTTACAGTTGCATGTGACTGGGGAGGCCTCACAATCATGGCAGAAAGTGAAATGCACTTCTTACATGATGGCGGCAAGAGAGAATGAGAGCCAAGCAAAAGAGGAAATCCTTGTCAAACCATCAGATATCAAGAACAGTATGAGGAAAACCGCCCCCCTAATTCAATTATCTCCCACCTGGTCCCTTCCACAACACAAGGGAATTATGGGAGTACAATTCAAGATGAGATTTGGGTGGGGACACAGAGCCAAACCATATCAGGGTGCTATAACAAAATACCATAGACTGAGTCACTTAAACAACAGAATGTATTTTCTCACAGTTTTGGAGGCTGAAAGTTTAAAATTAGTATGCCAGCATGTTGGAGGGTTCTCTTTCTGTCTTCCAGATGGCTTCCTTCTTGCTATATACTCACATAGCCTTTTCTTATTGTGAGTGTGTGAAGAGAGAGACAGAGGTATCTTTTTTTCTTACAAGACTACTGTCCTATCAAATTAAGACTTCACCTTTATGACTTCCTTTAACCTTAATTACCTCCAAAAAGATTCCAAATATCATTACATTGGGGGTTGGGAATTCAATATATGAATTTTTGGTGTGAGGGAAGGTTGCAATTCAGTCCATAAGAATAGATAACAGCATATACAATGAGGCATACTTTTGCTTTTTTCTAGGAGATAGAAAAAGTGTCATTTCAAATCTGTTATTCACAAATGTTTCAAGCTGTTAGGACATCACAAATAGTTGGAGTAGAAGATTTTTTGTAATTTTTTGTAATCACTTCCATGTACATTTTTGTTATATGAATGTAAATAGGTGAAGGAAGGCTATAGCTGGAAATATCAGGGCTTGGCAACAGTTTGATGGTTCCAATTTTTCAGGCAAATGGGTTTGTGCCAACTGTGTTCTGTACACACTGGTGTGTTGAACTTAGGTTTCCTTTTGGAGAGGAAAGGAATTAAGAATTAGACTCCTTTTTAAAAAGAAGTTCAAAGTTATTTCAGTATATCTTATGCACTAACATGGCCTCTACTGATGTCATGGAGAAGCAACAACAGCTCAACTACCCACTTCCTCTCCCAATCAGGGATACTCCTTTTTATTGAGGAAAATTTTGAAATGTGACTCCAGCTGCACAGGAGATGTTTACTTGAGGAAAGAAAAGACTGGTTCCTTGTATGGCATGTTCCGCTAGCTGGGTTTCTGCTGATCGCTCCTGGCTCCATGGAGGTGGCAAAACAGAAATACGTGTTTGAGCCCAGGTCTACTTTGACACACATCAGATATAGGTGAGTGTAGCACTGGAGAAAGGGAAGAGCCCTCCTTTTTTCCCCTCTTATATCGTTATCAGGTGGCTTGTGCATACATCACTTCAAAACTACTTAAGTGGACAGAAGTCTGCATGAGACTACTCAGACATCTGTTCTTATGCAGACCAACTGATAAATAATGTAGCAACAACAGTTGCAGAGAATGGGCTAGCAGACTTATCAGAATTTCCAGTACTTTCTTTCACTGGAAAATTATAACCAGGTGTGATCTCTTGGACTGCTTAAAGCTCTCGGGATTTGGGGCTTATCATAGGAAAGGAGGACCAAATGAGTAAAGAAAGAAAAATGTCTAGTACACCAGATGGGAGTTTAGGGTCAAAATATTTTAAATATTTAAATAAATGTACAACACAGTGATAAGGAACATATCTGATAGATAATAAACAAAAAAGAGAAAGAAATAGGAATAAAGATATAGAGATAAAAATAAATTGTATCTATCCATTTATATGTACTCTGTGTGGGTGTGTGTATGTATATATAATAATTTTACCCCATGCTATTAGTGGTGATCGTCTCTGTAGCTAATTTTTGTCCCTATAGTTAAATTTTTCAAGAATAAGTATTGATTCTATAATAAGAAATATATATCAGTTATTTTTAAATTTAGAAAGAATTATCTTATTCCAAAAAATGTTCAAAAAGAAAGAATTTATTTTTGAGGGTGCTAACCCTTTGTAGGTGTGTGTATGGAGTGAGCTAACTAATCTCTGGGCCACTGGTCTTCTGCAGGTGAAATAATTATTTTTAGTGATAATTTATGAATTTCTGTTATTTTGTATAAATTATCACTGCTGTTATAGTTTATGTGAGAATTAACAAAATAAGTGTTCTATTATCCTTATTGCGTCAACCCTCAACCCTTTCTTGCTTGAGACATCTCATGTGTTAACTCATCTTGTCAAGTTTGGAGTTTTCTCTTGTTGATATGTGAGGACACCAGACAGTTTCCCATCCTCAGATTCCTGTGGGGGAACAAAAGAGAAAAAAAGTCAAAACAGAATTTGCTTACTTTCAGATTTTCTTCTGATTTTGATGCATGCCTCAAAGAATCAGAAGAAAGGATATTTTGCAAAATAATCTATTTAGTAGGTCTGATTTAGGGCTATAAAATGTGGAAATAATTAATATTTACTTTTCCATAATAAAAATACACATTACTTCTGCAAGATGCAAGAGATGAGTTTCTCTGGTAACCCTATATAATCTCATTTCAAAGAGCTAAAGTTCATATCAACATGTTTGTTCCTTAAAGGAAACATTTAAGATATCTGTCTTGCTTTGTGTACAGGGTAGAGGGGGCAGCAGGGGATAGTGGTGACTTTATGTAGTTCCATACAGTATGGAGTACAAAGAAAGGGCAGTGAAGAAAAAGGGAGAAAGCCTCATCAGTCTGCCTCCTATCTTTTCCTACAGAAGCACTTGTATTACCAAGGTTATGGATACTGAAGTACTAACTTTAAGGTGAAGGTTGAAGGAGTGTGTAAGACTGTCTGAAATACCTGCTTGGTGGCCTAGGATTTATATTTGAAGTACTAAATCACATAATTGATACTACCTGATTCATCTGTCAGAGCCAAATTTAAAGATTAGTCAGGAATCATCTGTGCCTCAGTTTCCTTATTTGTAAAATAATAATCATTGAGTAATTTTTAGAATAAAATGGAACAATGCATATTTAATATTGCTTAGCACATAATGCTCATCTAATAATACCTGTTGTTATGTTATGTACTTCCCAGGCATTGTGTTGGGTGACTTGAGAAAAGGTGGGGTCATGAAAAAGAAAGGATATTACATAATACCTTGAAAAGTGGCCGAATGAGAATAAAAACATTTTCATTTGTTATCTGAGAAGCTTACCTGAAATTTGCATTTTCAAAGAGAAAAGCGGACAAGTACACTTTTGTACATACATTCCTAAAGCAAGAGTTCACACATTCTTGTACCATCCTCTCAACTGGCATTTCTTCTTAGTCCCAAGAAAAACCACTTGGAGGCTACTACTCAGGGTTCAACATTGGGCTTCTATAAAAGCAGACATCAGGCTTAACATCCCAAAAACTAGAGAAGCAATTCTGTTCATTAAAGGAAATTCTAGGGGTGTAGTATTATAATTAGTATAATAATTATTATTATGGTAGAGGAAATAGCATGAGCTGAATGTCGAAAGTTGAGCAGATTTTCATCACTTGAATGTGAGGCCCTGAGGAGGTGAGAATGATTGGAGGGGTGTTTAGTAAGATGGAGCTGTGTGAACAACAGCAGAGAGGCACGAAAGGGCATTAGGCTTTAAAAAGCATTAAGTCATTTTTTGATGCTTAAACACAGGGTTTGAAGAGGTGTGACAGAGAGAAAAAGTCCAGAAAGACTAGGAAGAGTCACATCTCCCAAGGTCTTGCAGACTCGAAGAAAGTTGGATTTTGCTTTCATAGCTAATGGGAAATTATGGCTCAATACTCAAGAGAGGAAGACTTGAACAGTATAGCAAGAGGCCAGGTGAGTAATAATCGGAGCTGAAACTAAGTAGTATCAGTGGAGATAAAATGGAGGATACAGATACAAGAGAAGGTAAGAATACTTAGAAGTAGAATATATACTTAGAAGTAGTTAAAAAAAATTTTTAAAAGCACGAATGTTCTTCCAATTAAAAATTTTATTTATATGAGCTGTTTTACAAAATTATTGAAAACATAACATCATAGTTGGTTATACATTTAGCTATTTGTTTTTATTGAAAATAAAAGGATTACATGAAATTAGGACTTTTCCAGAAAGTGGTATGACAGGACTCTTCTGTCTATAATCCTGGAACCTGGCAGAGATGCTGAGTCCCCAAAACGTTAGTTCCGCCTCAGAGATCAGTATTTAGACCTACCTCAGAGGAAGGTCCTAGATAACCTGTTATTATACAGGGCTGGTACAGAATAAAGTCTCAAATTTCTAAAATTAATATTCATACTTTAATGTAAGTAAACTTTAGGTAACTCAGTTTTAGGCACTCCTCTAACTTAGGAGCTTTAATAGTGCTGAGAAGGAGGTATCTAGACCTGCAATTGGTTTAAAATAGCTCCATAGAATCATACAGATTCTGGAACAAACAGTGTTTATAGATATAGGGTAAAACTACCCCCACGGTATATATTTTCAAAGTCACATTGTACTGCCCTGACAGGTTCCTTTCTTGGTACCAAACATGTAATTGACTGGGTCTCTTTGCCCCCACCCAGACCCCATGTAGCAAAATTCCATTCTGGATACCATTTCCTATGCCAGTTAAGGGTTTATTACAAGTTAAAGAGTTTTTTTTAAGCCACCCAGATATTTTAGGAAACAACCCAGAACCAAAGCATTAATAATAAAAATCAAATCAATGTCCTATATATCAAAGCAGCACATCTAAAAAGTCAAGGATGTGAAAAGTGACCTTTACATTTTACAACAATACACAGTGTTTACTGATTTCAAAAAAGTATCAGAGAAAATAGAAACCTTTAAACAATCATTAAAATGAGTAGAAAGTTTTTTAAAAAGTGCTTATTCAGAGTTTAGTGAACACACAAATATTATAGATTGCAATTCTATGTTATAGTACATCTTGCTTTCTATAACTGTAAAAATAAGCTAAAGCATAGGAGTATGATTTAATCTATATTCCTAGCCCTATTCAATATGTAGTTATAGATTAACTATAAACCTCCACTCAAGTGAAATGCAAGAGGAATATAATTTATAGCTTTTTTAAAGAAGCATATGCCTAAAGCCTGAATAATCCAGTACTAATCTATTATAATATACTCAACTTAGAAGTGCTCATCTCTCTTACAATGTTGTCTTGTAAATGATGCAATGAGTTGAAAGACTGGTTCTGGTTCAAGAGGAAATCCTGATAAAAATGGATATAAAACCCCACTAAGAAACACAAGCATGTTTCAAAGAGAAATCTGAATCCCCAAATCATTATTCACAATCTATTATTAATTACAATTTGAGATATATCACCAGTTACTTCTAGGTTGTAAATATGTCTCACTAATGACAATCTTGTACAAACATATCAGAAAAACAATGGGCAATTCCTGAAAGTCACTGGACGATAAAACATAGTTACATTTGGTTTCAGAAGATTCAGAAAAGATTAGGGGAAATTTTATTATTTTATTAAAACCACTTAAAAATAATTCTGGTGAGCCTCAAAGCAAGTAGCCATGTTGATTACATGCATTTTGCTCTCACGTTTAAGACACAAAGGTCTCCATTTCTCTAAGAGAACTGCTTTTCCGGCAAGACATACTCTCTCTTTTCCCTTGGAGCCAAGTAATTGGAACCCTAAACACACTGCGGAGCTTCTGTTGGAACCGGTTTCCAACAAAACAATACAGAAACGGATTAACGCAGCTGTTGGTGAATCCCAAGAGGATGGCAAAAGGAAGTGCCAGGTCAATGACTGCTATAACTTCGCAGCTATTAATGACACCCATCCAGGCCAGAGCATCCAGGAAGGTCAGAACATGGAAGGGAAGCCAGCAAATGATGAAGGCCAGAACAACAGCAGCTGCCATCTTCAGGACTTGGTCACGGGTTATCCTGTTCTTCCCATAGCTATTCGTCTTCAGTAAGTGTTTTCTAATTCCAAAATAGCATGTTGCTATGAATATTAAAGGGATAATAAAACCAAGGATATTTTTCATTAAGGCAATCCCAGCTGACCATTGGGCATATTTCTCAGGTGGGAAAGCCATAATGCAAGCATTCACTCCTAAGTATTCAATGGTTCTGACGTCTCGAAAATAAAATGTTGGCAATGAGGACAAACAGGCCATACACCAAACAAGGGGAACTATATAAGATGCTTGCCAGGGATTTCTTCTTTGAGACAGAAAGGGGTAGATGACAGATTGGTACCTATCAACACTCATGCAGGTGATAAAAAAAATGCTTGCAAACATGTTCAGGGTAAGAAAAGAACCAAAAACTTTGCACATCACAGGTCCAAAGAGCCAGTCATATCTATAAGAATAATAGGTTGCCCATAGAGGAAGAGTAGCCAAAAGGAGTAAATCAGCCACAGCGAGGTTGAAGATGTATATGCTAGAAACCTTTTTAGGACCCTTTTGACAACAAAACAGTGTAACCACGACAATATTGACCAGAAATCCAATTACAAATATAATGTAGTAAAGAATAGGAATTGCATCTAAATGCTTATCTGATGGTTTCTGTGAACAGTTCAAGGTAGACTCATTGTTGCCAGAGATGTTCACAAGCCCGAAGTGAAGACCGCTGGTAATGTTTTTGCTAGTAGTGGCAAGGGTGGAGTTGCCCTTCATATTGAAATGTCAGCAGCTCCTAGTTCTTATGCCTTCTGTGGAGAAAAAACATAGAACTCTTAGAACACATACAGAGCTGAGGACATCCTTGAATCATTAGCATTTTGAATGTTTGTCAAAAGCAAAAAAAAAGTGAGTGATTATAGAAAACATTAAGAAACAGAGCCATGGCTTGTAAAACAAGAATTCATTTTACCTCTTGAAAAAGGAGAAATAATTTTCCTGATAGTAGAAAAAAGACATTTCAGAGATTCAAAGTTCTGAATAAAACTACCTTTTGCCCATCTTTTCTATGATGTTTTTGAAAGATTTAAAGAAAATTAATATTTCAAAAGATTAGTCAGGGCAGGAAATGTGTGAAACAAATAAGAAACCCAGAGGTAAGAAAAGTTAATCTTTCAAAAAACACTTGAGCATATATCTCTGTTTGTATACTTTCTAGAAACCACACTGCTGCTTGCTATTGCATAGAGAAATGCTCTATTTAAGTAACTAATTACATACAAATCACTACAGCTGTGGAAAATATAAGTAACATAAGCAATGGAAAAAATAAGTATATAAAAAACTAAAAGAGAATATGCCAAAGGAACATATTGTGATGGGGAATCATGGTTTGTCTTTAATAATTAAAAATAATTCCTTTAGTTTTACTTTTCTATTGTTTTCACAATAATAATATAGTTAAGAAGAAGTTATGAAATATATTTATATTTCTAAGTCTTCTCCTTTTAATAGAGAATATTAGTTTTAGATATAGATATCTAATTTTGGTCTATTTAATATCTAAACAATCCATTTTCAATTAAATCAGATAAAGAAAAAAACAGCCAAACCTATGTTAGGTTCAAGTAGAAGTAGTTTAGATTGCTCAGTGAAATGAGAAATGAACATCAATGATTAATCATGATATAGTCTTATCATTTTTCTTTTTCTCTCTTTTCGGTTTAACCGAACTGAATAGCCGTTGCTCTCAAACGTTACAGTGTTGAGGTTTTTGTGATTTTTTTCACTAGAAGCATTATTTTAAAACCAAAAAAAAAAACACATTAGCTAAAGATAAGCATACAAAGGAAACACTATTTACTTTAGATAGTTTCAAAATACATGCAAATAAGCTACCCAATTAAAAGTGTAATATCTAAAGAACCTCCTAATAAAGAGCAAAACTTTTATTTTGCTCTAAAGATTTTTCTTTTGACCTAACAAATTAACATAAAAGAATCAATAATAAATTCCACTTGAAGACTTACTGGTTGTTGAAGTTTAAAGCAGTTATCATAAATCAGCTTGCTTAGTGCCTAAACACACTCCTGTAAGAGAAACAGCAGCTAAATAATTCAGGAGTTTTGCAAAATACAGTGTTAAAACACAGGAAAAACAGAAGTTCATCCATAAAAAATATTTTCATTTAATGTATGTTCTACTTTCCAAGTAAATTATATATAAATTGTTCATACTTACCTTCAAAATTCAGGCTGCAGAATGCTTTGAATTCTGTGCTTACTCGTTCTCTCAGACGCTGGGACGTAATAGCACCAGATCTCTGGTTTCCTTCTTATATGTTTGGTCTGTCCACTGGGAGCCTTCAACCTACATAATTCTAGGGCTGACTTATGAACCCTTGCCAGCTTTCCAGAGAGGTTTTTTTTTGTCTGCAAAACATTAATCTGAAATTCTCACTGTCTCCAATCATAACAGCTCATTCAAATAAATCTCAAACAAAAAAAATGAAGTTTCCACAAATGTGCTAGAGAATTTTGAAGTCAGTGGCTTACTTGGTAGGAGAAAAATATAGTAATTATTTACAGAATTTTCTCTTCCTTTTTTCCTGATATTGGCATTCTAATAGAAATTAGTGAGTAGAGACTAGGAAATTTATTATAGTAGCAAAGTCTTTGTTCATCAGCTTTCACAACCTTCATTACTTTCTGAAATTTTTACCCCTGTTTATTAAAGAATGGTAGGAATTTTACTTGAAGTCTACCACTTCTAAAATTTCTCCCTTGCTTTGCGCAGTTTTTGTTGGCTTGTTGCTGGAGGGTTGGAGATTGCAGGAATATAATTTTTACACGACCAAAAAGAGGTTTAGTCTCCTTTCATAGGTCTCTGTCATATTTGTGGTTTAAATACAAAGCACATAAAGTGAAGAGGGATTCGCTAGCTATTTCAACCTAGATCACTGTTGCTGCTGTCTCTTGTGGCAGTGGGGGCAATAAACTACACAACCAATCCAGCAGAAGCAAGAGTGACAAAATGAAGAAAGATAAGAACAGGTGATGGTAGTGATAATACTAGCTGACAATAAATGTTATGTGCCGAACACTGTGATGAGTTATTTATCATCAATAATTTAATAGAGAGGCAATATAGCACACTGGTTAGTAAATAGCCTCTGGGATCCAACTACCTGGCTTTACAAACCCAGCTCTACCACTTACTAATTCTGACCTTGGCCAAGTTACTTTACTTCTTCATGTCTCAGTTTCTCATCTGAGAAAGGAGAATGATATAAATTACCTACATCGTAGAGTAGGAATTTTAAATAAGCTAATGGAAAATTAAATGAGCTAATATGTTTAAAGTGCCTAAAATCATGCCTAGCATATGGTAGGTGCTATTACAAGCTATTCATATTAGCCCCCACTTTACAAATCAGGAAACTAGGACTCATAGAGTTTAATAACTTTTCTGAGATCATACAGCTATTAAATGAAGACACTTGCATTTAAATCAAAGGAAACTAATATCAGAACTCACGCTGTTTAGCCTCTATACCACAAGAGGAAGCACTAGATGGTCCCTTAGTCTCACTCTTTGTCTTGGCAAAAAGGAAACGTGGCATTTACAGAAAATCACTGATGACCATTCATAATCTATCATAAAAGCATCAAAGAAGGGGAAAAGAATTGGAAGAATTGTTATGTGGGGAAACGTATTTTTCTTAATTGTATTGCCCAAATGGAGACCACAGGAAGGAGAAACTTGTGACTAGATGGCTTTCTATAGTTAGTACAGAGAACCAGAGAACCTAGAGCACATTTTAAATGGGCAAAAAGATTCAAGTTATTTCTGTGGATCATATTTTTCAGATAAGCAGCAAGAATGCACCTGTCCATGCTGCAGGCCACAGGTAAAGAATGAGGGCAGGCTCTGAGGAAGTAGCTGGGCACCTAAGTATGGAGTTCAGCAGAACAAGGAAGGAGAAGTCAGTGTTGATGACAGAAGACAAAATTGCAAATGGCATGAGACAAATCACATGGCTTTTGATATCTGTCTGTTTCTCCATTAATATTAAAGTCAATACTGTAGCACACAGGCAGATGAGATCAGTGAGAAGTCATCGTTATGTGAAAAATACAGTAGGATTCAAAGGTTTGCATAGGCCATCATAAAGTTTGTTTGGTAAACAGTTTGAACATTGTCAAAATGCCCCTAATATATGTATGCACCATTTTACTAAATCTCAAAATATTTGTTTCCTATGCTCTGGACAGATTCAGTTGAGGCTGAGGCTCTGTTAAAATGATGGAAAACTTATGTTTCAGAAACAAATGAGGGGGCACATATGTTTATCAGCAGGAAAGCTGAGATGGAAACTGTTTTCACTCATTGTTTAAACCTGGTTTCTCCCTCCATTTCAAATGTTTGTTTTTGCCACATAAAGGGGAAGTTTCCAGGCCAGGGCCTCCCGAGTGGTCACAATGGGTCAGATTCTCACCCTGCTCTTTTTCTTGTACCCTCTTAGGCCCCTTGCAAAGAAACAGCCAGGAGGTGAGCTATAAAATTATGAGAACAAACTACAGGCTTGTCTCCGGAAGACCTAGCCTTGAACACCCACAAGGAACAGGGGACCTTGTCTAGAGCTTTTGTCCTTCATTACAGTAAGTTCTGACATAAATAAAGTTTAAAGAGGTACATATTTCCCAGAAGATTAAAGGGCCATTTACTCTGCGTCTTCATAATCTTAGGAGTAATTTTTTTCACAAGTCAAAGAAAAATTTTGTAACTGCAGAGAATTAACAAAAAGTTTATAAAAAGAATAGCAATAATATTGACACCACTTGAAGAAATACTGTATATTATTGATTCAGCAAAGAACTCCCAGTTAAGCCAACAATGTAAATACACTTGAGAGTCAAATAAGTGTCAGTCCTGGGAAGCAGTACAACACAAAAAGTTCATTCTCCTGGGAGTAGGGAATAATTTTTCTGCTGGTAGACTTACTTAAAAAGTTTCAGGCCATTTGAATAAATTATGCAGCTCTGCAGGACAAGTGTAGCTGAGCTAGCAGAATTAAATAGTAAATCACATTAAATTAATTTTTTTCTAATGAATACCTGTTGTTTATTGTGAGATTACTTAACAGTAAATTTTAAAGGACTAAGCTAAAAAAGTAAATGTTCTTGAGAGAAATTCTTCCTCTGCTAGAAGGTTACAGAGTTCAGAACAAATTTTATTTGCCGCCTCACCTCCACCCACACACACAGATGAAACTTCAAAGGAGAAAAGAAATACATAAATGCAAAAATGCGTAAAAATTCTAGACATAGTGCCCTGGTTATAGAGGTAAAGATTAGAGGTACAGATTACGGAATGATTTTAATATATATGGGTCTTCCTTTTTAATCTAGGTCTCTCAGAGTCATTTTAACTTTCCCCAACCCCAGCCACCACACTGAGTGCCAATATCATTGCCACTTCTCTCAACTTCAACACACACACACACACACACACACACACCATTCATACCCATGTACCCACGTACATACTTTATACCAACTTTTCTTTAATTCACTTACCCATAGAGTAGCCTTGCTTTAATTGTCACTGGACTTTTCCTAACCTGGGGGTCTCTAAAAGGAGGGTAGTTAAGAAGATTGCCCATTATTGATGAATCTTTGCATATTATTTTTGTGCCTGTCTGTGAAATGTCACAATTAAAGCAAATGGAAAAAAAAATAAGGTCTTTTATTCAGAAATAACAATCAGATTGGCCATTTTGTAGAAACCAGCTTAAAATTCAGTGAAATGCCCAACATGAGTGATTATTTTCATCAAACTACCTCTTTGTCTACGCATCACATGAAAAGTGACACAGAGGACTATTAAGTAAGTTAAGGTGAAACTGATGTAGTGAGATGAATGGATGTCAGACTCAGTACATTCTTGAGACCAGCTGCTTCCAGCTGAATCTGGTCCCAAGAACATAAGGAGAAGGGAGAGTTCTAATTTCCCTTTGCCCCAAAGACAGCTTCAGGCCTGAGCACCATGTTCAGACTAGAATCTTGCAAAAGGCACCCTAGTTCTATCCTCAAATGCTATATAACCCAACTGGTGGAAAAAAATTTTAAATGAAAATTATCTATATTTTTGTTTACATTCCAAATATCAGCTAAATGATTTGACATTTCTCCCACTGATATGACTAAATTAAATAGCTTGACTAAATTATCCAAAATTGCCAATTGACTAAATTGGCCAAACCAACAAGCTGTCTTGGAAATATTTAAACACCACTCTTAGGCGATGGGGATGTTTTGGGGGGATGTTTTGGGGAGATGTTGTCAGGTTAGAACTCTCATAGGGCAGTGGATCAACAAATTGTTAAGCTAGAGTTTGGTCCTTGAGCTTTAGGTCTAGATATTGAACTTTCTCAGAATACCCAGGCTCTCAGTGATGGCTCATGTCAATCAAATTATCTCAAAACTGATATAGTACTTTGATTGTTAATTTATTACTTTGCAATAGAGATATACTACTTTCCAGTGACCACAAAGATTGCGTTCCTTATCTGAAGCACCCTCTTCATCTCCATCCCAATATTAGGAAACAAGGTAAATCTGGCTTGGTAACTTTGCAATCAGATCAGGAAAGCTGGTAACTGGGAACCTATTTTGCTTTAGTTTCGGGAAATTTCTGTCAGGGATTATCACTCGGGTTGCCAGATTGATGAGCCCTCCAAGTCATTCTCTCAACAGTTTTGCCTCTCTGAACCCTGTTTTTCTGGTAGTCACCCCATTCTGTTGATACATTATTTGAAATATTACTATTATTGATGAAGCTATAATTAAGTCCCTGTCCAGGTGGCCTAGAAGTAATTCAAGATCTGCTTTGATTGATTGGACAAATTCTCAAAGCTGGAGATTAGAGAGAACAATCCCTCACCAAAGAGACAGGGAAAGAGGCAAAATAATCATCTCTCCAAAACTGACCATCAATTCAGAGCAAATGGTTATTTAGCTTTGTTTAAGGGAGTCATTTACCCCAACCACTTTTCAAGCTCCTAAAAGGATACAAAAACAAAAAAGAGTTGTACAATTTTGGATATTTTTGCTTTTGAGCTGCAAAACAACGTTGTGCACATGTATCCTGAAACTTAAAGTATAATAATAATAAAATTTGAAAAAAAAAGAAGATAGAACAAGATGACAGGAAGTTTGGGGTGGTGTTCTGGGTGGATCTTGAGGTTTTTACTCCAAGGAAATGAAAACAGGAAGTTTATCACTAGGAATTATGAGAGTGCTTGAGCTTTTAGATATTTACCCTACAGATATTTGAATTCGTGGTTTTCAATAAGGATTTGTAAAATGTACAACGGGAAAGCAGAATTTTTACGGTAAATAATTTGCAATACACCCACAAAGAAACTAGCTCATACTTGGGTATCTAGAAGTTGACAGCTTTCTTTACAATTAATTTATTGCATGTTGTTTCAGCAGTAACACTCCTATTTTTTATTGGTTATATTTTATACTGATCACACAACTGAAATTATTCTTCTTTTAATTGTTTTTTTAAACTGAGATATAATTTACATATGAAATGCACCGTTTTAAAAATATATTTAGTATATTCATGAAGTTGTGCAGCTATCACCACTATATAATTCCAAAACATTTTTATCACTTCTTTTTATTATTATTATTATTATTATTATACTTTAAGTTTTAGGGTACATGTGCACAATGTGCAGGTTAGTTACATATGTATACATGTGCCATGCTGGTGTGCTGAACCCATTAACTCGTCATTTAGCATTAGGTATATCTCCTAATGCTATCCCTCCCCCATCCCCCCACCCCACAACAGTCCCCAGAGTGTGATGTTCCCCTTCCTGTGTCCATGTGTTCTCATTGTTCAATTCCCACCTATGAGTGAGAACGTGCAGTGTTTGGTTTTTTGTCCTTGCGATAGTTTACTGAGAATGATGATTTCCAATTACATCCATGTCCCTACAAAGGACATGAACTCATCATTTTTTATGGCTGCATAGTATTCCATGGTGTATATGTGCCACATTTTCTTAATCCAGTCTATCATTGTTGGACATTTGGGTTGGTTCCAAGTCTTTGCTATTGTGAATAGTGCCGCAATAAACATACGTGTGCATGTGTCTTTATAGCAGCATGATTTATAATCCTTTGGGTATATACCCAGTAATGGGATGGCTGGGTTAAATGATATTTCTAGTTCTAGATCCCTGAGGAATTGCCACACTGACTTCCACAAGGCTTGAATTAGTTTACAGTCCCACCAACAGTGTAAAAGTGTTCCTATTTCTCCACATCCTCTCCAGCACCTGTTGTTTCCTGACTTTTTAATGATTGCCATTCTAACTGGTGTGAGATGGTATCTCATTGTGGTTTTGATTTGCATTTCTCTGATGGCCAGTGATGATGAGCATTTTTTCATGTGTCTTTTGGCTGCATAAATGTCTTCTTTTGAGAAGTGTCTGCTCATATCGTTTGCCCACTTTTTGATGGGGTTGTTTGTTTTTTTCTTGTAAATTTGTTTGAGTTCATTGTAGATTCTGGATATTAGCTCTTTGTCAGATGAGTAGGTTGTGAAAATTTTCTCCCATTTTGTAGGTTGCCTGTTCACTCTGATGGTAGTTTCTTTTGCTGTGCAGAAGCTCTTTAGTTTAATTAGATCCCATTTGTCAATTTTGGCTTTTGTTGCCATTGCTTTTGGTGTTTTAGACATGAAGTCCTTGCCCATGCCTATGTCCTGAATGGTAATGCCTAGGTTTTCTTCTAGGGTTTTTATGGTTTTAGGTCTAACGTTTAAGTCTTTAATCCATCTTGAATTAATTTTTGTATAAGGTGTAAGGAAGGGATCCAGTTTCAGCTTTCTACATATGGCTAGCCAGTTTTCCTAGCACCATTTATTAAATAGGGAATCCTTTCCCCATTGCTTGTTTTTCTCAGGTTTGTCAAAGATCAGATAGTTGTAGATATGCGGCGTTATTTCTGAGGGCTGTGTTCTGTTCCACTGATCTATAACTCTGTTTTGGTACCAGTACCATGCTGTTTTGGTTACTGTAGCCTTGTAGTATAGTTTGAAGTCAGGTAGCATGATGCCTCCAGCTTTGTTCTTTTGGCTTAGGATTGACTTGGCAATGCGGGCTCTTTTTTGGTTCCATATGAACTTTAAAGTAGTTTTTCCAATTCTGTGAAGAAAGTCATTGGTAGCTTGATGGGGATGGCATTGAATCTATAAATTACCTTGGGCAATGTGGCCATTTTCACGATATTGATTCTTCCTACCTGTGAGCATGGAATGTTCTTCCATTTGTTTGTATCCTCTTTTATTTTATTGAGCAGTGGTTAGTAGTTCTCCTTGAAGAGGTCCTTCACGTCCCTTGTAAGTTGGATTCCTAGGTATTTTATTCTCTTTGAAGCAATTGCAAATGGGAGTTCACTCGTGATTTGGCTCTCTGTTTGTCTGTTATTGGTGTATAAGAATGCTTGCGATTTTTGTACATTGATTTTGTATCCTGAGACTTTGCTGAAGTTGCTTATCAGCTTAAGGAGATTTTGGGCTGAGACAATGGGGTTTTCTAGATATACAATCATGTCATCTGCAAGCAGGGACAATTTGACTTCCTCTTTTCCTAATTGAATACCCTTTATTTCCTTCTCCTGCCTAATTGCCCTGGCCAGAACTTCCAACATTATGTTGAATAGGAGTGGTGAGAGAAGGCATCCCTGTCTTGTGCCAGTTTTCAAAGGGAATGCTTCCAGTTTTTGCCCATTCAGTATGATATTGGCTATGGGTTTGTCATAGATAGTTCTTATTATTTTGAGATACATCCCATTGATACATAATTTATTGAGAGTTTTTAGCATGAAGGGTTGTTGAATTTTGTCAAAGGCCTTTTCTGCATCTATTGAGATAATCATGTGGTTTTTGTCTTTGGTTCTGTTTATATGCTGGATTACATTTATTGATTTGCATATATTGAACCAGCCTTGCATCCCAGGGATGAAGCCCACTTGATCATGGTGGATAAGCTCTTTGGTGTGCTGCTGGATTCAGTTTGCCAGTATTTTCTTGAGGATTTTTGCATCAATATTCATCAAGGATATTGGTCTAAAATTCTCCTTTTTGGTTGTGTCTCTGCCCGGCTTTGGTATCAGGATGATGCTGGCCTCATAAAATGAGTTAGGGAGGATTCCCTGTTTTTCTATTGATTGGAATAATTTCAGAAGGAATGGTACCAGTTCCTCCTTGTACCTCTGGTAGAATTCGGCTGTGAATCCATCTGGTCCTGGACTCTTTTTGGTTGGTAAGCTATTGATTATTGCCACAATTTCAGAGCCTGTTATTGGTCTATTCAGAGATTCAACTTCTTCCTGGTTTAGTCTTGGGAGGGTGTACATGTCAAGGAATTTATCCATTTCTTCTAGATTTTCTAGTTTATTTGCGTAGAGGTGTTTGTAGTATTCTCTGATGGTAGTTTGTATTTCTGTGGGATTGGTGGTGATATCCCCTTTATCATTTTTTATTGCGTCTATTTGATTCTTCTCTCTTTTCTTCTTTATTAGTCTTGCTAGCAGTCTATCAATTTTGTTGATCCTTTCAAAAAACCAGCTCCTGGATTCATTAAATTTTTGAAGGGTTTTTTTGTGTCTCTATTTCCTTCAGTTCTGCTCTCATTTTAGTTATTTCTTGCCTTCTGCTAGCTTTTGAATGTGTTTGCTCTTGCTTCTCTAGTTCTTTTAATTGTGATGTTAGGGTGTCAATTTTGGATCTTTCCTGCTTTCTCTTGTGGACATTTAGTGCTATAAATTTCCCTCTACATACTGCTTTGAATGTGTCCCAGAGATTGTGGTATGTTGTGTCTTTGTTCTCGTTGGTTTCAAAGAACATTTTTATTTCTGCCTTCATTTTGTTATGTACCCAGCAGTCATTCAGGAGCAGGTTATTCAGTTTCCATGTAGTTGAGCAGTTTTGAGTGAGTTTCTTAATCCTGAGTTCTAGTTTGATTGCACTGTGGTCTGAGAGACAGTTTGTTATAATTTCTGTTCTTTTACATTTGCTGAGGAGAGCTTTACTCCCAACTATGTGGTCAATTTTGGAATAGGTGTGGTTTGGTGCTGAAAAAAATGTATATTCTGTTGATTTGGGGTGGAGAGTTCTGTAGATGTCTATTAGGTCCACTTGGTGCAGAACTGAGTTCAATTCCTGGGTATCCTTGTTAACTTTTTGTCTCGTTGATCTGTCTAATGTTGACAGTGGGGTGTTAAAGTCTCCCATTATTATTGTGTGGGAGTCTAAGTCTCTTTGTAGGTCACTCAGGACTTGCTTTATGAATATGGGTGCTCCTGTATTGGGTCCATATATATTTAGGATAGTTAGCTCTTCTTGTTGAATTGATCCCTTTACCATTATGTAATGGCCTTCTTTGTCTCTTTTGATCTTTGTTGGTTTAAAGTCTGTTTTATCAGAGACTAGGATTGCAACCCCTGCCTTTTTTTGTTTTCCATTTGCTCGGTAGATCTTCCTCCATCCTTTTATTTTGAGCCTATGTGTGTCTCTGCACATGAGATGGGTTTCCTGAATACAGCACACTGATGGGTCTTGACTCTTTATCCAATTTGCCAGTCTGTGTCTTTTGATTGGAGCATTTAGTCCATTTACATTTAAAGTTAATATTGTTATGTGTGAATTTGATCCTGTCATTATGATGTTCGCTGGTTATTTTGCTCGTTAGTTGATGCAGTTTCTTCCTAGCCTCGATGGTCTTTACAATTTGGCATGATTTTGCAGTGGCTGGTACTGGTTGTTCCTTTCCATGTTTAGTGCTTCCTTCAGGAGCTCTTTTAGGGCAGGCCTGGTAGTGACAAAATCTCTCAGCATTTGCTTGTGTGTAAAGTATTTTATTTCTCCTTCACTTATGAAGCTTAGTTTGGCTGGATATGAAATTCTGGGTTGAAAATTCTTTTCTTTAAGAATGTTGAATATTGGCTTCCACTCTCTTCTGGCTTGTAGAGTTTCTGCCAAGAGATCAGCTGTTAGTCTGATGGGCTTCCCTTTGTGGGTAACCTGACCTTTCTCTCTGGCTGCCCTTAACATTTTTTCCTTCATTTCAACTTTGGTGAATCTGACAATTATTTGTCTTGGAGTTGCTCTTCTCGGGGAGTATCTTTGTGGCGTTCTCTGTATTTCCTGAAACTGAATGTTGGCCTCCCTTGCTAGATTGGGGAAGTTCTCCTGGATAATATCCTGCAGAGTGTTTTCCAACTTGGTTCCATTCTCCTCGTCACTTTCAGGTACACCAATCAGATGTAGGTTTAGTCTTTTCACATAGTCCCATATTTCTTGGAGGCTTTGTTCGTTTCTTTTTATTCTTTTTTCTCTAAACTTCCCTTCTCGCTTCATTTCATTCATTTCATCTTCCATCACTGATACCCTTTCTTCCAGTTGATCGCATCGGCTCCTGAGGCTTCTGCATTCTTCACGTAGTTCTTGAGCCTTGGCTTTCAGCTCCATCAGCTCCTTTAAGCACTTCTCTGTATTGGTTATTCTAGTTACACATTCGTCTAAATTTTTTTCAAAGTTTTTAACTTCTTTGCCTTTGGTTTGAATTTCCTCCTGTAGCTCAGAGTTGTTTGATCGTCTGAAGCCTTCTTCTCTCAACTCGTCAAAGTCATTCTCTGTCCAGCTTTGTTCCATTGCTGGTGAGGAACTGTGTTTCTTTGGAGGAGGAGAGGCACTCTGATTTTTAGAGTTTCCAGTTTTTCTGCTCTGTTTTTTCCCCATCTTTGTGGTTTTATCTACTTTTAGTCTTTGATGATGGTGATGTACAGCTGGGTTTTTGGTGTGGATGTCCTTTCTGTTTGTTAGTTTTCCTTCTAACAGACAGGACCCTCAGCTGCAGGTCTGTTGGAGTTTGCTAGAGGTCCACTCCAGACCCTGTTTGCTTGGGTATCAGCAGCGGTGGCTGCAGAACAGCGGATTTTCGTGAACCGCCAATGCTGCTGTCTGATCATTCCTCTGGAAGTTTTGTCTCAGAGGAGTACCCGGCCGTGTAAGGGGTCTATCTGCCCCTACAGGGGGGTGCCTCCCAGTTAGGCTGCTCAGGGGTCAGGGGTCAGGGACCCATTTGAGGAGGCAGTCTGCCCATTCTCAGATCTCCAGCTGCGTGCTGGGAGAACCACTGCTCTCTTCAAAGCTGCCAGACAGGGACATTTAAGTCTGCAGAGCTTACTGCTGTCATTTTGTTTGTCTGTGCCCTGCCCCCAGAGGTGGAGCCTACAGAGGTAGGCAGGCCTCCTTGAGCTGTGATGGGCTCCACCCAGTTTGAGCTTCCCAGCTGCTTTGTTTACCTAAGCAAGCCTGGGCAATGGCGGGCACCCCTCCCCCAGCCTCGCTGCCATCTTGCAGTTTGATCTCAGACTGCTGTGCTAGCACTCAGCAAGACTCTGTGGGCATAGGACCCTCTGAGCCAGGTGTGGGATATAATCTCCTGGTGCGCGGTTTTTTAAGCCCATCAGAGAAGCGCAGTATTAGTGTGGGAGTGACCCGATTTTCCAGGTGCCGTCTGTCATCCCTTTCTTTGACTAGGAAAGGGAACTCCCTGACCCCTTGCACTTCCTGAGTGAGGCAATGCCTTGCCCTGCTTCGGCTCGTGCATGGTGCGCTGCACCCACTGTCCTGCGCCCACTGTCTGGCACTCCCTAGTGAGATGAACCCTGTACCTCAGATGGAAATGCAGAAATCACCCATCTTCTGCATCACTCACGCTGGGAGCTGTAGACCAGAGCTGTTCCTAGTCGGCCATCTTTCCTGCCAGCCAAAAACTTTTATCACTTCTAAAGGAAACCTGATGCCTGTTAGCAGTCACTCTCCGTTTGCCCTTTTCCTGTCTCTATTCTCCTTTTATTTTAAGATTAAAATACCAGCTATAGCCTAGAAATTCCAAAGGACATTGTCTAGAGAAACAGATAACAAATCAATACATAAATGAATGAACTTTAAGAATAGTGTGGCATTGCTATTTTCATTGTGCTTTAGTTATTTTCAGTGGCATGTATCTGTAGCCCCACAGATTGCAGTAAATGTAACACTTTCATTCAATGAACAGTACTGTTAGCATAAATCTATTTCTGCTCTAACTGTATAAATTTTCATTTGGTTATTTGTACTAAACTCATAGTCAGAAGGTTTCTCTGGAGTTAATGCAGAAAAGTAAATGTCGTATAAATAGCCTATGGGGTTGATTCCATCTGAAGGTCTCCAGACTTTTTGTGAGGAGAAGCCACTTTTCATTTCCCTAGATATGAAGTCCCCCAGGGTTGTTAGGGAGGTGCAGACATTAAAGAATGTGAATAGGATACAGGAGAGGGCACCAAGTACTGTGCTGGGCACTTGACACATATTTTATGTATACTTTGCAATAATTCTGAAAGACATTTATCATCCATACCTTATAAATAGAGAGAAATGAGGAGATTGAAGCACAAAGAGGTTAAATAACTTGCCCAACCTCAAACAGCTAGTAAATTAGAGAACTGAGGTTCAAACCTCAGGCATTATTTCTTCTACACCATTCTGATAAATATGAGGCACATTAATTAATTTTCCTGATAAAAAGGGGACATCTATGTATTCTGGGGATCTCCAGATAAAAGTAAATCAGAAAAATGTTTTAAAATATTAGTCCATTCTCACATTGCTATAAAGAAATGCTTGAGGCTGGGGAGGTTTAATTGATTCATGGTTCCGCATGCTTTACAGGAAGTATAGCTGGGGAGGCCTTAGGGAGCTTTTGCTCATGGCGGAAGGCAGAGCCAGAGCAGGCGTCTTCACATGGCCAGAGCAGGAGAAAGAGAGGGGGGAGGTGCCACACACTTTTAAACAAACAGATCTCATGAGAACTCACCCACTATACAGTACCAAGTAATGGATGGTGCTAAACCATTCCTGAAGGATTCACCCTCATGATCCAATCACCTCCCACCAAGCCACACCCCTAACATTGGTGATTACCATTTAACATGAGATTTGAGTGTGGCCACAGATCTAAACCATATCAGTAGGATAGCTCAGCAAATGAGAGCACTCCATAAATATAATACACTTAGAGCAAATCTCACAAGTAAAATGCTGTTATAAAAGGAATGTATTTATTTACTGACTCTTAACTCAAAGGTAAATGTCCATAGCTAAGATGAATTTAATAAGATGAAAAGAGCTTTAATTGAAGCAGTTTTGTTTACATAATTTAATTGGCTGTAAAATTCTCTTCAAAGAACTCGGACAGCTCTTCATAAAAATCTAAAAGTGGTATTAATATATAAAATAAGGGAACAATGCATACATAACTTGACTTACAATTTCAAAATAAATTTATTTTTTCTGTAAGATTGTGAATTTCTAAAAATTTCTGGGTTTGCCCTTGAAATTTTTCAAATACTTTGAGAAGTTCTAGGCACTTCTATGTAAGAACTAGGGTGAAAACAAGAGTAAAAGGGAAATGTAAACTCCCTTAGGTATCCAGCTAGCTAATAAGGCCTTCCCGCTGTGTAAGACAGCAAACCTGAGGCAGGAAGGAGAGTAGAGGAGACAGGCAAGGAAGATCCAAGTTCATTGCTTCAGTTGTAAAAAAGTAAATCTTCTGGAATAATTAGTTGATTTGGGCCAGTAAGTTAATTATGGGTGTTCTGAGCTTGCTTGGAGTTTGAAACATGGAAGCTGGAGAGGAAAATGGTCCTCCTCTTTCTGGGGAAGAGGACTATGGAACTTTGAGAAGGAAGCACTTGGAGAATGAGGGAATGAAGTGTTAAAATAAGTACCCCCTTCAGCAACCAATTGGTACAAATGTGATCAAGACTGAAAAAGTTGGTTTCAACATTTTTTAATGTAAGCTGTCAGCATGCTCATGCAAGATTTTGTTGATATTATTCACACCATCTTTATAGTTCAAGCTTCTTTCAAGCATTCATTCTTTCAGTAACCATTCCCTCAAGGACCACCATGTACCAAGCCTTGAACCAGGTCTTGGGAATACAAGATAAATTAAGCTTGCCCTCTGGTCTCCAGTAGCTTACAGTCCTATTTATCTTAAATAATAAATGTTTCATAACAATTGCTTTCTCTTTTTGGCTTTGTGAATATAAGAAAGCCTTAGGAGGGTATATATAATAAGGAGACAAATGAATCTTTCAGAATCCACAGTAGACTGGTTAACTACTGACAGACTGGTGCTGGTAAAATATTTCCATTTTGTCACTGGAAGTTTCCCTCTCTCTCTCTCTCTCTCTCTCTCTCCCCCCACTGCCCCATCTCTTTCTCCCTCCCTCCCCCTCCTTTTCCCTCTCCCCCACCCACCACCCTTCTCCACACCTCTCTTCTCATTTCACTTCTCTCACCCCTCCTCCTTATTTCTCTTTCAGCAATCCATCCTTGCATTTTTGTCCTTGTTGCTGTTTTTGTAACTTGGGTTGAACATACTGAAATGACAAATGTATTTTTCCACATGTTACATATCCAAAGTGATAGGCATGCCATGGTCATCACTGGTCTCAAGGATCAAACAGTTCAAATGATTAGACAAACAACATATGGGACATGTGGACAGATCAAGGTAATAATATGGCTAATTGTCACAGAGGCTGACCTAGAAGAAACAGTGCAATTGTGCTACAGATTTATAGAATCTTAGAGTATATTATCAATCCAAATGGACTTAGGGATCCAACTACTTATGACTCTACATTCTCAGATGATAAATAAGATGAATAAAGTGGCTTTTAAAATGTTCCACCAGCTACACTTTAAAAAATTTTGAGTGCATCAATCTATTTTCACCCACATTTAATCATATAGCAGTGATTAAAAACAGTGATTAAAAACACAAGCCTGGAGAGAGGCCAAGGTTTGATCCTTGTTTACTAGGCCGTGTGACCTTGGATAAGGTACTTCTCATCTCTGAGCTTCAGTTTCTTTGTCTGGGTTATTGTAAGGATTAAATGAGATAATGCATGTAAAGCATTCAGCAATGGGCCTGGAATATAGTATAGTCAGTTAATATTTGTGATTTTAATGGAATCACTATCATTATAAACAACTCAAATCAAAGTAATCCAAATAAATCAGTCACACACTATATTATTCTGTGTTGTCACTTTATACTAAAACAAGATAAATGCAGTTTTGCATAATGTACTGTCAGGATAAATAAAATATTTTCTCTGGACAAGTGGTTCATGTTCACATTTCTGCAAATGTAAAATAGGAACTATACCTCCTTACAGGTAGTTGTGAAAATTGCATGAGAATACATGTATGTAGAGTGCACAGAACAGACACCAAGTAAGGGCTAGCAATTGTGCGCATTGTTGCTGTGGTTGTTTTTCTTATTATGGAGATGTTTAAAGTTAATAATACAAACTATTATTATTAAATATAATCATCATTGTTAATAATTATCCAAAACTCCCTAAGTTTTTCTGATCAAGTTTTTGGCTTCTAAACAAAGAAATGAACTGAAATGTGGCCTTGTAAAAACTAAGAATTTGGAATGAAAGACACAGACTCTATAGACAATCTATAAATAACTAAAAGTCAGATCATGTCGTTCCCCCCCGTTCAAAAGCCCCCAGTGGCTACTTCTCTTAATATAGCTTACAAGGCCTTACATGATTTGTTGACTCTCTTCCCATATGACTCCTAGCTGACCCACACTCACAACGACATCACCACTACTTCTGAGACCCCCATCTCCCACGTCTTTCTTCTGGTTTACTTCACTTAAATCACACTGGCATCCTTGGTATGCCTCCTGTTCCTTAAGCACACTCTGCCCTCAAGGCCTTCAAAAATGCTATCCCCACTATGTGGAATATTCTTTTCTCAAATGGCCACATGGCCAACTCCCTCACTTCTTTTACATCTCTGCTCAAACATCATCTTATTAAAGAGGATTTCTCACCCCTAACTAAAATACCACCCATATTCTGCTTTTTCACCATAGCCCTTATCACCACCTAACATAGTACACACACACACACACACACACACACACACACATAATCATGGTTTTTTTACTGACTTTCCCCTCATTTAAGAAACTAATCTTTATTAACAGCAATTTTGCCTCTTTGGTTCATTGAGGTATTCTTAGGTCCTAGGACCAAATCTGACACAAAATAGGAGCTCAGTAAATATGTGTTGAATGAATGACTGTCACTTAAAACAAATTTGTCCTTCAATTATGGAAGTGCTTTTTATTACATTGAAACAAAGGACCAGACAGAATATTCTCATATTAGTTACACTTAAATTTTTAACAACTTTTGCTTTCAAAAATTTAACTTAAATAGGGATTTTTAAACTAGTATGGTGCTAAAGATTGTTTCTATTTGTTTTCATTGTTATTATTGTTCGTAGTTTGAAAATAATGCCACCTGTTATGGCAAACGTTTGTCATCATTGGACTTTGATATATTAACATTTCAAAGTCTATTTCAAGTCAGTAATGAAATGAAACTGAGGCTCTCTTTGGCTTAATAAATTTATCAGCTGTGGAGCAAGAGTTCTATTTGTAGTGTTTGAATTTTAGAATATTTCATACCAAATAAAATATTAAAAGTGGATTTTAATTATTCAACTACTGTTACTAGAGTTAAAACCTTATAACTATTTGTCAAAATGTCTAATTGTCCATAGTAAGGTAAATTGTCTGATGTCTGTTCCGCAAGCTGGAATACAATAAAATAAATTTTTTTTGAAATTTTTTTGCAGAGACACAGTCTGGCTATGTTGCCCAGGCTGATGTTGAACTCCTGGCCTCAAGCAATCTTCCCACCTTGGCCTCTCAAAGTGTTAGGATTACAGGTGTGAGCCACTACATCTGATGTAATCAAATTATTTCTAAGCTACAATTTTCATTTCATCTGATGTTGGGTATGGAAGTTTAGAACCTCCACCAACTCATCTATTCATTCACTAAAAAAGCATTTCTTGGGCATCTATTTTTATGTGTTAGGCAATGGCCAAACTCTGAAGTGTGACACAACAATGACCAGGAAGGTTTCAGCTCATAGAAGAAAGTCTAACTCTATTGAGGGAGATGAATATAAATATCAATGCTGGACATGCATGCAAAATGGGGAAGGAACACTGACTCTTTTTAGGAAGAGGTTTCAGAGGGGAAGTAATTTTGAGCCAGGTCATAAGGATTAATACAAGGTTTAACAGGCTGAAGAATAAGAAAGAAATTTAAGCAGAAGAATGCAAAGGTGAGGAGGTACAAACTGATTGGAACTTTTAAGGAAATGAGAAGGCATTTTGTTGGACAGGGCTTGGACAACTGTTTCTCAAATGGAGAACTGCTTATCAACTGTCATAGAATCACCTTAGTTCATAAGACCTCCAATTCCTGGAAGCTCCTGCCAGACTTCAAAAGATAAGTCCCAAGCAGCTGCAAGTTTATTTTCATTTTTAATTTTAATTTTTGTGGGTACACAGTAGTGTATATATTAATGGGGTACCTGAGACATTTCAAAACAGGCATGCAAGGAGTAATAATAACATGATGTAAAATGAAGTATTCATCCCCTCAAACACCTATGCCCCATATTATAATTGAATTATACTCTTAGTTTTAATAAAATGTACAATTAAATTATTATTGAATACAATCACTAGATTGTGCTATCAAATACTAGGTTTTATTCATTTTTTTCTAACTCGTCTTTTGTACCCATGAACCATCCTCATATTCCCCCCATCCACCATTACCCTGCCAAGCCTCTGGTAACCATCCTTCTATTCTCTCTCTGTGAGTTTAATTGTTTTGATTTTTAGATCACACAAAGAAGTGAGAAGATGCAATGTTTGTCTTCCTATGCCTGGCTTATTTCATTTATCATAAGGACTTCCGGTTCCATCCGTATTGTTGCAAATGACAGGATCTCATTCTTTATGGCTGAATAGTCCTCCATTGTGTATCTGTACCACATTTTCTTTATTCATTCATCTGTTGATGAACACTTAGGTTGCTTCTAAATCTTGTCCATTGTGAACATTGCTGCAATAAACATGGGAGTGCAGGTATCTCTTTGATATACTGATTTCCTTTCTTTTGGGTATATACCCAGCAGTGGGATTGCTGGATCATACGGTAGCTCTATTTTTAGTTTTTTGACAAAACTCCAAACTGTTTTTCATAGTGATTGTCTAATTTATATTCCCACCAACAGTGGACAGTGTTCCCTTTTCTCCACATCCTCCCCAGATTTGTTATTGCCTGTCTTTTGGATTAAAAGCCATTTTTACTGGGGTTAGGTGATATCTCATTGTAGTTTTGATTTTCATTTCTATAATGATTAATAATGCTGAGCATCTTTCCATATGCCTATTTGCCATTTGTATGCTTTCTTTTGAGAAATATCTATTGAAATCTTTTGTCTATCTTTGGATCGAATTATTAGGTTTTTTTCCCTGTAGAGTTGTTTGATCTCCTTATATATTCTGGTTATTAATCCCTTGTCAGATACGTAGTTTGAAAATATTCTCTCCCATTCTGTGGGTTGTCGCTTCACTGTTGAATTTTTTTCTTTGCTATGCAGAAGCTTTTAAATTTGATGTAATATTAGTCTATTTTTGCTTTGGTTGCCTGTGCTTGTGGGGTATTGCTCAAGAAATTTGTGCCTAGAACAATGTCCTGGAGATTTTCCTCAATGTTTTCTTGTAGTAGTTTCATGGTATGAGATCTTAGATTTAAGTGTTTAATCCATTTTGATTTGATTTTGCATGTGGCTGGAGATATGAGTATAGATTCATTCTTCTACATATGGATATCCAGTTTTCACAGCACCATTTATTGAAGAGACTGTCTTTCCCCCAGTGTATGTTCTTGTCATCTTTGTCAAAAATGAGTTTACTATAGTTGCGTGGATTTGTTTCCATGTTCTCTATTCTGTTCCATTAGTTTATGTGTCTGTTTTTATGCCAGTATCATGCCATTTTGGTTACTATAGCTCTGTTGAATAACTTGAAGTCAGGTAATGTGAATCCTCCAGTTTTGTTCTTTTTTGCTTAGGATAGCTTCGATTATTCTGGATCTTTTGTGGTTCCATATAAATTTTAATATTGTTTTTCTTATTGCTGTGAAGAATGTCATGGGTATTTTGATAAGGATTGCATTGAATCTGTAGATTCTTTAGAACAGTATGGACATTTTAATATCGATTCTTCCAGTCCATGTACATAGAATATCTTTCCATTTTCTGGTGACCTCTTCAATTTCTTTTATCAATGTTTCATAGTTTTCATTATAGAGGTCTTTCACTTCTTTTATTAACTTAATTCCGAGCTGTTTAATTTTACCTGTGGCTATTCTAAATGTGATTTTTTAAAATTTCTTTTTCATATTCTTCACTGTTGTCATATAGGAATGCTACTAATTTTTGTATATTGATTTCTATCCTGCAAATTTACTGAATTTGTTTATTAATTCTAATAGTTTTTGAGGAGTCTTTAGATTTGTTAAAATATAAGACAATAGTACATTCAAGGAAGGATAATTTGACTTCGTCTATTCCAATTTGTATGCCCTTTATTTCTTTCTCTTTGTCTGATTGCTCTAGCTAGGATTTCCAGAACTATCTTGAATAACTGTGGTGAAAGTGGGCATCCTTGATGTGTTTTACATCTAAAAGGAAGGCCAGCCAAGGTGGCTCTCGCCTGTGATCACAGCACTTTGGGAGGCCGAGGCAGGTAGATCGCCTGAGGTCAGGAGTTTGAGACCAGCCTGGCCAACATGGTGAAACCCTGTCTCTACTAAAAATACAAAGTTAGCCAGGTGTGGTGGCCTGCGCCTGTAGTCCCAGCTACTCAAGAGGCTGAGGCAGGAGAATCACTTAGAACATGGGAGGCAGAGGTTACAGTGAGCCGAGATCACACCACTGCACTCCAGCCTGGGCAAGAGAGTGAGACTCGGTCTCAAAAAATAATGTTAAATTAAATTAAATTAAATTTAAATTTAAAAAGATCTAAAAGGAAGGGCTTTCAGTTTTTCCCCATTAAGTGTGGTACTAGCTGTTGGTCTGTCATACATGGTTTTTATCATGCTGAGTTGTTTCCCCTATCTCCAGTTTTTGAAGGCTTTCTTATTGTGAAACGATGTTGGAATTTTTCAAATGCTTTTTCAACATATTGAAATGATCGTGTTGTTTTTGTCCTTCATTCTGTATCAAATTGATTGATTTGTGTATGTTGAATGATCCTTGCATCCCAGGGATAAATCTCATTGAACGATCTGTTTTACGTATTGTTGAATTCGGTTTGCTAGTAATGTCTCATTTTTCATCTCCAACTTCATTTATTAGATCTTCTCTTTTTTCTTAGTCCAGCTAAAGGTTTGTCAATTTTGTTTAACTTTTCAAAAAATAAACTATTTTTTATTTATGTTTTGTGTTTTTTATTTCATTTATTTGTGCTCTGATCCTTATTATTTCTTTTATTTTACTAATTTTGGGTTTTGTTTGCTGTTTCATCATTTTGTTGTTTATTTGGAGGTTTCTTTTCTTCTTTTTTTTATGTAGGCACTTATAGCTGTAAATGTCCCTCTTAGTACTGCTTTGGCTGTATCTCATATGTTTGTTGTGTTTTCATTTTTTATTTGTTTTAAGAAATTTTTAAGTTTTCTTCTTAATTTCTTCATTGACCCACTGATCATTCAGGAGCACGTTTAATTTCCATGTATTGATATAGTTTCTAAAATTCCTCTTGTTGTTGATTTCTAGTTTTATTCTATTGTGATCAGAATAGATTCTTGACATTATTTTAATTTTTTGAATGTTTTAAACATATTTTGTGACCTATTGTGTGGTCTGTTCTTGAGAATGACCCATATGCTGAGGAAAAGAATATTTATTCTGCAGCCATTGGATGAAATGTTCTGCAAATATCCATTTGGTTCATTTGATCTATAATACAAAACCTGTAGTTTTAATGAGTTTCTGAATTGATTCTGATGCACACTAAATTAAGAACCAGATGCCTTTTGGAAGTGGTGGTGAGAGGAAAAAGAAAGCAGAATTGCAGAACAGTAAGACTGGAAATATATACATTGAAGCATTATTATAAAGGCCCTTTATAATCCTACTATGGAGCATAGATTTAATCTACTGACAATGGAAAAGTTTTAGCCAGAAAATTCACACAATTAGGTTTTATCTTAAAAGAAATAATCAGTCCACAATGGACAGGATGGGTGGGTATGAAAGAAATTAGAGTTATGCCGACAAATTAGGATGAATATTGTAAAAGTTCACACTCTATGCTTCTCATCAACCTCTAATATGACTCAAAATGTGTCAGAAAAGAAGACTTTGAAAAAATAACTATGGTCACGGCATGTACAGAATGTATTGTTTGGTTTGAAGGAAAGACTCGTTAGTTTAATACTCTACTTACTGTCACTTCCAATAAAATGTTTGTCATTTTCTCCTTATGCTGTAATCTATACAAAACAGCGTGAATCTGTAGAAATAAATTGATTTTAGTTTTCATATAAATTTATTTTGCAAAAAAATTGTCCAGAAATAACTTCTGATTTACATTTTCTATTGATACTTCTTTAAGGCTAATCTCTTTAACAGGCTTTCTCTAATTCACTCATAATTGTTGTGAATCACCTCAAGCTTATCATATTTCTAACAAGATGTCCTTTTGTAACTACCTTCAATTCCTCCTGAATTTCTGAGCTTTATGTTTTCTACCTGTGTGAAATTATCTCTGTGAAATTCGAGAGTAAAAGTTTATTTATTATTTTTTCCTCTCTAGGTCAATCCAATTCTACCAGCTAAAGTTCATAGAAACTTTGTGTTTATGAGATTCTTTTTAAGGAATATGTCTCAGGGCAATATAACTCAATAAAAAAGGTAATGATCATAATTATTTCTATTCACACACACATACATACACATATACATATGTGTATATGATTGCTAATATTTCAATTGTTTCTTGAGATATTAATACTATTACTAATAATAACTGTATTAATAATAGCTGCCATTTCTTAGGTGCTTCCTATGTGTTAGGAATTGTACTATATAAGCACTTTGCAAGCATCACTGTGTATAATATAACCCTTATAACAACACTTTGAGGTAGAAATTTTTATGAGTCTCACATTACAGAAATCTGGGAAAATTTGACTAATGTCACTCAGTTGATAAGTGACAGAGACAGGATTGGAATTCAGATCTGCTTGCCTTGGGAAATAACATTCTTGATCTCTATTCTCCACTGTCTTGGCTCAATTTAACTAGATCCGGTTTCCTTTCTGGGTATATATATTGCTATGATAATGATTCACTAACATGCTCCTTCCATTCCATTGTTTTAAGTATCAATGGTTTCAATAATACTGAATTTCAAAGGTCCAGAGATTGGGGATTTTCCTTGAGACTACCTTAACCTACTATGAGTTATTCTTCATAAAAAATGCAAACATTAATTTCTTATAAGTGTCCTAAACTTTTTCATACATGTGTTCTTTTCATAGGGATAATTTATCACAAATGTACAAGCCTGCTTCCCCCTTCCCTTGGCAATTATTGCTGACATAGAGAGTTCTCAAAGGGAACTGCAGTCCACACTGATATCACTTCAGAATTCAGAATATTAACATAAGGAATAGCAGACTTGGATGAATGTCTTGTTATATGAATTTTGAGCATACACTTTACTTCATCAAACAGTAATACTAGAAATATTTTACATTAATATTTTCAAGTTCTTTCACATTTAAAATCTTGTTCAATATTCACAAAAACAAAGCCAGCAAGACAGAAATTATCTTGATTTTCACATGGAAATTAGGACTCAAAACAGTTAAGTGATTTAGTCAAAATGTCATGGTTAATCTCCTGTACCCAATCTTAGTTTTCTTCTGGCCTCTTATGTATTTTTGCACAATGAATTTTTTACAAAGTATATGATAATTCACAAGAAGATAAATAATAATAATAGACATTATTCGTTATATCAGTCCCCAAGTTAGAATTTTTGCATGACACATTTATGATTATCAAAACAACCTTATAGAGCAGGTATTATTATACACACATTTCAGCTGAGATAAATAGGTAGTACAGCTAAGAAGTGGCAAAGCGGGAATTTAAACCAGTTATCTTTGGCCCCAAAGCCCAGGGTCTTTACACTAAGTGAAAAGAGTAAATTTAACATAGAAAAAAGGTTCATATTCTCTAACAATGAAATAAATACCAGTGAAAACAACTTTGATTTTTAATTTTTAAGCTTAATATAATAGTGAAAAATTATACCACCAACTGATGGGATTTTATTTATCAATGATGGGATTACCAACTGCTACACTTTTGGAAAGCAATGTGATAATACTTAAAAAACTCAATTATTTCACTCCTTAATAATGTATCCCAGAGAAATAATTCAACAGAAATAAGAAAACATAGATGAAAAAGGCCATTATAGTATAAAACACAATAACAAAAATTGAAAACTACTAACAGTTTTTCAATACGATTTTACTGTTAACAATATTGATACAATAAAATGTGATTCTTGAAAAGTAATGTAAGAAATAAGAAAATGTTTAAGCTTTCAGTTAAAATGCCATAACTCAAAATTGGGCCTACTGGGGACACACCAAAAAATAAGTAATACTAAATCAAGTTGGACCTTCAATTTACAATTTAGTCCAAAGAAAATTCTAGATGAATCTAAAATTTAAACATAAAAAGCAAAAATATAAAAACAGTAAGGAAAAGCCTTCATAAGCATAATGCAAACCTCAGAATTTACAATCCAAAGACATAAATTTAATCACCTAAATGTTTTAAAAACTCTACGTGACTATAAAATATCATTTAAAAGTCAAAAGAAAGTAACCGATTGGAAAAAATGAATATATGCATATGAATACATATGACAAAGAACTAATTGCCTTAATATGTACAGAGATCCTATAAATTATTAGGAAAAAGATAAAACAACAGAAACATGGGGGAAAGACATAAACAGAGTTAATAGAAAAGAGAAAAATGGCAATTAAATGAATAAAAATGACCAAATTCACTCACTACTAGAGAATCACAAATCAAAACTACAATGAGATATTATTTTTCAACTATTACATCAATAAATTTTTTAATGTTTGATAATATGCTACATTGGTGAGAATATATGGAAATCAGCACTTGCATACATTGTTGATGTAGATGTTGGTGTAGAGTGTAGATTGGTATAATTTCTATTGACGAAGATTTAGCAATGACATCTACATCCTTTGATCTAACAATGTATCCTACAGATGTATTTGCATATAAGTGCAAATAAATATGTAAGAAGGATATTCGTTACAACATTGCTTATAACAAAAATTTTAAATAATCTAAGTATAATACTTCTCCATAGAGGAGTGTTAAAATATCTACATAATGGATTTCTATGGACCTGTTAAAATGAACAAAGTTGGGCTGTATGTTCTGATATGAAACCATCTCCAAGATAAACCATTAACTGAAAAATACACAATGCAGACATTTTTGGTTTCCAGTCCAGCATGTAAGGAGCTTGGAAGTCATCACCCCATCCTAACAACAAGTAGAAAGCTTTTTAAAAATGAAAAAATCAGCAACTTTTCTTAGATCCATTAGAGAAGTAAGGTCATAGGGCAAACCACTACCCCCAAAATTGGAGACAGACAGGCAGATAAAGAAAATCATAACTTACTGGAGTAGAAACCTGCAAGCAGAAATTTCCATGGAAACCAGTAGTAGGATAGGAAAATCAGAACTGTACTTGTTAAATTACTGGAAGCTCAGAGTAGACAATTCTGAGAGGTAAAACCTTCAGGGAGGCTCAATCATGAGCCACCCCACACTTTTGTCATTTTTACCTGTAGGAGCCCTGCAAGGTTCTCTCAGTAAATATTGGGGAAAAAATCCCCTCATGCTTCTGGCATGGGGAGGGCAAATATAAGAATTTTGAAACACATAAGAACATTCTGTTCTTAATAAAGCTGGCCCTCAAGGGAAACTGTTTTACCAGAGCCTCAGTGCTTAACTAACCCTAAGGGAAAGGAATTATCCAACTCTATCCCCCTGTAACCATCCAGCCCTACTTAAAGAGAAGGGAGATAAAACTGAGAAGCACTTGTAAAATTCACAGCCCAGGGACATAGGTTCACTGAAAGACTGAGACCTAATCATAGGACTATAGAAAACTTCCCCTCCTCCAACACCTTACCACCTCATTAATAAGGTCTATTGCCACAATTCCTTTTACTCACTACATCATGTCCAACTCAACAACAACAACAACAAAAACAAAATACAGGGCCATACTGTCTGGGAATGGTGGCTCATGCCTGTAATCCCAGCACTTTGGGAGGCCAAGGTGGGAGGATCACTTGAGCTCAGGAGTTTGCGACCAGCACAGGCAACACAAGGTGACCCCATTTCTACAAAAAAATTACAAGCACACTGAAAGGAAAAATATACAGGTTGAAGAGACAGAGCACATATCACAACCAGACTCAGATATGACAATGATGTTGGAATGATCAGATCAGGAATTTAAACAACTATCATTAATATGCTAAGGGTTTTAATACAAAATGTAACAACACACAAGGACATATGGGTAATATAAGCAGAGAGATGAAATTTTTAAGAAAGAATAACAAAAGAAATGCTAAAGATCAAAAATACCATATGACCAATCCTTTTGATGGGCTCATTAGTAGACTGGACATCACTGAGGAAAGAATCTCCGAGTTTGAGGATATGATGATAGAAACTCCCAAAACTTTAAAGCAAGACAAAACAGACTGGAAAAAAAAAAAAAAACAGAACAGAATTCTACAAGAAGAAGAAAGAGAAATGAACAGAAAAAGTATTTGAAGCAATAAGGACTGGGAATTTACCCCAAATTAATGTCAGACACCAAACCACAGATCCAGGAAACTCAGAAAATAAGAAGCAGGATAAATACTAAAAATACTACCACACCTATGCATATCATGTTCAAGCTTCAGAAAGTCAAATACAACATTCTTGAAAGAAGCAAGAGAAAAAAAAACACGTTAATTATAGAAGAACAAAGCTAAGAATTACATTCTCCTCAGAAACCATGCTAGCAACACAAGAATAGAATAAAATATTTGAAGTGGTGAGAGGAAAAAATACCTCACCACCCAAAATTTTGAGCCCTTCAAAATTATCTTTCAAAAATAAAGGAGAAATAAAGACTTTCTCAAGCAAAAATTGAGGAAATTTGTTGCCAGTAGACCTGCTTTTTGAGAAATGTTAAAAGAAGTTCTTTAGAAGAAAAATGATGGAGGTCAGAAACTCAGACCTACATAAAGAAAAAAAAGAGCATTTGAGAAGAAATAAATGAAGGTAAAATAAAAAGTTTAATTTTTATCCTTCTTAATTGAGTTAACAAATCACAATTTCAAAATAATAGAAACTAATTGCATATACTTAACTGAAATAAATTACAGCATTGATACAAGGGATAAGAGGGAGGAATTAGTAACATTTTGTTATTACAACAACATTTTTTTGTTACTGTACAAGTATACAACCCAAAGAGTCTTATAATGTTATTTGAAAGTGGACTTGGAATAGGTGGAAATGTATGTATATATAAAACTTTGGGGCATCACTAAAACCAGACAAAAGAAAAAAAAAGCGTGTAATTGACATGCTAAGAAAGGTGAAAAAATGGAATTACATAAATTGTTCAGTTAAAACCACAAAGGCAGAAAAAGAGTAGAAGACACAAATAGAAACAAAGAACAAGGGCAACTAATAAAGAAGAGTAACAAATATGCTAGCTATTAATTTAACTATATCAATAATTCACATAACATACAATTAACCCACTTTAAATGCACAATTTAATGGTTTGGGTATAGAATTAATTTTTAAAAATTGTAAAATATATACAACAAAATTTGCCATTAAAAATATGTGGTACAGAAAATACATGTATTATGCTACAATTAGTATAAAATGTAAGTATTTATACACAAATGTCCTTGAAAGCACAGAATATCTCTGACAGAAACTTACAACAATAGTTGCCTCTAAGGAGTGCCACTTGGGGATAGAGAAAGAAAAATAAAAGGGAAAATAATTTTTATTTTATATTCTTCTGTATCATTTTCATGGTTTGCTATGTTAATATATTATCTACTCAAAAAACCAAAACCATTAAAAACTTCTCAAGCATGTTTAAAACATGGCATTTTTTCACTGCTCTTTCTTTTCACATTAACACCAGACATCACTAATCAGTCAGGATACCCTTTTCCACTGAGAGCACTGATGAAATTTCAGAATCCTTCTCACCACAGTGCTCCAGGTTTTCGCTACCGGTAAACCAAAGCAATACACAATGGACAATATAATTGCAATTATGTAACGAGATTCACATACTGAAAATATATTCTAGTTAGAGAGTTCTATCTATATGAGATTTTCCAAGCAACTTGGCTATAACATTAAACAGTGTACGTTTTAAATAGTACTTTCCCAGAAAATTAAAAATGAATAAATATGCTAAATATGTACTATGTTACTACAATTTCTGATTGGATATTTAGAATATACACACCTCTCTGCCAGATTCAGGACAAAACACACAGCATTTAAGGCTTTATATACTCACCCATATGTGGAATATTCCAAACTATGTACCATTTCAAAATATCCTGGCAGGTTATCTAACAGTACTGCAACATTTTTAAGGCAGTCAGACTGCCAAGTCTCAGTGTGGGATTCAGACGTGGAAGATATTTGGAAGTGTATATTTTCTTCTAGGCAAATCCAGAATATGTCACTGTGAGAGAATTCCAGCCTCCTACCCCCTGAATTGTAGGTTAGTAACTGACTGCAACACATCGTTGGTGGCTCCAAAACAAGAATGATTGCATCTTGCATTTGCCACTGGCCAAAAATCTGTAGAGTCCTTGGCAGAAAGTTATTTCAAATCTAAGTCAAATGCTCAAGTCTGCAGCATTTTTTAAAACAAAGCCAGTAGCAGTCAGAGTTTTGCAATCTCCAACACATATGCAAGTGTGCAGGTGTATGTGTATGCACAGGCACACACACACACACACACACACATCCTTCTTTGCTGTAACCCCATCCTCCTCTTAAGCAGAAAGGGAACACTTTCAGATTTTAAGAGCTAGAGTTGAAATTTTCTTGATATAATTTTAACCTAAACTGCCCGTATTATACCCAAAAGGAAAACTCCTGTAGCATAATTCAACAGTAGGTAAGACCTTACACAAGTTATTTCATTTCCCTGGGTGTATTAGTCCATTTTCACACTGGTGATAAAGACACACCCAACACTGGGAAGAAAAGGAGGTTTAATTTGACTTTCAATTCCACATGGCTGGAGAGGTCTCACAATCATGGTAGAGGGTGAAAGGCACTTCTTACTTGGCAGTGGCAAGAGACAATGAGGAAGAAGCAAAAGCGGAAACCCCTGATAAACCTACCAGATCTATTGAGACTTATTCACTATCACAAGAATTGCACAGGAAAGATCAGCCCCCATGATTCAAATACCTCCCACTGGGTCCCTCCCACAACCCTTGGGAATTCTGGGAGATAAAACCTAAGTTGAGGTTTGGATGGGGACACAGCCAAACCATATCATTCTGCCCCGGCCCCTCTCAAATCTCAAGTCCTCACATTTCAAAACCAATCATGCCTTCCCAACAATCTCCCAAAGTCTTAACTCATTTCAGCATTACCTCAAAAGTCCACAGTCCATTGTCTCATCTGAGACAAGAAAAGTCCCTTCTGTATATGAGCCTGTAAAATAAAATGCAAGTTAGTTACTTCCTAGATACAATGAGGGTACAGGCATTGGGTAAATACAACCATTCCAAATGGGAGATATTGGCCAAAACAAAGGGGCCACAGGCCCCATGCAAGTCTGAAATCCAGTGGGGCAGTTAAATCGTAAAGCTCCAAAATGATATCTTTTGACCCCATGTCTCACATCCAGGTCACGCTGATGCAAGAGGTGGGTTTCCATGGTTTTGGGCAGCTCCACCCCTGTGGCGTTGCAGGGTACAGCCTCCCTCCCAGCTGCCTGTGGCTTTTCCAGGTGCGTGACACAAGCTGCCAGTGGATCTACCATTGTGGGGTCTGGAGGACAGAGCCTCTCTTCTCACAGCTCCACTAGGCAGTGCCCCAATAGGGACTCTGTGTGGGGGCTCTGACTCCACATTTTCCTTCCACACTGTCCTAGCAGAGGTTCTCCAGGAAGGGCCCGCCCCTTCAGCAAACTTTTGCCTGGGCATCCAGTCATTTCCATACATCTTCTGAAATCTAGACAGAGGTTCCCAAACCTCAATTCTTGACTTCTGCACACCTGCAGGCTCAACACCATGTGGAAGCTGCCAAGGCTTGGGGCTTCCACCCTCTGAAGCAACAGCCTGAGCTGTACCTTGGCCCTCTGGAGCGGCTGGACACAGGGCACCAAGTCTCTAGACTGTACACAGCATGGGGTCCCTGGGCTCAGCCCATGAAACTACTTTTTCCTCCTTGGCCTCTGGGCCTGTGATGGTGAGGTGGGGGGGGGAGGGCACTGCTGTGAAGGTCTCTGACATGGCCTGGAGGCATTTTCCCCATGGTCTTGGGGATTAAAAATTAGACTCCTTGCTACTTATGCAAGTTTCTACAGCCAGCTTGAATTTCTCCCCAGAAAATGGGTTTTTCTTTTCCATTACATAGACAGCCTGCAAATTTTCCAAATTTTTATGCTTTGCTTCCCTTATAAAACTGAATGCCTTTAACAGCACTCAAGTCATGTCTTGAATGTTTTGCTGTTTAGAAATTTCTTCTGCTGGCTGAGCATGGTGGCTCATGCCTGTAATCCCAGCACTTTGGGAGGCCAAGGTGGGCAGATCACCTGAGGTCAGGAGTTCGAGACCAGCCTGGCCAACATGGCAAAACCTCATCTCTACTGAAAATACTAAAATTAGTGGGGTGTGGAGGTGGGTGCCTGTAATCCCAGCTACTCAGGAGGCTGAGGCAGGGAGAACTGCTAGAGCCTGGGAGGGAGAGGTTGCAGTGAGCCAAGGTCTCGCCACTGCACTCCAGTCTGGGCAACAGAGTGAGACTCCATCTCAAAGAAAAAAAAAGAAAAAAGAAAAATTTCTTCCAAGAGATACCCTAAATTATCTCACTCAAGTTCAAAGTTCCACAAATCTCTAGGGCAGGGGCAAAATGCTGCAAGTTGCTTTGTTAAAACATAGCAAGAGTCACCTTTACTTCCATTCCCAACAAGTTCCTAATTTTCATCTGGGATCACCTCAACCTGGAGTTTGTTGTCCATATCGCTATCAACATTTTGGACAAAGCTATTCAACAAGTCTCTAGGAAGTTCCAAACTTTCCCACATTTTTCTGTCTTCTTCTGAGTCCTCCAAACTGTTCCAGCCTCTGCCTGTTACCAAATCGCTTCAACATTTTTGGGCATCTTTTCAGCAATGCCCCACTCTACTGGTTCCAATTTACTGTATTAGTTCTTTTTCACACTGCTTATAAAGACATACCTGAGACTGGGAAGAAAAGGAGGTTTAATTTGACTTTCAGTTCCACATGGCTGGGGAGGTCTCACAATCATGGCAGTGGGTGAAAGGCACTTTTACATGGCAGTGGCAAGTGACAGTGAGGAAGAAACAAAAGGAGAAACCCCAGATAAACCCATCAGATCTAATGAGATTTATTCACTATCCCAAGAATAGCACAGAAAGAAGAGCCTCAATGATTCAATTACCTCCCACTGGGTCCCTCTAACAACACTTGGGAATTCTCAGAGATACAATCCAAGTTGAGATTTGGGGGGGGGGGGGACACAGCCAAACCATGTCACTGGGCTTCCATTTCCTCAACTATAACATGAAATAATTTCACTCAGCAATCTCTTAGATCTGTCAAGTTTGAACATTCCTAAAAAAATAAGAATCATTTCAATATAAATAGCTTTACACGAAGAATAGGAGCAGTATTCAACCCCCATTAAAAATTAATATACCTTAAGGATAGGTTACTAGACTTAAACTGGATCATCTTTCATCTTTTGAAGTCTCTTTTAGCTTCAAGATTCTATTAGTACTGTGGACATTAGTTTTCTAAACTAATATGTCTGCATGTTTTTAGAACACTGAAAAGGAACAACTCATTGAAGTTAAACACTTCAGCCTTTGCAATATTCAACAAAACATGAATAGAAATCTAAGATTTTGATATTAATGGTGGTAAACATTGAAACTGTCTACTGACAGGAATGTATCTGTACATTCCTAATAAAAGCAAAGTGAGCTTTACCATAAGGTAATCCCAAAATGTCTATCCCTGCTTCATCTGGGTTAGGATTTTCCTGGAGACCATTGGCCTGCTTCATAGTCAATCAACACCAGCTTACCTAGGACCACTTACACCCAGAAAGTAATATAAAGTAGGACAGAGAACAAATAGTTTGATGGGATCAAAATTTACAAATCCTGATTATTATCGGGGGAGGGGGGTGAATATAATGGCTTTAAAGGAAGAAAGATGAAGTTAAGATTTTAGTTCTACAATTTATTAGCTGTATCATCCTGGATAAGGTATCTAAGCTTGTATATTTCAGTTTCCTCAATTCAATGAGGATAATGGTACTGAATTCTTAAGGCCAATGTTCCTGCAACACTGAAGGTATTCAAGAAGTAGCTATTAAAATTAACATGTCCTTCTGGACACTATATATTCTGTCCTACCTTAGCTAGTCTTTTGATTCCACTCAGTCTCACTCCCCCCACCATCATTTCTTCCCCTATCTCTTTCTCTGTATTTGAGCTTTTGCAGTCTACCCAGCCAGGGAATATTTCAGATATCTCTTCTGCTTAGCTAAACCCTGAAGTCTAGTCCCTTCTGGCCAGTCCATGGCCCAGACTTACACTAATAGAGAAGTCCAAAATGTCCATTGGTCCATTGAACCACTTCTTCTATCTGAGATGAGTGTATGCTATTTTATTTGCAGTCAATATTATGGTTCTTGGTCCTTAAGCAATGTAAAAAATCACCAGTCAGAATACAAACATTTATGGAAGAAACCTGAGAATGGACAAGGCATTTATCCTAATGACTCAGGCTATCAAGAAAGCCAATACAAACCAGATCTAATGCCTAGAACAAAGGTTATAACTTACAAACTGTGTGTTAGAGAACATCTGCCTTCCCTCCAGCATCAGCTTCCTTTGTGGCAAAAGAGGTATTTATAGACCTAGATTTTATAGTTTTATTTGGAATTGTAGACTTTGCTCTTGGAAAGTAGGAAAAATGTGAATTTGTGTAAGCTTTGAAAGTGCAGCCTTTGTCCAGAGGAGAAAATAATTCTCTTGTAAAATATTGCCTATTTCAAAGAATCCCTGGACAAGTTCTAAAAGTCAAGTTAATACAGCAAACTCTTGCTTTTAGAAATAAGCATGAAAATGATGACAGGAATTTAAACTGGTTGTGATGCAGAAACTATCTGACAACTCGAATTCTCTCTTTCTGTGACTCTGTCATTGCTTTACAAAGAGAATACTGAAGGGTTGGTTGGGGCCTCTACTCTAGTTGACAGGGTAATGGTTAATATTATCCATAACTACAACTCCATGTAAGCTGTATAATCTATAACCAGAAATTTTTAAATCACGGGACCCTGAGTAATCATCCTCCATTACAGACTACAATTGAAGAATTATTGTTATATGAGAATCCAGAAGTTTAATAATTTTACAGATTGTTTTTATACATTGTACAAACATTGAGAGAGCTACTTTGAAGTAGAAAGTAGTGAAAATAAGATAGCTTTTATCTTTGAAATAAAACTACAGTCTTAAAAGTTTCAAAAATAAAAACAAGTAACTGATTGTTAAACCTAAAGATTCTTCTCTAGCCACAGAGCAATTACTTCTCTAGTGTTCTCTGAACAACCCCTTGAAATTTTGGATATTCAATACCACTCTATTATTATAGTATCTCTCCATCTTGTGTTGTTTCTTTTTTTTTTTTTCTTCTAGGTATGCTTTTTTTTTTCTAACCTTCTAAGAACAAGAAATTCCTAAGATGTAATTCTTGATTCTTTTTTTCATTACACCTTCCATGGCACAGATTCTTTTTCTTTCACTGATGCCCCCATCTCTCAGAAGTCATTTATTTAAAAAACACTTATTGTGCACTTGTTTTAGCTCTAACCTTTTTTAAAAATTTCCAAAATCATATGTAACTTTGCATCACTTAACATGTATCTCATTAATAAAAATGTAAGAGACACATACAGAAAAGAATCTGACCATTTCCTCTATTACAAAGGTGACTTGTCTAACACATATGAGCTTCATATTTCTTCTTTTTTACCTACTTTTTGAGATATAATTTACATAAAATAAAGTGTATCCTTCTTGAGTGTATACTGTGATTATTTCTGACAAATATATGTACCCTATACTCACTATCTTTATCAAGATATGGAATATTTCTATCACCCAAGTTTCCTCCTGCCACTTTGCAATCAACTCACTACTCACCACTGTTAATTCCAGGCAACCATTATGTCTTTCTGGCACTATAGACAAGGTTTGACTAATTTAGAATTTTAGATAAGTAGAATCACACATATTGACTTGCTTTGTCACTGTAATCTTAACTAGCCATAATATTTTTTCAGAATTATTCTTGTTGTTGCATCAGTCAGTACTTAAATTCTTTTTTCTTTCTGAGCTACATTCCATTGTACATATGTACCATTATTTGTTTATTCATTCACTTTTTGAAAAACAATTCTGTTGTTTCTAGTTGTTGACTATCAAAAACACTCATGTCCAAACTTTTTTCTGGATGTGTCTTTTCATTTCTGCTGGGTAAATAATTAGAAGTGAAATTATTGGGCCATAGAACAAGTATATGATTAAATTTATTTTTTAGAAAACTAAAAAACTGAAGGGAGGGCAGAGGAACACAGCCAATAGAAGCCTTAAGTAATCTTCCCCACTTCAGAAGTGCTAATTTAACAACTATCTACACACAAAAATCCACCTTTCTAAGAGGCAAAAATCAGGTGAGCAAGCACAGTACCTGGTTTTAAATTCATATCACTGAAAGAGGTACTGAAGAGGGTAGAAAAGACAGTATTGAACTGCTGACACTACTTTTTCCCCATACCTTTGGCAATGGCCACATGGTGTAGAAAATGTGTGTGCTTGAGAGTGGGAGAGAGTATTTATAGGAATCTTCATCAAACTCAGTGTTTCCAGTCACAGCAAAAAACTAGATCTGAAGTAAACTCAGCCAACGCCTACCTACAAAGACAGCATTTAGATCAGCCCTGGCCAAAGGGAACTAGCCCAGCTCAATGGTCGAAAGTTGAGTTTTAGCAAGCTGTGCCACTATGGGCTAAAATGCTCTGGCTTCCTAAATAAACTTGAAAGGCATTCTAGGCAACAAGGACTGCAAATCCTAGGCAAGTCATAGTCCTGTGTTGAGATTAGAGGTAGTGAATGTAGAGCACCAGGACACCAGCCAGGGAGACTAAGGAAATGTTTGTTACCCTTCACCCAACTCCAGGCAGAGTAGTTCTAGGGCACAGCACCAAAAGTGACACCTTCCTTCTGCTGAAAGAGAAGACAGTGAAGAGTACAGAGGACTTTGTCTTGCATCTTGGATACCAGCTCAGCCACAGTAGGATAAGCCACTGGGCAGACACATGAGGCCCCCTTTCCAGGCCCTACCTCACAGATGATGTATCTAGATACAACCTGGGCCAGAAGGGAACTTACTGCCTTGAAGAAAAAGACTCAGTCCTGGCAGGATCCATTACTTTTTGGCTAAAGAGCTACTTGACTCTAAATATCAAGCATCAATAACCAGGTAGTAAGTCATAGAACTTGGGTGAAATTCTGAGACCTGCTGGCTTCACTAAGCAGCTAGGGAACAGTAGGGAAGAGCACCAAGTGGGCTCTTGGTATCCTCAACTCCAGGCCTTGGCTCTTGGACAGCATTTAAGTACCTGCCCTGGGCCAAGGGGGAGCCCACTGCTCTTAACTGTCCCGGGCCTGGCAGCATTCACCACAAGCTGACTGAAAAGCCCTTGGCTTTAAATGAACACTGACAGTAGTCTGAAAGTACCCTCCATGGTTCTATGGTGGTGGTGCCAATAGGGAGAGGCTCCTTTGCCTATAGAAAGGGGAGAGAAGAATGGGAAAAACTTTGTCTCCTGGTTCAAGCATAGGATTAGCCACAATAGAATAGAGCACCAGGTAGATTTCTAAGGTATTTGATTGTAGTTCCTACCTTCTGGATAGCATCTCTGGAATTGTGCAGGGCCTGGAGGAACTTGCCACCTTGATGGGAAGGACACAAGCCTGGCTGGCTTTTCTACCTACTGACTGCAGAGCCCTGTAGCCTTGAGCAAACATTGGTGGTAGCCAGGTAGTGGTTACACTAGGCCTTGAGCAATACCCGGTGCTGTGTTGGTTTCAGGTCTGATCCAGCACAGCCCCAGTGGTGATGCCCATAGGGTTGCTTATGTCCTATCACCCACAGCTCTAGAGAGCTCAGCAAAGATAGAGAGACTGCTTGTTTGGGAGAAAGTAAGGGAAAGTAACAAGAGCCTCTGACTGGTAATTGAAATAACTCTTTTGCATCTTATTCAAGACCAAAATGTCAGTATCTCTATGAGTCTGCAAAAACCGCAGCATTACTAGGCTTTAGGGGTCCCCCAATGCAGATATGGCTTAGACAACAACACCCAAGTCATTCTGAATACCTGAAAAGTCTTCCTGAGGACACTAAAAAAAAAAAAAAAAAAAAAAAACGACTGTGAAGACCACAATAAAAAACTAACTCTTCGATGCCCAGACACTGATGAATATTCACAAGCATAAAGACCATCCAGGAAAACATGACCTAACCAAACAAACTAAATAAAACAACAGAGACTAATAATGGAGAAACAGAGATATGAGAATTTTCAAACAAGGAATTGAAAATAGCTGTTTTGAGAAAACTTAAAAAAAATTAAACATAAAAAATAGAAATGTATTAGATAAATTTAACAAAGATAATTTAAAAAAATAAAGCAGAAATTCTGGAGTAGAAAAATGAAATTAACATATGAATAATGCTTCAGAGTTTTCCAATAGTGAATTTATCAAGAAGGCAGAATTTGTGAGCTTGAAGACAGGTTATTTGAAAATACACAGTCAGAAGAAACAAAAGAAAAAAGAATAAAAAACAAAGAAGCATGTCTATGAAACAGCCTCAAAAAGGTAAATCCAAGAGTTACTGGAATTAAATATCAGGTAGAGAAAGACATCGAGGTAGAAATGTTGTTCAAAGAGATAATATCAGAGAACTTCCCAAATCTAGGGGAAAATATCAATATTCAAGTTCACGACGATTATACAACACGAAACAGATTTACCCCCAATATGACTACTTCAGTTGATTTCTTGAAAAGTTAAACAAACTGGGAAATCCTTTAGCCAGAATAACTAAGATAAAAAGAAAGTAGATTCAAATAAATAAGAGATTAAAAATAAGACATTACAGATGATTCCACACAAATTCAAAGGCCCATTAGTGGCTACTATGGGCAACTATATGCCAATAAGTTAAAAAATCTGGAAGAAATGAATAAATTCCTAGACACATATAACTTACAAATATTAAATCATGAAGAAATCCAAAACAGGAACAGACCAATAACAAGTAATGAAATAGAAACCATAATAAAATGTATCCCAGCAAAGAAAAGCCCGAGAGCAGATGGCTTCACTGCTGAATTCTACTAAACACATGAAAAAGAATTAATACAATCCTACTCAAAGTATTCTGAAAAATAGAGAAGGAAATACTTCCAGACTCACTCTATGAAGCCGGTATGACCCTGATATCAAAGCCAGACAAAGACACATCAAAAAGTGAAAACTACAGGTCAATATTCCTGATGAATTTTGATGAAAAAAATCTGAATAAAATACTAGCAAACAAAATTAAAAAATAAGATCATTTATCATGATCAAGTGAGATTTATCCCAAGGATGCAAGGAATGTTTAACATATTTAAATCAATTAAGGTGATACATCATATAAACAGAATAGAGGACAGAATCCATATGATCATCTCAAGTAACACTGGAAAAGCATTTTATAAAATTAAACATTGCTTCATGATAAAAACCCTTAAAAAACTGAGTATAGAAAAAACATTCCTCAACATAATAAAAGCCATGTATAACAGACCAACAACTAGTATCATACTGAATGGGGAAAAACTAACAAACTTTCCTCTAAGATCTGGAATGCAGCAAAGCTGCCTACTGTCACCACTGTTATTTAACATAGTACTGGAAGTCCTAGCTAGAGCAATTAGACAAGAGAAGAAAATATAGACATCCAAATTGGAAAGGAAGAAGTCAAATTATCCTTGTTTGTTGATAACATGATCTTATATTTGGAAAATTCTAAGGACTCTACAAAAAACTACTAGAACTAATAAACATATTCAGTAAAGTTTCTGAATACAATACTATTTTACAAAATTTAGTACTATTTGTATATCCCAACAGTGAACAATCTTAAAAATAAACAAGATAGTAATTCTATTTACAATAGCCACACATAAATAACTCAAAATTAAGAAAGTAAAAGATATCTACAATTAAAACAATAAAATATTGATGCAGAACATTGAAGAGGACACCAAAAAAAATGAAAATATATTCCATGTTCATGGATTGGAAGAATTAGTGTTGTTAAAATGTTCATAATACCCAAAGCAATCTACCGATTTAATGCAATCCTTATTGAAATACCAATGGAATTCTTCAAAAAAATAACAAAAACAATAATAAACTTTATATGGAACCACAAAAGACCCATAATAGCCAAAACTATCCTGAGTAAAAAGAATAAAACTAGAAGAATCAAATTACCTGACTTCAAATTATACTACAGAGCTATAGTAACCAAAACACAACAGTACTAGCATAAAAACAGACACATAGATCAATGAAACAGAATAGACAACCCAGAAACAAATGGATACATGTGCAGTGAACTCATCTTCTACAAAGTTACCAAGAACATACATTGGAAATATAGTCTTTTCAATAAATGGTGTTGGGAAAACTGGATATCCATATACAGAAGAATAGAACTAGAACAGTACCTCTAGCCATATACAAAAATAAAATCAAAATTGATTAAATACTTAAAATTGAAGACCTCAAACTATAAAACAACAATAAGGAAATATTGGAGAAACTCTCCAAGACATCGGTCTGGGCAAAATTTCTTGAGTAATATCCCACAAACCCAGGTAACCAAAGCAAAAATGAACAAATGGGACCAACTCACATTTAAAAGCCTCTGTATAGCAAGGGAAATGATCAACAAAGTAAAGGGACAACACATAGAATGAGAAAAAAATATTGCAAGCTACCCATCCTACCCATCTGAAAATATATTAATAAACAGATTATATGAGAAGTTCAAACTACTCTGTAGAAAAAAAATTAACAATTTGATTCAAAAATTGGCAAAAGATCTGAATAGACATTTCTCAAAAGAAGACATACAAATGGCAAATAGGCATATGAAAAGGTGCTTGACATCGTTGATCATCAGAGAAATACAAATCAAAACTACCATGAGATATCATCTCACCTCAGTTAAAATGGGTTTTACCAAAAGGCAATAACAAATGCTGATGACAATGTGGAGAAAAGGGAACCTTCGTACACTGTTGGTGGGAATGTAAGTTAGTACAACCACTATGAAAAAGAGTTTGGAGATTCCTCAAAGAACTAAAAATAGAGCTACCGTAAGATCTATCAATCCTACTGACATGTTTCTATTCAAGAGAAAAGAAATCAGTATATGGAAGAGATTATCTGCACTCCCATGTTTGTTGCAGCACTGTTCACAATAGCCAAGATTTGGAAGCAACCTAAGTGTCCATCGACAGATGAATGGATTAAAAAAATGTGGTACAGATACACAATGGCGGACTATTCAGCCAGAAAAAAATAAGATTCTGTCATTTGCAAAAACCTGGATAGAACTGGAGGTTATTATGCTAGTTGAAATAAGCCAGACACAGAAAGACAAACATTACATGTTCTCACTTATTTGTGAGATATAAAATTCATAACAATTGAACTCACAGGGATAGTGAAAGGATGGTTACCAGAAGCTGGGAAGGGTATTGGGAAAGTGGAAGTGAGCTGGGGTTGGTTAACAGTTACAAAAAATATAAAATAATAAATAAGATCTAATTGATAGCACAACAGGGTGGCTATAGTAAATAGTAATTTAATTGTACATGTTAAAATAACTAAAAGAGTACAATTGGATTGTTTGTAACACAAATGATAAATATATGTTGGGATGGATACCCCATTTTACATTATGTAATTATTGTACATTTTCTGCCTGTATCAAAACATTTAATGTACCCCATAAATATATACACCTACTATGTACTCACAAAAATTAAACATTTTTCTAATAATTAAATTGTTTAATAGGTGAAATACACCAATCTGAGATTTAAAACTACAAAACTACTAAAAGAAAACATTCAGAAAACAGTCCAGGACTTTGAACTGAGCAAATATTTCTTGATTAATATCCTACAAGCACTGGCAGCCAAAGCAAAAATGGGCAACCAGGTCACTTCAAGTTAAAAAAGCTTCTGCACAGCAAAGGAAACAAGCAACAAAATGAAGAGACAACCCACATAATGGGAGAAAATATTTTCAAACTACCCATCTGACAAGGGATTAATAACCAGAATACATAAGAACCTCAAACAACTTTATAAGAAAAAATATAATAATCTGATCAAAAATTGGGCAAAATATCAGAATAGACATTTCTCAAAGAAAGACAAAGAAATTTAAAACAGGTGCATGAAAAGGTTCTCAACATCATTGATCATTAAAGAAATGAAAATCAAAACTACAATGAGATTTCCTCTTACCCCAGTTAAAATAGCTTTTATCCAAAAGATAGGCAATAACAAATGCTGGCAAGGATGTGAAGGAAAGGGAATTCTCCTACACTCTTTGTGGAAATGTAAATTAGTACAACAACTATGGAGAACAGTTTGGAGGTCTCTCAAAAAAAAAACTAAAAAATAGAGTTACCATAGAATTCATCAATCTTACTGCTTGGGTATATATCCAAAGAAAGGAAATCAGTATATAGAAGAGATATCTGCATTCCCATGTTTGTTGCAGCACTGTTCACAATAGCCAAGGTTTGGAAGCCACCTAAGTGTCCATCAACAGATGAATGGATAAAGAAAATGTGGCACTTGAACACAATGAAGATGAAGGACTATTTAACCATAAAAAAGAATGAGATCCTGTCATTTGCAACAGCAGGGATGAAACTGGAGATCATTATATTAAGTGAAATAAGCCAGGAACAGAAAGACAGGCTTCATATGTACTCAATTATTTGTAAGAGCTAAAATTTAAAATAATTGAACTCATGGAGATAGAGAATAGAAGAACGGTTTCCAGAGGTTGGGAAGGGGGTGTAGTGGGGGATGAGAGAGATGTAAGGTTGTTTACTGGGAGCAAAAAAATAGAAAGTATACCCCCATGAACCCTGATGTGATTATTATGTATCACATGCTTGTATCAATATATCTCACTTAACCCCTAAATACATACCTACTATATACAACAAAAAAGCAAAAAGTTTTAGATAAAATTTTTAGAAAACTAACAAATGTTTTTGGTTGTATAGTTTTACACACACATCAATATTAAGAGTGACAGTTTTTCCACATTCATATCAACACTTGGTACTTTCAGTATTTTTAATTTTAGCCATTCCCATAGATACAAGTAGTATCATATTGTGCTTTCAGTTTCCGTTTCTTTAATGTCTAATTATGTGAAGAATCTTTTCATATCTTTATTTGCTATTCTTATTAGACATTTATCTCCTGAAGTGTTTGGTCAATTTTTTTTTTACTGATTTTTCAGTGTGTTTTTTTTTTGCCTGCTTATAAATGCATGGCAAAGAGAGGGTTTTTAAAATATTTTTGTAGATTTACTTTTAAACAGATTTACTGAGATATAATTCACATACCATATAATTTTACCCATTTAAAATCAATTTCCAGAGTTGACATCTTAACAACATGAACCCTTAATCTATAAATACTTTCTATTCTTTGAAGTTTAAAAAATAATTTTTCTCAACCATGTTTTGTTGTTTTAGCGTACAGGACTGGAACATTTTTAAAATTTATCTTATAAAGTATATCATAGTTTTTATGCCACTGTAAATGACTATTCAAAATTTCATTTTTCAATTGTTTCTTTGTATTATAGAAAAACACAACTGATTTTTGTGTACTGAGCTTGTATTCTACTTCTTTGCTAAATTTACTTCTGATTTCTGGTAAGTTTAAAAGAAACCATATTCTGTGATGCTATGGTAATCTCTACATATATGTCTTGTTTTCTGTGAATAATAATTGTATGCTTTCTAAAAGTTTGGGCTGTGTATTTGATTTTCTCACCTTATCGTACTGGCTAGGACAAAAAAGTACAAAATTGAATAGGAGTGGTAAAAGCACATATGTTTGCCTTGTTTCCAATTTTAAGGAGAAAACATTTAGTCTTTCAAGATTAGGCATAATATTATTTATAAGGTCCTGGTTTTGTTTGCTTTTCTGTATATGCCTTTTGTCATGTTAAGGAAAATCCCTTCTTCTCCTAGATAAATTAGAGTATTTTTCATGAATGTTCACTGTGTATTTAAAATGCCTTTTTTTACACTCTTTTTGAAAATAAATTTTTACTTTTTTGTTATTTTTATATGGTGGACTAAGTCAATTGTTTTTTAATTGTGGTAAAATACATGTAACATAAAATTTTTTATTTAAAAAATTTTAAGGATACAATTTGGTGGCATTAAGGACATTCACACATTATTGTGCAACCATCACCAACATTCAGCTCTAGAATTCTTTTTATCTTTCCAAACTGAAATCCTCTACACAATAAACATTAACTCTCCACTTTCCCTTTCCCCAGCTCCTTGCAACCACCATTCTACTCTGTGTATCTACGAATTTCGTTATTGTAGGTAACTTGTATAAGTAAGATTACACCTTTGGTGTCTTGTTCATTTCACATAGCATAATATCTTCATGTTTCATCATGCTGTAACATTTGTGCATTTTTTTCTTTCTTTTCAAGGCTGTATAATATTCCATTGTATAAACATACTACAATTTGTTCATCCATCCTTCCATTAATTGACATTTACAATGTTTCCATTTTCTGCTATTGTGAATGATGTTACCATGAACATTGGTGTGCAAATATCTGTTCAAGTAACTGCTTTGAATTATTTGTGGTATATTCCCAGAAGTGAAATCACCGGATCATATGGTAACTTAATTTTTAATTGTTTTACCACATTCCTACCAACACTTGCTATTTTCTAGATTTGTTATTTTTTTTAATAGCTGTCCTAATGGGTGGGAATTAAAATCATATTTTGGGTTTTATTTTTATTTTCCTAATGATTAGTTGTGTTTGTCATCTTTTTATAGGTTCATTGGCATCTATATTTCTTTTTCAGATGAATTTCTGTACAAGTACTTCACCCATTTTAACATTGGATTGTTTGATTTTTTGTTATTGAGTTGTAAGATTTTTAAATATATTATTGATACTAATTGCATATCACATATATGATTTGCAAATACTTTCTTCAACTGTATGGGTTGTCTTTTCACTGCTGACACTGTACTTTGATACACAAAAGTTTTTAATTTTGACAAAGTCTTATTTATTAACTTTTTTTCTCTTACCTGTGTTTTTGAGGTCATATCCAAAACAATTTTTGCCAAACCTAATGACATAAAGATATCCCTATGTTTTTGTCTAAGAATTTTATAGTTTTAGCTCTTATGTTTAGATTTGTGGTCCATTTTGAATTAATTTTCATATATAATGTAAGTTAAGGGTCCAATTTCCTTCTATTGCATGTGCATATAAGGTTTCTCACCACCATTTGTTGAAAAGATTGTGTTTTTTATTGAATGGTCTTGGCAAACTTCAAAAATCATTTGATCATACATGTTAGGATTTCTTTCTGTGGCCCGTATTCTATTCCATTGGTCTATGTTTATGCCTTTGTGCCATTACCACAATATTTTGTTTAGTCTAGCATAATAGGCAGTTTTGAAATCAAGAAGTGTAAGACATTCAATTTTATTTAAAGATTGTTTTGGCTATTCAGAGACTTTTGAGATTTCATATACATTTTAAAATTGTTTTTTTCTATTAATGCAAAAAATTATTATTATTTTGATAGAGATTTCCTTGTGCGTGGAGCACTTTAGGTAGAATGGACATCTTAACAATATTATCTTGCAATTTATGAATACATAATGTCTTTCCATTTATTTGTCTCTTCTTTAATTGCTTTTGGCAACATTTTGTAGTTTTTATGTACAAGTCTTTTGCATCCTTATAAGTTTATTCCTATTTGATATTTTCATGCTACTGTAAATAGAATTGTTTTCTTTTTTCATTTTATTTACTTATTTATTTTATTATACTTTAAGATTTAGGATACATGTGCACAACGTGCAGGTTTGTTACATATGTATACATGTGCCATGTTGGTATGCTGCACCCATTAACTCGTCATTTAACATTAGATGTATCTCCTAATGCTATCCCTCCCCACTCCCCCCAGCCCACAACAGGCCCCTGTGTGTGATGTTCCCCTTCCTGTGTCCATGTGTTCTCATTGTTCAATTCCCACCTATGAGTGAGAACATGCGGTGTTTGGTTTTTTGTTCTTGTGATAGTTTGCTGAGAATGATGGTTTCTAGCGTCATCCATGTCCCTACAAAGGACATGAACTCATCATTTTTTATGGCTGCATAGTATTCCATGGTGTATATGTGCCACATTTTCTTAATCCAGTCTATCATTGACGGACATTTGGGTTGGTTCCAAGTCTTTGCTATTGTGAATAGTGCTGCAATAAACATACGTGTGCATGTGTCTATATAGCAGCATGATTTATAATCCTTTGGGTATATACCCAGTAATGGGATGGCTGGGTCAAATGGTATTTCTAGTTCTAGATCCCTGATGAATCGCCACACCAACTTCCACAATGGTTGAACTAGTTTACAGTCCCACCAACAGTGTAAAAGTGTTCCTATTTCTCCACATCCTCTCCAGCATCTGTTGTTTCCTGATTTTTTAATGATTGCCATTCTAACTGGTGTGAGACGGTATCTCATTGTGGTTTTGTTTTGCATTTCTCTGATGGCAAGTGATGATGAGCATTTTTTCATGTGTCTTTTGTCTGCATAAATATCTTCTTTTGAGAAGTGTCTGTTCATATCCTTCGCCCACTTGTTGATGGGGTTGTTTGTTTCTTGTAAATTTGTTTGAGTGCATTATAGATTCTGGATATTAGCCCTTTGTCAGATGAGTAGATTGCAAAAATTTTCTCCCATTCTGTAGGTTGCCTGTTCAATCTGATGGCAGTTGCTTTTGCTGTGCAGAAGCTCTTTAGTTTAATTAGATCCCATTTGTCAATTTTGGCTTTTGTTGCCATTGCTTTTGGTGTTTTAGTCATGAAGTACTTGCCCATGCCTATGTCCTGAATGGTATTGCCTAGGTTTTCTTCTAGGGTTTTCATGGTTTTAGGTCTAATATTTAAGTCCTTAATCCATCTTGAATTAATTTTTGTATAAGGTATAAGGAAGGGATCCAGTTTCAGCTTTCTACATATGGCTAGCCAGTTTTCCCAGCACCATTTATTAAATAGGGAATCCTTTCCCCATTGCTTGTTTTTCTCAGCTTTGTCAAAGATCAGATGGTTGTAGATATGTGGCATTATTTCTGAGGGCTCTGTTCTGTTCCATTGGTCTATATCTCAGTTTTGGTACCAGTACCATGCTGTTTTGGTTACTGTAGCCTTGCAGCATAGTTTGAAGTCAGGTAGCGTGATGCCTCCAGCTTTGTTCTTTTGGCTTAGGATTGACTTGGCAATGCGGGCTCTTTTTTGTTTCCATATGAACTTTAAAGTATTTTTTTCCAATTCTGTGTAGAAAGTCATTGGTAACTTGATGGGGATGGCATTGAATCTATAAGTTACCTTGGACAGTATGACCATTTTCACGATATTGATTCTTCCTACCCATGAGCATGGAATGTTCTTCCATTTGTTTGTATCCTCTTTTATTTCCTTGAGCAGTGGTTTGTAGTTCGCCTTGAAGAGGCCCTTCACATCCCTTGTAAGTTGAATTCGTAGGCATTTTATTCTCTTTGAAGCAATTGTGAATGGTAGTTCACACATGATTTGGCTCTCTGTTTGTCTGTTATTTGTGCTTAAGAATGCTTATGATTTTTGCACATTGATTTTGTATCCTGAGACTTTGCTGAAGTTGCTTATCAGCTCAAGGAGATTTTGGGCTGAGACGATGGGGTTTTCTAGATATACAATCATGTCATCTGAAAACAGGGACAATTTGCCTTCCTCTTTTCCTAATTGAATACCCTTTATTTCCTTCTCCTGCCTGATTGCCCTGGCCAGAACTTCCAACACTATGTTGAATAGGAGTGGTGAGAGAAGGCATCCCTGTCTTGTGCCAGTTTTCAAAGGGAATGCTTCCAGTTTTTGCCCATTCAGTATGATATTGGCTGTGGGTTTGTCACAGATAGCTCTTATTATTTTGAGATACATCCCATCCATACCTAATTCATTGAGAGTTTTTAGCATGAAGCGTTATTGAATTTTGTCAAAGGCCTTTTCTGCATCTATCGAGATAATCATGTGGTTTTTGTCTTTGGTTCTGTTTATAAGCTGGATTATGTTTATTGATTTGCATATGTTGAACCAGCCTTGCATCCCAGGGATGAAGCCCACTTGATCATGTTGGATAAGGTTTTTGATGTGCTGCTGGATTCAGTTTGCCAGTATTTTATGGAGGATTTTTGCATCGATGTTCATCAGGGATATTGGTCTAAAATTCTCTTTTTTTGTTGTGTCTCTGCCAGTCTTTGGTATCAGGATGATGCTGGCCTCATAAAATGAGTTAGGGAGGATTCCCTGTTTTTCTATTGATTGGAATAGTTTCAGAAGGAATGGTACCAGCTCCTCCTTGTACCTCTGGTATAATTCGGCTGTGAATCCATCTGGTCCTGGAGTTTTTTTGGTTGGTAAGCTATGAATTACTGCCTCAATTTCAGAGCCTGTTATTGGTCTCTTAAGAGATTCAGCTTCTTCCTGGTTTAGACTTGGGAGGGTGTATGTGTCGAGGAATTTATCCATTTCTTCCAGATTTTCTAGTTTATTTGCGTAGAGGTGTTTATAGTATTCTCTGATGGTAGTTTGTATTTCTGTGGGATCGGTGGTGATAGCCCCTTCATCATTTTTTATTGCATCTATTTGATTCGTCTCTCTTTTCTTCTTTATTAGTCTTGCTAGCAGTCTATCAATTTTGTTGATCTTTTCAAAAAAAACAGCTCCTGGATTCGTTGATTTTTTGAAGAGTTTTTTTGTGTCTGTATTTCATTCAGTTCTGCTCTGATCTTAGTTATTTCGTGCCTTCTGCTAGCTTTTGAATGTGTTTGCTCTTGCTTCTCTAGTTCTTTTAATTGTGATGTTAGGGTGTCAATTTTGGATCTTTCCTGGTTTCTCTTGTGGGCATTTAGTGCTATAAATTTCCCTCTACACGCTGCTTTGAATGTGTCCCAGAGATTCTGGTATGTTGTGACTTTGTTCTCATTGGTTTCAAAGAACATCTTTATTTCTGCCTTCATTTTCTTATGTACCCAGTAGTCATTCTGGAGCAGGTTGTTCAGTTTCCATGTAGTTGAGCGGTTTTGAGTGAGTTTCTTAAACCTGGGTTCTAGTTTGATTGCACTGTGGTCTGAGAGACAGTTTGTTATAATTTCTGTTCTTTTACATTTGCTGAGGAGTGCTTTACTTCCAAGTATGTGGTCAATTTTGGAATAGGTGTGGTGTGGTGCTGAAAAGAATGTATATTCTGTTGATTTGGGGTGGAGAGTTCTGTAGATGTCTATTAGGTCCGCTTGGTGCAGAGCTGAGTTCAATTCCTGGATATCCTTATTAACTTTCTGTCATGTTGATCTGTCTGATGTTGACAGTGGGGTGTGAAAGTCTCCTGTTTTTATTGTGTGGGAGTCTAAGTCTCTTTGTAGGTCTCTAAGGACTTACTTGCTTTATGAATCTGGGTGTTCCTGTATTGGGTGCATATATATTTAGTATAGTTAGCTCTTCTTGATGAATTGATCCCTTTACCATTATGTAATGGCATTCTTTGTCTCTTTTGATCTTTGTTGGTTTAAAGTCTGTTTTATCAGAGACTAGAATTGCAACCCCTGCCTTTTTTTTTTTTCCATTTGCTTGGTAGATCTTCCTCCATCCCTTTATTTTGAGCCTATGTGTGTCTCTGCACATGAGATGTGTTTCCTGAATACAGAACACTGATGTGTCTTGACTCTTTATCCAATTTTCCAGTCTGTGTCTTTTGATTGGAGCATTTAGCCCATTTACATTTAAGGTTAATATTGTTATGTGTGAATTTGATCCTGTCATTATGAGGTACTGGTTATTTTGCTCATTAGTTGATATAGTTTCTTCGTAGCCTTGATGGTCTTTACAATTTGGCATGTTTTTGCAGTGGCTGGTAGTGGTTTTTCCTTTCCATGTTTAGTGCTTCCTTCAGGAGCTCTTTTAGGGCAGGCCTGGTGGTGACAAAATCTCTCAGCATTTGCTTGTGTGTAAAGGATTTTATTTCTCCTTCACTTATGAGGCTTAGTTTGGCTGGATATGAGATTCTGGGTTGAAAATTCTTTTCTTTAAGAATGTTGAATATTGCCCCCCAGTCTCTTCTGGCTTGTAGAGTTTCTGCCGAGAGATCAGCTGTTAGTCTGATGAGCTTCCCTTTGTGGGTAACCCAACCTTCCTCTCTGGCTGCCCTTAACATTTTTTCCTTCATTTCAACTTTGGTGAATCTCACAATTATGTGTCTTGGAGTTGCACTTCTTGAGGAGTATCTTTGTGACATTTTCTGTATTTCCTGAATTTGAATGTTGGCCTGCCTTGCTAGATTGGGGAAGTTCTCCTGGATAATATCCTGCAGAGTGTTTTCCAACTTGGTTCCATTCTCCCCATCAATTTCAGGTACACCAATCAGGTGTAGCTTTGGTCTTTTCACATAGTCCCATATTTCTTGGAGGCTTTGTTCATTTCTTTTTATTCTTTTTTCTCTAAACTTCTCTTCTCACTTCATTTCATTCATTTGATTTTCCATCACTGATACCCTTTCTTCCAGTTGATCAAATCGGCTACTGAGGCTTGTGCATTCATCACGTAGTTCTTGTGCCTTGGTTTTTCAGCTCCATCAGCTCCTTTAAGGACTTCTCTGCATTGGTTATTCTAATTAGCCATTCATCTAATTTTTTTTCAAGTTTCTAACTTCTTTGCCATGGGTTCAAACTTCCTCCTTTAGCTCGGAGTAGTTTGATCGTCTGAAGTCTTCTCTCAACTCATCAAAGTCATTCTCCATCCACCTTTGTTCCATTGCTGGTGAGGAGCTGTGTTCCTTTGCAGGAGGAGAGGCACTCTGATTTTTAGAGTTTCCAGTTTTTCTGCTCTGTTTTTTCCCCATCTTTGTGGTTTTATCTACCTTTGGTCTTTGATGATGGTGACGTACAGATGGGTTTTTGGTGTGGATGTCCTTTCTGTTTGTTAGTTTTCCTTCTAACAGTCAGGACCCTCAACTGCAGGTCTTTTGGAGTTTGCTGGAGGTCCACTCCAGATCTTTTTTGCCTGGGTATCAGCAGCAGAGGCTGCAGAATAGCAGATGTTGTTGAACAGCAAATGTTGCTGCCTGATTGTTCCTCTGGAAGTTTTGTCTCAGAGGAGTACCGGGCCGTGTGAGGTGTTAGTCTGCCCCTACTGTGGGGTGCCTCTAAGGCTACTCAGGGGTCAGGGACCCACTTGAGGAGGCAGTCTGTCTGTCCTCAGATGTCCAGCTGCATGCTGGGAGAACCACTGCTCTCTTCAAGGCTGTCAGACAGGGACATTTAATTCTGCAGAGGATTCTGCTGCCTTTTGTTTGGCTGTACCCTGCCCCCAGAGGTGGGGTCTACAGAGGCAGGCAGGCCTCCTTGAGCTGTGGTGGGCTCCACCTAGTTCGAGCTTCCTGGTCACTTTTTTTACCTACTCAAGCCTAGGCAATGGTGGGCGCCCCTCCCACAGCCTCACTGCCACCTTGCAGTTTTATCTCAGACTGCTGTGCTAGCAATGAGCGAGGCTCCATGGGCATAGGACCCTCCGAGCCATGCACGGGATATAATCTCCTGGTGTGCCGTTTGCTAAGACCGTTGGAAAAGCACAGTATTAGAGTGGGAGTGACCTGAATTTTCCAGGTGCTCTCTGTCACCCCTTTCTTTGACTAGGAAAGGGAATTCCCTGACCCCTTGCACTTCCCAGGTGAGGTGCTTCCTTGCCCTGCTTCAGCTCATGCTCGGTGCTCTGCACCCACTGTCTTGCACCCACTTTCTGACGCTCCCCAGTGAGATGAACCCAGTACCTCAATTGGAAATGCAGAAATCACCCATCTTCTGCATCACTCACCCTGGGAGCTGTAGACTGGAGCTGTTCCTATTCGGCCATCTTGGCTCCACCTCCGCTGGCTTCAGTTTTTATCTAGTGCAGTCATAGTGGTGGTGGCTATGGGGTGCTTGTATTACTCCACTCCCAGATTTTGTTGGCTCAGAACAGAGAGAAAGAGACTCTGCATGTTTGGAAGAAGGAAATGGAAAGGAAAAAGAGTCTCTGCCTGGGAATCCATAGATTCTTATTCAAAACTGAAAAAGAATCCCTAATCGTGTTCAATCCCAAATCTTGTTCAAAACTGTCAAGGCAGTACCTCTATAATCTGCAAGAACCACAGTATTACTGGACTATGGGCATCCCCTAAAGCAAACAGAGCTTAGGTGACTGCACCCAAGCCCTTTTGAGTATCTGAAAAATTTTCCCAAGTAAGATGGTTACAAACAAGGTTTGACAGTAAAGACTACAATAAATACCTAGCCCTTCAATGCTCAGACATTGCATAATATCTACTGGCATCAACACCATTTAGGAAAACATGACCTCTCCAAATAAACTACCTAAGACACCAGGGACCAGTCCTAGAGAAAAAGAGCTATTTTGAGTAAACTCAAAGAAATTTAAGATAACACAGAAAAGGAATTCAGTATTCTATTATATAAATTTAACAAAGAGTTTGAAATAATTAAAAAGAATAAGGCAGAAATTCTAGAGCTGAAAAACACAGTTGGCACACTGAAGAATCCATCCAAATCTTTTAACAACATAAATTAACAAGCAGAAGAAAGAATTAGTGAACTTGGAGACAGGCTATTTGAATATATACCATAAAAGAGGACAAAACAAAAATGAATAAAAATCAATGAAGCATGCTTACAGGATCTAAAAAATAGCCTAAAAAAACACATCTAAGATTTATGGACCTTAAAGAAAAGGTAAAGAAAAAGATAGGGGTAGGAAGCTTATTCAAAGAGTTAATAACGGACAACTTCTCAAAGCTGGGGAAAGATATTAATATGTAAATACAACAAAGTTACAAACCACCAAGCAGATTTAACCCAAAGAAGATTACCTCAAGGCATTTAATAACTAAATTTGCAAAGGTCAAGGAGGCAGAAAAGATTCTGAAGGAAGCAAGAGAATAGAAACAAATAACATACAATGAAGCTCCAATACATCTGGCATCAGACTTATCAGCAGAAAACATACAGGCCTTGAGAGAGCAGTATGAAATATTTAAAGTACTGAAGAAAACTTTTAGCTTAGAATAGTAAATCTAGCAAAATTTTCTTTCAAACGTGAGGGTAAAATAAAGACTTTCCCAGACAAACAAAAGCTGAGGAATTTCATCAATACCACACCGATCCTACAAGAAATACTAAAGTGGGAATAATAAGTACACAGAAAATATTATAACACTGTAACTGTGATGTGTAAACTACTCTTATCCTAACTAGAAAGACTAAATGATAAACCAATCAAAAACAATAACTTTAACAACTTTTCAAGACATTGACAGTACAATAAGATTTAAATGAAAACAAGAAAAAGTTAAAAATTGGGGGAACAAAGTTAAGGTATAGAGTTTCTATTAGTTGTCTTTTTGCTTCTTTGTTCATCCAAATAGCATCATTATCATCTTAAAATAATAGATTATAAGGTCATATATGCTAAGTCTCAGGTTGATGACAAATGCCAAAATTTACAAGGGATACACAAAACAATAAAAGAAAGAAACTAAATCATATCACCAGAGAAAATTACCTCCATTACGAGAAGATTGGAATGAAAGAGAGTAGAAAACAGAAGACCACAAAAAAAATTATAAAACAAATAAAAAAATGGCAAGAGTAAGACCTTACTTATCAATAATAACATTAAATGTAGATGAACTGAACTTCCCAATCAAAAGACATAGAGTGGCTGAATGGATGGAAAAACAAAACCCATTGATCTACTACCTAAGAGAAACACACTTCACCTATAAAGACACACATAGACTGTAAATAAAGGGCTGTAAAAAGATGTTCTATGCCAAAGAAAAAAAAAATAACGAGTCACTATTCTTATATGAGACAAAATATATTTGAACACAAAAACTATAAGAAGAGACAAAGAAGTTCACTATACAATGATAAATGGGAGGGGTCAGTTCAGCAAGAGAATATAACTGTTTTAAATATATATGCACCCAACACTGGAGCTCCCAGATATAGAAAGAAAATATTATTAGAGCTAAAGACAGGCTTAGGCTCCAATACAATAATAGCTGGAAACTTCAACACCCCACTGTCAGCATTAGACAGATCTTCCAGAAAGAAAATCAACAAAGAAACATCAGACTTAATCTTCACCATAGACCAAATGGATCTAACAGATATTTACAGAACATTTTATCTAAGAGCTGCAAAACATACATTCTTCTCATCATTATATGAATTATTCTCAAGAACAGAGCATATTTTGGGTCACAAAACAAGTCTTAAAACATTCAAAAAATTGAAATAATATCAAGCATCTTCTCTGATCCCAATGGAATAAAACTAGAAATTAATAAAGAGACAAATTTTGGAAACTATGCAGATATGTGAAAATTAAACAATATGCTCCTGAATGACCAGTGGATCAATGAAGAAAGTAAAATGTAAAATTAAAATTTCTGGAAACCAATGATCATGGAAACATAACATACCAAAACTTATGGAATACAGAAAAAGTAGTACTAAGAGGGAAGTTTACAGCTATAAGTGCCCACATCAAAAAAGAGAAAAAATTCAAATAAACTAACAATGCATTTTAAATAACTAGAAAAGCAAGAGCAAATCAAACACAAAATTAATAGAAGAAAATAAGTAATAAACTTTAGAACAGAAATAAGTGAAATTGAAATTAAAAAGCAATATAAAAGATCAGTGAAACAAAATGTTTTTTTGAAAAGTTAAAGAAAATTTACAAACCGTTAGCCAGACTAAAGAAGAGAGAGAAAATTCAAACAGTAAATTCAAAAATAAGAAAGGAACACTACAACAGATACCGCAGATACTTAAAGAATCATTAGTGGCTACTGTGAGTGACAATATGCCAATAAATTTAAAAACATAGAAGAAATAGATAAATTCATAGATACATATAACTTAGCAAGATTGAACCAGGAAGAAATCCAAAACTGCAATGGACCAATAACAACTATTGAGATCAAAGCCATAATAAAAAATCTCCGAGTAAAGAAAATCTCAGGACCCAATTGATTCACTGCTGAATTCTACCAAACATTTAAATAAGAACTAATACCAATCCTATTCAAAATATTCAAAAAATAGAGGAAGAAATACTTTCACACTCATTATAAACAACCAGTATGACCCTGATACCAAAACCAGACAAGGACACATCAAAAAAAGAAAACTACAGGTCAATATCTGTGATGAATATTGATGTAAAAATCCTCCATAAAATAGGGAGAAAAATCTTCATATACACAGACATGTATATATACACACATATACACATACATGTATATATACACATACACATACATGTATATATACACACATATACACATGCAAGTATATATACACATATACACATGCATGTATATATACACATGTACATGCATGCATATATACACATACACATACATGCATATATACACATATACACTTACATGCATATATACATATATGCACCCACATGTATATATGCACACACGTATATACATATATGCGCATACATATATACATACATGCACATATATGTATATGCATATAATCACATGTATATACGCATGTACACATACATGTATATACACATGTGTATACACATATACACATCCATGTATATACACATGTACATGTATATATACATATACACATATGTACCTGTATATATACATATACACATATGTACCTGTATATATACATATGCACATGCATGTATATATACATATATTCCGTCATATATGTTTATATATAAATGTATGTATATATACGTGTGTATATATGTATATATACATGTATGCATATATGATGGAATACATATATATGCATACACATGTACATATATATGTATATATGTATATCATATAGTATAGTAGTATTCCATCATATATATGTGTATATATACATGTATGTATATATGATGAAATACATATATATGTATATATACATGTATGTATATATACATTTATATATAATGGAATGCTACTATACTGTACTATACTATATATATATCACAGATCCTTTATCCACTCGTTGATTGATGGGCGTTTGGGTTGGTTCCATGATTTTGCAATTGTGAATTGTGCTGCTATAAACATGCATGTGTAAGTATCTTTTTTATATAATTACTTCTTTTCCTCTGGGTAGATACCTAATAGTGGGATTGCTGGATCAAATGGTAGTTCTACTTTTAGTTATTTAAGGAATCTCCACACTGTTTTCCATAGTGGTTGTAGTAGTTTACATTCCCACCAGCAGTGTAGAAGTGTTCCATGATCACTGGATCCATTCCAACATCTACTGTTTTTTGATTATGGACATTCTTGCAGGAGTTAGGTGGTATCACATTGTGATTTTGATTTGCATTTCCCTGATCATTAGTAATGTTGATCATTTTTTCATTTATTATTGGCCATTTGTATATCTTCTTTTGAGAATTATCTAGTCATGTCCTATATATATATACACATATATACACACATATATATACATATATATACATATATATACATATATACACACATATATATACATATATATACATATATATACATATATACACACATATATATACATATATATACATATATACACACATATATACACACATATATATATGATGGAATACTACTCAGCCATAAAAAGGAATAAATTAATAGCATTGCCAGCAACCTGGATGAGATTGGAGATTATTCAAAACAAGTAACTTAGGAATTGAAAACCAAACATTATACATCTTAAATGTTAAGACGTCTTAAATGTTAAGTCTTATATATACACACATATATATACACACATATATACACACATATATACACACATATATGTATACATATATACACATATATGTATACATATATACACATATATGTATACACATATGTATACATATGTGTATACATATATATACACATATATGTATACACATATGTATACATATGTGTATACATATATATACACATACATATATATATGATGGAATACTACTAAGCCATAAAAAGGAATAAATTAATAGCATTTCCAGCAACCTGGATGAGATTGGAGATTATTCAAAGCAAGTAACTTAGGAATTAAAAACCAAACATTATACGTCTTAAATGTTAAGACGTCTTAAATGTTAAGAGTCTTAAAAACCTTCAGACTCTTATACAACAAAGAATTGTCTGGTTATTGAGTACTTCTACCTGAAAGAAATAATTTGCCAATTTTAGGTCATCTCATTCAACCAGCATGTACAGTTTCAGTTAAGCTTTAATAAAACTCATAGTTGTAAATTCTAAACATGGTAGAAAATTTTTTATATGTTCTAAAGGCTAATGTTTTGCCCGTGGAATGTGGCTAAACTGAGCCTTTAATGTGTAAGCTCTGAATTTTGGTATGAGATGTTTGGAATAAACCTATATTTTATGAAGTAAATCTTTATAATTTCAAAGTTTTTCGGCTTTATACTTTCTACACATAAGATGAAAATGTGTTAGTACAGAGTCAGACACTAAGTTCAGTCAACTACAGGAGGAGCATTATGAACTCATAGCAAGAACTTCTTCCTTCTTTGTCATGATTTATCTCCTTAATAATTTACAATTTTATCTTCTCTTAAGGACCACGCTGTTTTTAAAAATATGACTACAACTTGAAAATCCTTTATTCTCTATGAACTCATTGTACATAATAAGATAATCATCAAATGACTTCAATGTTGTGGTAGATGAGAGGTTATTAAGACCTTGTGCATGGGCTATCTATGGACTAGGAGGTTGATTCCCCTATAAATCAGTCATCTAGGGCTAGTTGGATAAATCAAAATGGGACAAGAAAAAAAAACCTTTTGAATTTAGTACTTTTAAAAGATGCCTAATGAAATAAATCTGGAACACATTGCACACTTATCTGCATTCATCAGGTCAATGTTATTGTATTACAGATTGCCTCTCCCTGCCAGAGTAAAAAAGAAAGTGGTCTAGAGTGGAAATAAGTTGTGTAAATGAAACAAAAAAATCTTAAGTTGATTATACAATTGAGAATAGAAAATTATGTTAACAAAAATATGTAAAAAGCAATTGCTATTCACACATGGCTTTCCAATATTATGTTTTTTGAATTAAGAAAGCTATCATCTTAACATATGAACCTTAATATAATGACACCTACCAAGTGCTTAATATTTCCCAGGTGCTCTTATAATTACTTTAAATCACAGGATTTTAACTTTGGATGCAAATTAGAATCATCTGGGGAACTATAAAATTCTAGATGACCTGGTCTCACTGGAAACCAATTAAATCAGAATATCTATGTGTGGTATCAGTCCAAGCATTAGTAGTGTTTAAACTCACCAGGTGATTGCAATGTGCAGCTGAGGTTAAGAATTGTTTTTTGGATGCAATAATTTCTTTAATTTTCACAACAGCCTTTTGATAAATGATACTTTTTATCATCACCATCATCATCTTTAATTCACAAGTGACAAAACCGTGACAGAGAGATATGAAGTCCATTTACCAGGGCCATCAGCTCACAAGTGACAACCGGGATTTGAATCCTGGGAGTTTAGCTCTAATGCTATTATTATATCATTGCCACCTATATTAAAAATCACAGATTAACAAAATTCTTGTCAGCCTTGAATTACCCATCATAAATGTTGCCCTAGTAGCCCTTAAATAATTTTAATTTGTTTGCTTGAAAGTTAAGGGAAGAAAAAATAATGTCTGCTGAGAAAAATTAATTTCCCTTTGTTAACATTATAATGTAATTAATCTGGTTTCTAAAGCATATCTACTGCCATCAAGCAATGTAAAATACTAGCACTTCCGGCCATAATTGTTTTTTAGTTTATATCTTTTTTATTGTATTTTTTTATTTCCATAGGTTTTTGGGAACAGGTGGTGTTTGGTAACATGAGTAAGTTCTGTAGTGGTGATTTGTGAGATTTTGGTGCACCCATCACCCAAGCAGTATGCACTGTATCCAATTTGTGGTCTTTTATCCTTCACCCCTCTCCTACCCTTTCCCCCAAGTTCAAAAAATTTGAAGCCTGACAATGTGATAGAAAAGGAAAACACATTTTCTGAGGATAAATTCCAGCTGGCTGTAGAAATTTGCATAAGTAACAAGGAGCCAAATGATAATTGCCAGGACAATGGGGAAAATGTCTCCAGGGCATGCCAGAGACCTTCCTGGCAGCCCCTCCCATTACAGGCCCAGAAGCCTAAGAGGAAAAAAATGGTTTTCTGGGCTAGGCCTAGGGCCTCCCTGCCCTATGCAGCATAGGGACTTGGTGTCCTGTATTTCAACTGCTTCAGCCATAGCTAAAACTGACCAAGGTACAGCTCAGGCCATGGCTTCAGGGGATGCAAGCCCCAAGCCATGAGAGCTTCCATATGGTGTTGGGTGTGAAGGTGCACAAAAGTCAGAAACTGAGATTTGGGAACCTCTGCCTAGATTTCAGAGGATTCATGGAAATGCCTGGATGTTCAGGCAGAGGTGTGCCACAGGAGCAAAGCCCTCATGGAAAACCTCTGCTAGGGCAATGCAGAAGGAAAATGTAGGGTGTGAGCTCCCACATAGAGTATGCACTGGGCCACTGCCTAGTGGAGCTGTGAGAAGAGGGCCACCCTCTTCCAGATTCCACAATGGTAGATCCACTGACAGCTTGCACTGTGGACCTGGAAAAGCCACAGACACTCAATGCCAGCCCATGAATGCAGCTGGGAGGGAGACTGTACCCTGCAAAGCCATAGAGGCAGAGCTGCAAAGGACCATGAGATGTGAGATGTGATGTGAGAAATGGATTCAAAGGGGATCATTTAGGAACTTTAAGATTTGATTGCCCCGCTGGATTTCAGCCTTGCATGGGGCCTCTAGCCCCTTTGTTTTGGCCATTTTCTCCTATTTGGAATTGGGGTATTTATCTAATGCCTGTATCCCCATTGTATCTAAGTAGTAGTTAACTTGCTTTTGATTTTACAGGCTCCTAGGCAGAAAAGACTCGCCTTGCCCCAGATGAGCCTTTGGACTGTGGACTTTTTAGTTAATGCTGAAATGAGTTAAGACTTTGGGGGACCATTTGGAAGGCATGATTGGTTTTGAAATGTGAGGACGTGAGAATTGGGAGGGGCAAGAGATGGAATGATATGGTTTGGTTGTGACTCCACCCAAATCTTATCTTGTATTGTAGCTCCCATAATTCACACGTTTTGTAGGAGGGACCAAGCACTGCTTCCATAGGTTTTGGTATGTTGTGTTTTTATACTCATTCATTCCAAGAAATTGTTCAGATTTTATGAGAAAATGGCAGATAGGAGGCAGGACTAAATTGCAGCTTCCAATTGGACAGACAGAGCAGCATGTAGACTCACATTGTAAATTTTTGCTCTAAGAACTACTGCAGAAACATGCCAGGAAAGCCAAGAGAATCTACAGACCCTTTGAAGGAAGCAGATTGCTACTGTAGGCCCTGAAAGACAGCCCAAAAACTGTAAGTGTCCAAAGTGTGAAAGTATAAAAGGGGAATTATCCACACTCAAACACACACTCTTACTGGGGAACCTGAAGGTCCAGATCACGAGAGAAGAATTTGACCTTACTGGGAGTTAAGACAAATTTAGAGAGCCAAGTGAAATACAGGAGTAGAAGAAGCAACAGGAAGAGCTCTGTCAGCTCTCTTGGTCCCCAGGGAAGCCATTTCTGACTTTCACTTGCAGAGGTCCTTGGGGAGGGCTTCCAGGGTAACTAGGAAAAGACCACAGGGAAAAGAAAACTGCCAGCAAAACTTTGTAAAAATTTTGACTGAACATTAATTTTCCTGGACAGAACCCAGGGGAAGGGGTGAATCAGGAATGCAGACACACCACAGAAGCCACAGCAGGTGGGGAGGCAGGAAACATGAAAACCCAGCTTGCTTTCAAAGTGGGGAAGCTGGTAACCTGGGGCAAGTTCCCAGCCTTGCTCACCTACTGCCTGGAAATAAACTCAGTGCTGTTGCAGGGGCATGGCAGAAGTGAGACCAGCCTTTTGAACTGCATGGGAGCTGGGTGAGACCTGTAACTGCCAGCTTTCCCCCACTACCCTGGTGACCAGCATGACACAGCAGAGGCAGCCATAATTCCCTAGGCAATATAATTCCATTGGCCTGAGAACCACAGCCCAATCCCCCACAATTGCTGGAGCAAGACCCACCCAAGGAGAGTCTGAGTTCAGACATGTGTAATGCTGCACACACCTGATGGTCTTTCTCTACCCACCCTGTGCCCTGGTAGCTGAAAACAAAGGACTTAATCTCTTAGGAGCTGTAGGGCTCAGCCCACCGCCTGATCTTCTCTATACTATTACAGCTGATGTTCTCTTGAAAGCACTACCTCCTGGCTGAAGGCCAGCCAGCACAAAACCAGTTCATCACAAGACTCTGTGCAGACACTCCCCAGTACCCCAGCCTGGAGCCCGGCAGCTCTGCTGGGTGGCTAGATCGGGAAGTAAAATAACAATCACTGCAGTTTGACTCTCAGGAAGCCACATCCCTAGGAGAAGAGAGAGAGCACCACATCAAAAGAGGACCCCATGGCACAAAGAATCTGAATAGCAGTCCTTGAGCCCGAAATCTTCCCTCTTAGATACTCTACCCAAATGAGAATAAACCAGAAAAACAATTCTGGTAATACAACAAAACAAAGTTTTTTTTAACACACTCAAAAGATGACACTAGCTCACCAGCAAAAGATCCAAACAAAAAAGGAATTCTTGAATTTCCAGGAAAAGAATTCAGAAGGTCAATTATCAAGCTAATCAAGAAGGCACCAGAAAAAGGTGAGGTCCAACATAATGAAAAAAAATGATACAACATATGAAGGGAAAAATCTTCAGTGAAATAGATAGCATAAATTAAAAATCACGACTTCTGGAAGTGAAGAAAACATGTAGAGAAATGCAAAATACACTAGCAAGTCTCAGCAATAGAATCAAATAAGCAGAAGAAAGTACTTCAGAGCTCAAAGATAAGGTTTTCAAATTAACCCAATCCAACAAAAACAAAGAAAAAAGACTCAAGAAAAATAAACAAAGCTTCCAAAAAGTTGAGAAATAAGACAAATCTAACTACTTTCTAATAATTAAATAAATAAATCTAAACAATAATCTAATATGTTGGAAAACATATTTGGGGAAATAGTTGAGGAAAACTTCCTCAGCCCTGCTAGAGATCTAGGCATTTAAATGCAAGAAGCTCAAAGAACACCTGGGAAATTTACTACAAAAAGCTCATCATCTAGGCACATCATCATCAGGTTATCTAAAGTGAAGATGAAGGAAAGAATCTTAGGAGCTGTGAGGCAAAAGCACCAGGTAACCTATAAAGAAAAACTTATCAGATTAACAGCAGATTTCTCAGCAGAAACCCTACAAGCTTGAAGAGATTGGGGCCCTATCTTTATCCTCCTTAAACAAAGCAATTATCAGCCAAGAATTTTAGATCCAGTGAAACTAAGCTTCTAAATGAAGGAAAGATGCAGTCTTTTTAAGAAAACAAATGTTGAGAGAATTCTCCACTACCAAGCCAGTACTAAAAGAACTGCTAAAAGCAGCTCTAAATCTTGAAATGAATCCTCAAAATACACCAAAATAGAACCTCCTTAAAGCATAAATCTCACAGGACCTACAAAACAAAAATACAATATATTTTAAAATAACACAAGGTATTCAGGCAACAAATAGCATAATGAATAAAATAGTGCCTCACATCTCAATACTAACACTAAAGGTAAATGGCCTAAATGCTCCACTCAGAAGATACAAAGTGGCCGAGTGGATAAGAATTCACCAACCAAGTACCTGCTGTTTTCAAGAGACTTGCTTAACATATAAGGACTCACACAAACTTAAGGTAAAGGGATGGAAAATAAATATTCCTTGAAAATGGACACCAAAAGTGAGCAGGAACAGCTGTTCTTATATCAGATGAAACAAACTTTAAAGCAACAGCTGTTAAAAAATGACAAAGAAGAAAGTGAAATAATTATAAAAGGATTTGTCAAATAGAAAAGTATCACAATCCTAAGTATATATGCAGCTAACATTGGAGCTCCCAAATTTATAAAACAATTACTACTAGACCTAAGAAATGAAATAAACAGCAACACAATAATAGTGGGGGACATCAATACTCCACTGACAGGTCAGGAAGATGAAAAGTAAACAAAAAAAATGGACTTAAACTATACCCTAGAACAAATGGACTTTACAAGTATTTACAGAACATTTTGCCCAACAACTGCAGAATATTCATTCTATTCATCAGCACCTGGAACATTTTCCAGGATAGACCATATGATTGATAGGCCACAAAACAAGTCTCAAAAAATTCAAGAAAATGGAAATTATATCAAGTACTCTCTCAGGTCACAGTGGAATAAAATTGGAAATCAACTCCAAAATGAACCTTTAAAGCCACACAAATACATGAAAATTAAATAACCTGCTCCTCAATGATTGTTGGGTCAACAATGAAATCAAGATAGAAATTTTAAAAAATTATTTGAACTGAACAATAATAGTGACACAACCCATCAAAACCTCTGGGATACAGCAAAGGTAGAGCTCAGAGGTAAGTTCATAGCCTTAAATGCCTACATCAAAAAGCCAGAAAGAGCACAAATAGACAATCTAAGGTTATACCTTAAGGAAACAGAGAAACAAGAATAAACTAAACCCAAACCCAGGAGAAGAAAATAAATAAGAAATATCAGAGCAGAACTAAATGAAATAAAAATGAAAAAATAAATTAAACAAAAAGCTGGTTTTCAAAAAGATAAAATCGATAGACCATTAGCAAGACTAACTAAGAAGAGAAGAGAGAAGATCCAAATAAGCTCAATTAGAAACAAAATGGGAGACATTACAACTGACACCACAGAAATACAAAAGATCATTCAAGCCGACTAGGAACACCTTTATGTGCATAAACTAGAAAACCTAGAGAAAGTGGATAAATTCCTGGAAACATGCAACCCTCCCAGATTAAACCAGGAAGAAATAGAAACTGAACAGATCAATAACAAGCAGCGAGATTGCAATGGTAATTGAAAAATTACCAATAAAAAAAAATTCAGGACCAGACAAATTCACAGTTGAATTTTATCAGACTTTGAAAAATGAATTGGTACCAATCTTATTGAAACTATTCCAAAAGATAGAGAAAGAGGCAATTCTCCCTAAATCATTCTATCCGGTATCCCCTTAATACCAAAACCAAGAAAGTACATAACAAAAAAAAAGAAAAAGAAGAAAGATGAAAGAAGAAAGAAGCAAGAAGGAAGAGGAGGAGGAGGAGGAAGAAGAAGAAAAAGAAGAAGGAGAAGGAGAAGAAGAAGGAGAAGAAGAAGGAGGAGGAGGAGGAAGAAGAAGAAAAAGAAGAAGGAGAAGGAGAAGAAGAAGGAGAAGAAGAAGGAGGAGGAGGAAGAAGAAGGAAGAAGAAAGAAGAAGAGAGAAGAAAAAAGAAGAAGAAGACTACAGACCAACATCCCTGATGAATTTGGATGCAAAAATTCTTAAGAAAATACCAGCTAACCGTCCGAGGCGGCAGTGGCGCCGGTGAGGACAAGGATAGCGGAAGCGGGCCCTGGGCTTGTCACTCACTGTGCCGAACGTAGAGGAGCTTTACCGCAATTATGGCATCCTGGCCGATGCCATGGAGCAAGTGGTCCAGCATAAAAATGCCTATGAAGTGATACCGGGTGGTGTGAAAGGTGGTACTAAGGAAAAACGATTAGTAGCCCAATTTATTCCGAAATTCTTTAAGCAGTTTCCAGAATTGGTTGAGTCTGCTATCAATGCACTGTTAGACCTCTGTGAGGATGAAGATGTATCTATTCGACGTCAAGCAATTAAAGAACTGCCTCAATTTGCCACTGGAGAAAATCTTCCTCGAGTGGCAGATATATTAATGCAACTTTTGCAGACAAATAACTCTGCAGAATTTAACCTAGTGAACAACGCCCTGTTAAGTATATTTAAAATGGTTGCAAAAGGGACTTTAGGTGGGTTGTTCAGCCAAATACTTCGAGGAGAGGACATTGTTAGAGAACGAGCAATTAAATTCCTTTCTACAAAACTTAAGACTTTACCAGATGAAGTCTTAACAAAGGAAGTGAAAGAGCTTATACTAACTGAATCCAAAATGTCCTAGAAGATGTGACTGGTGAAGAATTTGTTCTATTATGAAGATACTGTCTGGGCTAAAAAGCTTACAGTGAGTGGAAGATAGCAACTTGTAGGGTTGGTGGCTGAACAGGCCGACCTAGAACAGACCTTCAATCCCTCGGATCTTGACTGTGTGTACAGGCTCTTACAGTGCACTCGGCAAGCAGTACCCCTCTTCTCTAGAATTATCCATTCCACAAGGTTTGTGACATATTTCTGTGAGCAGGTTCTCCCTAACCTCAGTACCTTGACTACCCCAGTGGAAGGTCTTGATATACAGTTGGAGGTATTGAAATTGTTGGCTGAGATGAGTTCATTTTGTGGTGACATGGAAAAACTAGAAACAAATTTAAGAAAACTATTTGATAAGTTATAGGAATACATGCCGCTCCCTCCAGAAGAAGCAGAAAATGGAGAGAATGCTGGTAATGAAGAACCCAAGCTACAGTTCAGTTATGTGGAATGTTTGTTGTATAGTTTTCACTAGTTGGGCCGAAAACATCCAGATTTCTTAACAGCCAAACTGAATGCAGAAAAGCTCAAAGATTTCAAAATCAGGCTGCAGTACTTTGCACGGGGCCTGCAAATTTATATCAGACAACTTCGCTTAGCTCTCCAGGGTAAAAGCTCTCCAGGGTGAGGCCTTAAAAACAGAAGAGAACAAGATTAAAGTCGTTGCATTGAAAATAACAAACAATATCAATGCTTTAATCAAGGATCTCTTCCACATTCCTCCTTCTTATAAGAGCACAGTAACACTATCCTGGAAACCTGTACAAAAGGTTGAGATTGGGCAAAAGAGAGCCAGTGAAGATACAACTTCAGGTTCACCACCCAAGAAATCTTCAGCAGGACCAAAAAGAGATGCCAGGCAGATTTATAACCCTCCCAGTGGGAAATATAGCAGCAATTTGAGCAACTTTAATTATGAGAGGAGCCTTCAGGGGAAGTAGAGGTGGCCGAGGTTGGGGCACACGAGGAAATCGTAGTCGGGGAAGACTCTACTGAATAAGACGTCAGCATTCTTCAGCATTGTCGTGGGCTTAATATACATAAATTCTACTAATCATTGAATTGCCGGGGATGTCCCTTTAAACAGACTGCTGCCTTCAGCTAAAAACTTAATGTTCTTTATACCTTTGTATGTATGATCTACTTTTGTAACAGACCATGGTTGTGTCCAAGGTAAAACCACAGTGATATTTTTGGATGCTTTGTCTGCAATCTTGTCTTGTTTTTGCAATATCGTTATTCAGACTTCAAATTGTGAATCTTTTACTTTTAAACATCTTGATAATTTGTTGTTGAGAGCTGTTCATTCTAAAATGTAATGAAATTCAGTCTAGTTCTGCTGATAAAGATCATCAGTTTTGAAAGGTTACTGATTTTCCTCTACCCTCTTAGTTTTTTGCCCAATATATGGAGAAGAGTAATGGTCAATCTTAACATTTTGTTTTAATTGTTTAATAAAGCTGCTGGGCAGTGGTGCAGCATTCCTACCTAGTGTCATAAAAGCAAAATACTTACATAGCTTCCTTAAAATATAGGAATGACATTACATTTTTAGGAGAAAGTAAGTTGCTTTGCACGGCTTACTAAATTCCTTTCCATATATTGTGATACAAACTTTTGAATATGGAATCTTACTATTTGAATAGAAATGTGTATGTATAATATACATACATACATAAGCATGGGTGTGTGTGTGTGTGTGTGTGTGTGTGTGTATTTTCACTCACGTCTGTGTGAAGAGAACACCAAACAGGCTTTGTGTGAGCAACAGGGCTGTTTATTTCACCTGGGTGTAGGCGGGCTGAGTCTGAAAAGAGTCAGTGAAGGGAGATAGGGGTGGGGCCGTTTTATAAGATTTGGGTAGGTAAAGGAAAATTACAGTCAAAGGGGGGTTGTTCTCTGGCAGGCAGGAGTGGGGGTCACAAGGTGCTCAGTAGGGGAGCTTTTTGAGCCAGGATGAGCCAGGAGAAGGAATTTCACAAGGTAATGTCATCAGTTAAGGCAAGGACTGGCCATTTTCACTTCTTTTGTGGTAGAATGTCATCAGTTAAGGCAGAAACAGGCCATTTAAATATCACTTCTTTTGTGATTCTTCAGTTACTTCAGGCCATCTGGATGTATACATGCAAGTCACAGGGGATATGATGGCTTAGCTTGGGCTCAGAGGCCTGACATATATATATATACATGCTATGAAACTTGACTACACAACATAAATCACTTTTTAAATTCCAGGAACGGGTAATCTGACACAGTGATTATCCTTTTGAGGCTGAATCTGTTATTAACTTGTTATTTAGGTTTTTACTCCCAGTAGGAAGGGATTCTAAGTCAGTTGCACTTACATGATTATTGTTATTTAAAACTAAAAATAAAGGATGCATTTTCAAAGATAAATTGGAGTTGCTATTGGTGAAATACAACCAAAATACTGAATCTGATGTACATATAGGTTTCTACAGGAAGAGATATTATAATTTAGAATTTGGAATTTAATAACCAGGGCTACCCAGAAAAAGTGACTTGATAACATGGTACCAATAAGTAAGGGATGCTCTCTCTGTTTGCTTTTGCCACTTTCAAGATTTTAACTTCTCAGGTTATTAATCAAAATTATTGTATAAGTTAGCCAATAGAATTTTTAGGTTAAAACAACAGATGGGGGGTTTTTGGAGTGTTTAATGTCATGGGCATTTTTAGTAGCATAGACCCTTTGTTCTGCATTTGAATGTTTCGTATATTTTTGTTTCACAGTTAATCTTTCCTCCCCAAGTTTGCTATTCAAATCAACTGCCTGAATGACATTTCTAGTAGTCTGATGAATTTTTTTGAGGAATAGTTTGTGATTCCAATGCAGGTGTCTTCATTACCATTACCTCTACACTGCAGAAGAAGCAAAACTCCTTTATTAGAATTACTGCACATGTGTATGGGGAAAATATTTCTGAAAGGCTAGAATGATACAAGTGAGCAAAAGTTGGTCAGCTTGGCTATGGAGTGGTGGTAATAATCTCTAAACATTCCAAAAGACCATGAGCTGAGCCTAAACTCCCTTGGAATCTGAACAAAGGAATATAAAATTGCCATTTGAAAACTGACCAGGTAATCTGGACCTCAGAGATAGATCAGCCAGTGGCCCAAAGCCATTTCAAGTACAGAAATTGTATTGAGAATACAGCTAAATAAATTTGAAGATTAAGTATAATTTTACCACTTTTCCTCTTTATAAGCACATTTGTAAACTCAAAACTGAGCAGAAGTGACTTTACTTTTCTCAAGTTTGATACTGAGTTGACTGTTCACTTATCCCTCACCCTTCCCCTTCCCTTTCCTAAGGCAATAGTGCACAACTTAGGTTATTTTTGCTTCCGAATTTGAATGAAAAACTTAATGCCATGGATTTTTTTTCTTTTGCAAGACACCTGTTTATCACCTTGTTTAAATGTAAATGTCCCCTTATTCTTTTGAAATAAATTTCCTTTTGTAATTTAAAAAAAAAAAAAAAGAAAATACTAGCTAACCAAATCCAACAGCATATCAAAAAGGTAATCCACCATTTTCAAATGGGTTTCATACCAGGGATGCAGAAATGGTTTAACATACACAAGTCGATAAATGTGATACATAGCATAAACAGAATTAAAAATAAAAATCAGATGATCTTCTCAAGAGAAGCACAAAAAAGCATTTGAGAAAATCCAGCATTCCTTTATGATTAAAACCCTCAGCAAAATTTGCATACAAGGGATATACCTCAATGTATACAACATAATACCGAATGGGGAAAAGTCAAAAGCATTCCCTCTGAGAACTGGAACAAGACAAAAATGCCCACTCTCACCACTTCTATTCAACATAATACTGGAAGTCATAGCCACAGCAACCAGAAAAGAGAAAAAAATAAAGGGCATCCAAATTGGTAAAAAGGAAGTCAAACTGTCGCTGTTTGCTTATGAGAAGATCATATACCTAGAAAACCCGAAAGACTTCTCATAAAAACTCCCAGAACTGATAAATGAATTCAGCAAAGTTTCAGGATACAACATTACTGTACACAAATCATTAGCTCTGTTATAAACCAATAGCGACAAAGCTGAAAATCGAATCAAGAACTCAACCACTTTTACAATAGCTACAAGAAAATAAAATCCTTAGGAATACACCTAACCAAGGAGGTTAGTTCACCATCATTCTTCAAAGAACTAAAAAAAATTCTAAAATTCATATGGAATCAAAAAAAGCACACATAGCCAAAGCAAGTCTAAGCAAAAGAAAACAAATCTAAAGGAATTATATTACCTGACTTCAAACTGTATTATAAGGCCATAGTCACCAAAACAGCATGACACTGGTATAAAAATAGGCACATAGGCCAATAAAACAGAATAGAGAATCCAGAAGTAAACACAAATACTTATAGCCAACTGATCTTTGGCAAAGAAAACAAAAACATAAAGTGGTGAAAGGACACACTATTCAACAAATGGTGCTGGGATAATTGGCAAGTTACGCGTAGAAGAATGAAACTGGATCTTCATCTCTCACCTTATACAAAAATCAATTCAAGATGGATTAAAAAAAACCTTAAATGTAAGACCTGAAACCATAAAAATTCTAGAAGATAACGTTAAAAAAAAGAAACCCTTCTAAACACTGGCTTAGGTGAAGACTTCATGACCAAAAACCCAAAAGCAAATGCAACAAATACAAAGATAAATAGATGGGACTTGATTAAACCAAAAAGCTTCTACAAAGCAAAAGAAATAATCAGCAGAGCAAACAGACAACACACAGAGTGGGAGAAAAATCTTCATTATCTATACATCTGACAAAAGACTAATATTCAGAATCTACAAGGAATTCAAACAAATCAGCAAGGAAAAGCAAACAATCCCATCAAAAGACAGACTAAAGGCATGAATAGACAACTCTGAAAAGAAAATGTACAAATGGTCAGCAAACATATGAAAAAATTCTCAACATTACTAATGATCATGGAAATGTGAATCAAAACCGCAATGAGATACCACCTTATGCCTGCAAGAATGGCCAAAATCAAAAAATCAAATAATAATAGATGTTGGCATAGATGTGGTGAAAAGGGAACACTTTTACACTGCTGGTGGGAATGTAAACTAGCACAACCACTATGGAAAACAGTGTGAAGATACCTTAAAGAACTAAAAGCGGAACTACCATTTGATCCATCAATCCCACTACTGTGTATCTACCCAGGGAAGAAGAAGTCATTATATGAAAAAGATATTTACACATGTTTATAGCAGCACAATTTGCAAAAATGTTCACCAATCAATGAGTGGATAAAGAAATTCATATATATATATATATATAACACACACACACACCGTGTAATAGTACTCAGCCATAAAAATGAACAAAATAATGGCATTTGCAGTGACCTGAATTGAATTGGAGATAATTATTCTAAGTAAAGTAACTCAGGAATGAAAAACCAAACATCATATGTTCTCACTTATAAGTGGGAGCTAAACTATGAGGACACAAATGCATAAGAATAATACAATGGACTATGGGGACTCAGGGCAAAGTGTGGGGGTTGGCAAGGAATTAAAGATACATATTGGGTACAGTGTACACTGCTCCAGTGATGGATGCACCAAAATCTCAGAAATCACCAACAAAGATCTTATTTATGTAACCAAACACCTCCTGTTCCCCAAAAAATTATTGAAATAAAAAAAGGCCATTTATATATAATTTATTAATAATAAAAAAGAAATTCTTCAATTTTCTTTTTAATTTATTCATTGATGCACTGGTAATTCAGGAGAATATTGTTTAATTTCCATGTATTTGTATAGTTTACAAAATTCTTCTTGTTATTAATTTCTAGTTTTATTCCCTCATGATCAGAAAAGAAGCTTGATATAATTTCAATTTTTCTGAATGTTTTAAGACTTGTTTTATCCTTAAGAATAATCCATATGCTGAGAAAAACAATGTGTGTTCTGCAGCCAATGGATATAGTGTTCTAAAAATATCCATTAAACCCATTTGACCTATAGGGTAGATTATATCTGATGATCTTTTTTTGATTTTCTGTCTGGAAAATCTGTCTAATGCCGTAAGTGGGTGTTGAAGTCTCTAGCTATGATTATGTTGGGGTCTATTTCTCTATTTAGCTCTAATAATATGAGTGTTATTTATCTGGGTGCTCCAGTGTTGAGTGAATGTATATTTAAAATAGTTATATTCTCTCAATTGATCCCTTTATCATTATATAGTAACCTTTGTCTCTTCTTATACTTTTTGTCTTGAAATCTATTTTGTCTGATATAAGTTTGGCTACTCTCACTCTTTCTTGGTTTCCATTGGCATAAAATATCTTTTTCTATCCATTTATTTTCAGTCTATTTATTTTTATAAGTGAAGTGTGGGTTGGGGGCAGTGGCTCTCGCCTGTAATCCCAGCACTTTGGGAGGCCAAGGCGGGTAGATCTCCTGAGGTTAAGAATTAGAGACCAGCCTGGCCAACATGGTGAAACCCTGACTCTATTAAAATACAAAAATTAGCCAGGCATCATGGCAGGCGCCTGTAATCCCAGCTCCTTGGGAGGCTGAGGCAGGAGAATTGCTTGAACCTAGGAGGCGGAGGTTGCAGTGAGCCGAGATCACACCACTGCACTCCAGCCTGGGGGACAAGAGCGAGACTTCGTCTAGGGAAAAAAAAAAAGAAAAAGAAAAAGAAAAAGTAAAGTGTGAGTGTGTTTCTTGTGGTTAGTAGATCATTTTTTTAAATCCATTTGTCCATTCTGCCTTTTGATTAGAGAGCTTAATCTATTTATACTCAATGTTATTAAAAGAAAGAACTTACTCCTGACATCTTATTTTGTTGTTGTTGTTGTTGTTGTTTTGTCTTCTCCTCTTCCTTCTTTCCTTTCTTCCTGTATTTCTTTTAGTGAAGGTGATTTTCTCTGATGGTATACTTTAAGTCAATTTCTATATGTTGATGTTTCTTTGTTGGTTTTCTGTCTGGAAGATGTGTTCAGTGCTGAAAGTTGGGTGTTGAAGTCTCCAGTTATTATTGTATTAAGGTCTACTTCTCTCTTTAACTCTAATAATATTTGTGTTATATATCTGGGTGTTCCAGTGTTTGGTGCATGTATTCTTAAAATTGTTATATTCTCTTGCTGGATTGAGCCTTTTATTATTATAGAGTAACCTTCTTTGTCTTTTCTTATAGTTTTTGTCTTGAAATATGTTTCATCTTATATAAGTATAGCGGCTCCTGCTCTCTATGGTTTCCATTGGCATGAAATATCATTTTCCAACCCTTTATTTTAAATATATGTGTGTGTTTTAGGTAAAGTGTGTCTATATTACTCAATGCCAACTACGGTTTCAGTGCAATCCCTATCAAAATATCAATGATATTTTTCACAGAAATAAAAACAAACAATCCTAAAATTTGTATGGAATCATGAAAGACCCAGAATAGGTAAAGTTATCCCGAGCAAAAGAAACAAACTAGAGAAATCACATTACCTGACTTCAAATTATAGTACGGAATTATAGTAACCAAAAATCATGGTACTGGCATAAAAACAGATGACTCAGAAACAAATCTACACACCTACAGGTAACTAACGTTTAACAAATGTGTGAAGAACATACACTGGGGAAAAGACAACTTCTTCAATAAATGGTGCTTTAAAAACTGGATATCCAAGGGCAAAAGAATGAAACCAGACCCCTATCTCTCACTATATAAAATAAACCAAATCAAATGAATAATAGAAGAAAATCTAAGAATTCAAACTATGAAACAACTACAAGAAAACATTGGGGAAAATATCCAAAAAGTTGGTCTGGGCCAAAAAAAAAATATATGTATATATAATTATTATTTTTTATATATATATATAATATATATATAGCAATACATCACAAGCAAAGGCAACCAAAGCAAACATAAACAAATGGGATCACATCAACTTAAAAAGCTTCTGCCCAACAAAGGATACAATCAACAAACAGACAACCCACAGAATGAGAGAAAATATTTGCCAACTTTTCATCTGGCAAAGAATTAATAACCAGAATATATAAGGAGCTCAAACAACTCTGTTTTAAAAAAGTCTAGGTATACATTCAAAATAGGTGAAAGATTTAAATAGGCATTTCTCAAAAAAAAGCAAAACATGCAAATGGTGAAGAGAAGGTGAAAAGGTGTCCAACATTGTTAATCATCAGAAAATGCAAATCAAAACTAAAATACGGTATCATCTCACTCCAGTTAAAATGGCTTATATTCACAGGCAGTAACAAAAGCTGGCAAGGATGTGGAGAAAAGAGAATGCTTACACACTGTTGGTGGGAATGTAAATTAGTATAACCACTATGGATAACAGTTTGGAGGTTTCTCAAATAGCTAAAAACAGAGCTACCATATTATCCAGCAATCTCACTGCTAGGTATATGCCCAAAAGAAAGAAAATCAGAATATTGAAGAGATATCTGTACTCCTATGTTTCTTGCAGCACTGTTTACAATATCTAAGAATTTGAAGCAAACTAAGTGTCTATTAACAGATGAATTGATAAAGAAAATGTGACACATATACACAATGGGGTACTATTCAACCATAAAAAAAGAATGAGATTCAGTCATTTGCAGAAATATAGATAAAACTGGAGATCTTTATATTGAGCAAAATAAGCCAGGCACAGAGAGACAAATACCACATGTTCTCACTTATTTGTGAATCTAAAAATCAAAATAATTTAACTCATGGACATAGAGAGTAGAAGGATGGTTATCAGAGGTTGGGAAGGGTAGCTGGGGATGAGAGGGCCATCAGGATGGTTAACGAGTACAAAAAAAAGTTACAAAAATGTATAAGACCTACTATTTGACAGCACAATAGGCTGACTATGGTCAACAATACTTAGCTGTATATTTTAGATAACTTAAAGAGTGTAATTGGATTGTTTATAATACAAAGGATAAATGCTTGAGGAGATGAATACCCCACTCTCCATAATGTGCTTATTTAACATTACATGCCTAAATCAAAGCATCACATGGACTCCATAAATATATCTACCTACTATATACCCACCAAAAAAGAAATTAGAATGGAAATTATAAAACATTTTGAATAGAAGGATAAAAACATGACAAAAAGCTTATGGTATGCAGCTGAAAGCAGTGTTTAGAAAGAAATGTATAGCTGTGTAGCTTTAAATGTGTATATTAGATAAGAAGAATAATTAATCTTCAATTATCTACATTACCATCTCAGAAACATAGAAAAACAGCACATCAAACAGAAAAAAACAATAAAAGGGAACAAATAATAAAGGTAAGACTAGAGGTGAATAAAATAGGAAAAAGTATATGCAATAGGGAAAATCAACAAAGCCTGCTCAATATTTAGAGACTGCTAAGATCTTTAAAAGATTTAATCCTTAAAGGACTACTAAATTGAAGGCATGATAAGGGGACATGTCTACTTCCGGAATCCTAGCATGAGAAAAAAGTAAAACATAACTGGTGAAAAATATTCTTGAAAATTAAAAAAACAAACAATTATTGGCCAGGTGTGGTTGCTCATGCCTGTAATCCCAGCACTTTCAGAGGTGAAGGTAAGAGAATCCTTTGAGCCCAGGAGTTTGAGACAAGCCTGGGCAACATGGTGAGATCCCATTTCTACACCCACATGAAAATTAAAAACAATTAGCCAGGCATGGTGGCACACACCTGCAGTCCCAGTGACTCAGGGGACTGAGATGAGAGGATCACTTGAACCCAAGAGGTTGAGGCTACACTGAGTTGTGATCATGCCATTGCACTCCAGCCTGGACAACAGAGCAAGATTCTGCCTAGAAAAAAAAATATTTCAGTCTCTGGAGATTGCCAAAAGGGTATATATCAATGAAGACACATTTATTCATAAACATCTACTACATCTCCATAAGAACAGTAAGAGTCTGTGGCACTTGAGCCACAACTCAATTCCTTCATCTCCATCCCTAGATCTGCTTTACAGAGATTTGTGGATGGAAGGTGAGGTCAAGAAGATAGAGCTCCGTCTCCCCACAGCACCCATTCAAGGGCTCACAGTACCTCCCTGGGAGGGATAGGGCACCAAATTTTTTTATACCCTCCCACTCTAAGTTAAGGAGGTTAAATCTGCTAAGTGTAGCTGAGAGATTGAGGGCTTCAATACTCCAAGGAGCCTACATTCATTGGGCAGAATCCCTAACCCTGGCACAGCAGGTCAATGATACTGGGTCAAGGTAGAAAGAACTTGGTTAAGATGTTCATATTTCCAAAAGTGAACAAATTCAACAAAATCCCTATCAAACTTTCAACAGCCTTTTTTGTAGAAATAAAAAAAAGCTAGTAATCAAATTTATATAGGATTCCTAGGGCCCTTGAAAAAGCAAACCAATCTTGAAAAAAAAAAACAAATAAAGTCAGAGGGCTAACATTTCTCCAATTCAAAACTTACCATAAAGCTGCAGTAATCAAAACCATTTGATACTAGCATAAGAATAGATATATAGACAAATTGAATCAAAAAAAGAGTGCAGATATAAACATACAGATATGGCCAATTTTTGACAAGATTGCCAAGTACATTCAATGGGGAAAGGACAATCTTTTCAACAAATGGTTTCAGCACAACTGAATATCCAAATGCAAAAGAATGAAGTTGGATTCCTACCTCACATAATACAGTTGACTCTTGAACAACAAGAGATTGAACTGTATGGATCCACTTATGCACAGCTTTTATTCAACCAAACATAGATTGAAACTACAGTATTTGTGGTATGCAAAACCCACATATGGGAAAGGCTGACTTTTTATATATGAGGGCTTCACAGGGCCAACTGCAGTACTTGCGTATGTGTAGATTTGGTTCTATATAGGCAGTCCCGCAACAAATCTCCCTCATATTGTGAGGGACAACTGTATACAAAACTTAACTTTAAATAGATCAAAGTCCTAAATATAAAACTGAAACTTTAAAAATGTTAAAACATAGCATATAATGTTATAAATTGGATTTGGCAAATAATTATTGGATATAACACCAAAACATAAAGAACAAAAGAAAATAATTGATAAATCAAACTTCATCAAGGTTAAAAACTTATGTGAATCAATGGCATTTTAGAGTGAAAAGACAGCATACAGAATGAAAAGATATATACAAATCACATCTGCTGATAATTTAGTATCCAGAAACTTAAAAAACTACTAGAAATCAAAAACAAAAAAAGACAAATTACTCCCAATATAAAATGGGAAAAAATAAATAGGGATTTCTTCAGAGAAGATACTCAAATAGCCAATAAGCACACAAAATGATAGTGATTGAAAACAAGATATCCACAAAATGATGACATTGGACCCTTACCTTATACAAAAGTCAACTCAAAATAGATTAAAGGCTTAAGGTTAAGAGCAACTACTATGAAACTCCTAGGAAAAAAACACAGTGAAAAAGCTTTTTGAAATTGGTCCTGACAAGGTTTTTTTTTGGTGTGGCACCAAAAGCACAGGCAATGAAAGCAAAAATAAACAACTGGAGGTACATCAAGCTAAAAACTTTGTGCTCAGCAAAAAAAACAAACAAAATCAAAAGGCAATCTATGGAATGGGAGAAAATATTTGCAGACAGCATATCAGAAAAGGAGTTTAGTATTCAAAATATATAAGGAACTCTTACAACTCAATAGCAACTAAATAAGCTTATTTTTAAAATGGACAAAGGACTTAAATAGATATTTTTCTAAAGAAGACATACAAATTACCAATAGTTATATGAAAAGATGTTCAATATTACTAACCTTCAGGGAAATGAAAATCAAAATCACAATGAGGTATCACCTCACATCTGCCAAAATGGCTACTATCAAAAAAATAAAAGAAAAGACACTAAGTGTTGGAAAGGAGGAAAAGAAATTGGAACAGAAACACACTATTGGTAGAAATGCCAAATGGTGCAACTGCTGTAAAAAAAAATGACGGTGGTTACAGCAATCCCACTTCTAAACAATTATTCAGAAGAATTTAAATCAAAATGCTAAAGAGATAACAGAACTCCTACTTTCATTGCAGCAGAAAGAACTAAACTGAAGAAATCATATTACCTGACTTCAAATTATACTACAGACTTATAGTAACCAAAACAGCATGGTACTAGCATAGAAACAGACACATAGACCAGTGGAACAGGATAGACAATCCAAAAACAAAATCGCACATATAAAGTGAACTTATTTTTTACAAAGATGCCAACGAGAACATACACTGAGAAAAACACAGTCAATAAATGATGCTGGGAAAACAGGATATCTATATGCACAAGAATGAATTTAGACCCCTCTCACCATATATAAAAATCAAATCCAAATAGATTTAAAAAACTAAATCTAAGAATTCAAGCTATAAAATTACCACAAGAAAACATCAAGGAACTCTCCAGGATATTGGAGTAGGCAAAGACTTCTTGAGCAATACCTCACAAACAGGCAACCAAAGCAAAAATGGACAAATGGGATGACATCGAGTAAAAAAACTTCTGCCCAGAAAAGGAAATAATCAACAAAGTGAAGAGACAACCCACAGAATGGGACAAAATATTTGCAAACTATCCATCTGGCAAGGGATTAATAACCAGAATATATAAGAAGCTCAAACAACTCTACAGATAAGGAATCAAAACTACAAAATTCTTAGTAAAAAAAACATAGATTAAATATTTGTGACTATGGATTTGGCAAGAGTTTTCAAAATATGACACCAAAAGCTCAAGCAGACTGAGAAAGAATAGATAAGTTAGTTTTCATCAAAACTGAAAACTTTAGGGCTTCAATGGTCACCAGTAAGAAAGTGAAAGTATTACCCACAGGATACAAGAAAATATTTTCAAATTATATTTCTAATAAGGTTCTCATAACTAGAAGATACAAAGAATTTTCACAATTCCATAAAAAGACAAATAACTCATTAAAAATTACCAAGGTATCTGAATAAACATTTATTCAAAGAAGGACCAATAAGGATATGAAAAGATGATCAGCATTATTAACCATCAAGAAATGCAAATCTTATTCACAATGAGATACAATTTTACCCGCAGTATGATAGCTATAAACAAAAAGATAGATAATACCATGTGTTGGCAAAAATTAGAGAAGTTGTAATTCTCATATACTGCTTGTGGGATTTTAAAATAGTACATTTACCTTGGAATACAGCTAGCCAGTTTCTAAAAATATTAAACAGCATTACCATATGACCCAGAAATATCAATCCTAAGTATATATCCAAAGAACATAAAAACATGTGTCCATGAAAAAAAGATATTTATTAATTTTTATAGCAGAATTAGTCATAATAGCCAAAAAGTGGAAATTATGCAAATATTCATGAATTAATGAATATGTAAATAAATGTGGTGAATGCATACAATGGGATATAATTTGGCAATAAAAGGAAATGAAGTACTGATATATGCTACAACATAGATGAACCTTGAGATCCTGAAGCTAAGTAAATAAAACTAGTCACAAAAACCATACATGGCATTAATTCATTTATATAAAATGCCCATAATAGGCAAATAGAGAAAGACAAAAAGTAGATTTGTAGTTGTATAGGACTGAGGGTTACGGGGGGAAAATAAGAATTAATTTCTAATGCATATAGGGTTTCTTTTGGGAGTGTTGAAAATGTTCTACAATTGTTTGGGGTTATGTTTGCGCAACTACGTGAATATGCTATAATCTATTGAATTGTATAATTTAAATTGCTAAATTGTATTGTATGTGAATTGTATCTCAGTAAAGGTGTTATTTTAATAATGCATAACATAATGCATAATAAAATAATGCATAATAATAAAATAATTAATAATGCATAATAATAAAATATTATTAATAACATTATCCCAATAATTACACAATTTATATGCAATGGATAATCCTAGGAAAGTGCAACATGCCAAAATATGCAATCACTTACACAGGAATAAATAGAAAATATAAATGTTTCCATATTTATCAGAGAAATTTAATCCAATATTAGGGAGAGCAGATGGAAGTTAAAAAAAGAAACTATCCAAGAAGAAGAAAGCTGGAGAAATTACATTACCAGATACTGAGTTATTATATTGTTATATCAATTAGGAAAATCTGGTATTGGTGCAAGAATAGTCAAATGGGCCAATGGAGCAGAGTTTTCTTTGTCTAATGTAACAAATTACCACAAACATGGTGGCTTACAACCATATATATTTATTCTCTTATAGCTCTGGGGGACATAAATACATGATGAGTCTTATGGGACAAAATCAAAGTGTCAGCAAGTCCAATTCCTTCTGAAAACTCAAGGGTAAATCAATTTCCTTACCTTTTCTAGCTCCTGGAGGCTGCCTGAATCCCTTGGCTCATGACCACTTCCTCACCCCTTGCTTCCATGGTCACATATTCTACTTCTTCCTTTGAACTTCTTGCCTCCCTCTTATAATGACCATTATGGTAACATTTAGGACCTATCTGGATAATCCAGAAAAGACTCTCCATCTCAAGATCTTTAGCTTAATCACATCGGTAAATTCTCTTTTGCCATGTAAGGTAACAGGTTCTAAGAATTAAAATGTAGATATCATTGAATGGCCATTATACAGCCCACCACACAGACTAATATAGATATATAGTATATTATTTATGAAAAATGGAATACAATGGCACAATGTGGAAAGAATGTCCTTTTCAAGAAATGGTGCTCTATCATTTGATAATTCATGTAGGGAAAAAAGAAAACTAATCTTTACCATACATCATTCTGAAAAAATAAATTCTATTTGATTATAAATTTAAAAGTGAAAATAAAATTATTTTGTACTTGGAATAAAGCCTTTAGAAGAAAACATTGGAGACTGTGCTTGTGACCCTCATTTCTTAAATAGGATACAAGAATTACTAATCACTAAAAGATACATTGGACTACATTAAAATTTTAAATTTCTTACAACAAACAAAATCATCAACAGGGTGAAAAAGCGAACCAGAGTAGAAAAAGTTGTTTACTGTACATAAATTTAAACAAAATATATATACATTCAGGTTATAAAAGGCGCTGTTACAAAATAATAAGAAAAACACACATAACCAAATAAAAATATGGGCAAAAGACTTGAAGAGGTACTTCACTAAAGACAATAACCAAGGTGGCCGAATAGGAACAGCTTAAGCCTGCAGCTCCCAGCAAGACCGATGCAGAAGGTGGTTAATTTCTGCATTTCCAACTGAGATACCCAGTTCATCGCATTGGCAATGGTTAGGCCGTGGGTCCATCCCACAGAGGGTGAGCAGACGCAGGGTGGGGTGTCACTTCACTTGGGAAATGCAGCAAGCTGGGTACCTCCCTCCTCAAGCCAAAGGAAGCCATGAGGGACTCTGCTATCAGGCTGGGTTACTATGCTTTTCCTATGGCTTTTGCAATCTGCAGATCAGATCCTCTTGTGTGCCTACACCACCAGGACCCTGGGTTTCAAGCACAAAACCAGGTGGCTGTTTGGGCAGACACCAAGCTAGTGGCAGGAGTATTTTTTTCATACCCCAGTGGCACCTGGAACCCCAGCAAGACAGAACCATTCACTTCCCTGGAAAAAGGGCTGAAGCCAGGGAGCCAAGTGGTCTTGCTCAGCGGGTCCCACTCCCTTGAAGCCCAGCAAGCTAAGAACCACTGGATTGAAATTCAGCAAGCACAGCAGTCTGAGGTCAACCTGGGACGATTGAGCTTGGTGTGAGGAGGGGAGTCTGCCATTACTGAGGCTTTAGTAGGCGGTTTTTCCCTGACAGTGCAAAGGAGGCTGGGAGATCTGGGCTGGGTGCAGCAAAGAGGCTCTGGCCAGACTGCTTCTCTAGATTCCTCCTCACTGGGCAGGGCATTTCTGAAGGAACCATAACAGCCCCAGTCAGGGGCTTAAAGACAAAACCCCCATCTCCCTGGAACAGAGCACCTGGGGAGAAGGGGGGGTTGTGGGCACAGCTTCAGCAGATTTAATCATTCCTGCCTGCCAGCTCTGAAGAGAGCAGCTGATCCTGACAAGAAGGATTCTCCCAGCACAGCATACCAGCTCTGGCAAGGGACAGACTGCCTCCTCAAGTAGGTCTCTGACCCCTGTGCCTCCTGACTGGGAGAAACCTCCCAACAGGGGTAAACAGATACCTCACACAGGAGAGCTCTGGCTGGCATAAGGCCAATGCCCCCCAGGGATGAAGATTCCAGAGGAAGGAGCAGGCAGCAATCTTTGCTGTTCTGCAGCATCCACTGGCAATACCCAGGAGAACAGGGTCTAGAGTGGACCTCCAGCAAACTGCAGCAGACCTGCAGAAGACGGGCTGGTCTGTTAGAAGAATAACAAACAGAAAACAACAACATCAACATAAGGGACCCCCACACAAAAACCCCATCCAAAGGTCATCAGCCTCAAAGATCAAAGATAGATAAATCCACGAAATGAGTAAAATCCAGGGCAAAAATGCTGAAAATTCCAAAAACCAAAATTCCTCTTCTCCTCTAAATGATCGCAACTCCTCTCCAGGAAGGGCGCAAAACTGGACAGAGAATGAGATAGATGAAATGAAATAAGTAGGCTTAAGAAGGTGGGTAATAACAAACTCCTCTAAGCTAAAGGAGCATGTTCTAATCCAATGCAAGGAAGCTAAGAACCTTGATAAAAGGTTGCAGGAACTGCTAACTAGAATAACCAAAATACAGAGGAACATAACTGACGTGATGGAACTGAAAAACACAGCACGAGAACTTCGTGAAGCATACACAAGCATCAATAGCTGAATTGATCAAGCAGAAGAACAGATGTCAGAGACTGAAGATCAACTTACTAAAATAAGATGTGAAGACAAGATTAGAGAAAAAAGAATGAAAAGGAACAAGCAAAGCCTCCAAGAAATATGGGACTATGTGAAAAGACCAAACTTGCAATTAATTGGTGTACCTGAACGTGATGGGGAGAAAGGAAGCAAGAGCAATCCCAAGACACATAATCGTCAGATGCTCCAAGGTTGAAATGAAAGAAACAATGTTAAGGGCAGCCAGAGAGAAATGTCAGGTAACCTACAAAGGGAAGCCCATCAGAATAACAGTGGATCTGTCTGCAGAAACCCTACAAGCCAGAAGAGAGTGAGGGCCAATAGTCAACACTTTTTTTTTTTTTTTTTTTTGAGATAGAGTCTCGCTCTGTCGATCTCGGCTCACTGCAAGCTCCACCTCCCGGGTTCACACCATTCTCCTGCCTCAGCCTCCTGAGTAACTGGGACTACAGGCACCCACCACCATGCCTGGCTAATTTTTTTATATTTTTAGTAGAGATGGGGTTTCACCACATTAGCCAAGATGGTCTTGATCTCCTGACCTCGTGATCCGTCTGCCTCGGCCTCCCAAAGTGCTGGGATTACAGGCATGAGCCACTGCGCCTGGCCTCAAAACTCTTAAAGAAAAGAATTTTCAACCCAGAATGTCATATCCAGCCAAACTAAGCTTCAAAAGTGAAGGATAAATAAAATCCTTTCCAGCCAAGCAAATGCTGAGGAATTTTGTCAGTACTAGGCCTGCCTTACAAGAGCTCCTGAAGAAAGCACTAAAGATAAAAAGGAAAAATTGGTACCAGCCACTGTAAAAACACACCAAAATATAAAGACTGACACCATGAAGAAACTGCATCAACTAATGCGCAAAATTACCAGCTAGCATCATGATGACAGAATCAAATGCACACATAACAATATTAACCTTAAATGTAAATGGGCTAAATGCCACAATTAAAAGACACAGACTGGCAAATTGGATAGATTCAAGACCCGTAGGAGTGCTATATTCAGTAGACCCATCTCATGTGCAAACACACACATAGGCTCAAAATACAAAACTACAAACCACTGCTCAAGGAAGTCAAAGAAGACACAAACAAATGAAAAAATATTCCATGCTCATGGATAGGAAAAATCAATATCGTGAAAATGGCCATACTGTCCAAAGCAATTTATAGATTCAATGCTATTCCCAAAAAACTACCAGTAATTTTCTTTATGAAATTAGAAAAAAAACTACTTTAAATTTCATAAGTAACCAAAGAAGAGCCCATATAGCCAAGACAATCCTAAGCAAAAAGAACAAAGTTGGAGGCATCACATTACCTGACTTCAAACTATACTACAAGGTTACAGTAACCAAAAAAGCATGGTACTAGTAGCAAAACAGATATATAGACCAATGGAACAGAACAGAGACCTCAGAAATAACACCACACATCTACACCCATCTGATCTTTGACAAACCTGATAAAAACAAGCAAAGGGGAAAGGAGTCCCTATTAAATAAATGGTGCTGGGAAAACTGGCTAGCCGTATGCAGAAAACTGAAACTGGACCCCTTCCTTACACCTTATACAAAAATAAACTTGAGATGGATTAAAGACTTAAATGTAAATCCAAAACCATAAAAACTCTAGAAGAAAACCTAGGCAATACCATTCAGGATATAGGCATGGGCAATGACTTCATGACTAAAACACCAAAAGCAATTGCAACCAAATCCAAAATTGACAAATGGGATCTAATCAAACTAAAGAGCTTCTGCACAGTGAAAGAAACTATCATCAGAGTGAACAGGCAACCTACAGAATGGGAGAAAATTTTTGCAAGATATTCATCTGACAAAAGTCTAATATCCAGAATCTACAAGGAACTTAAACAAATTTACAAGAAAAAAAAAACAAACAATCTCATCAAAAAGTGGGTGAAGTATGTGAACAGACACATCTCAAAAGAAGACATTCATGCAGCCAACAAACATATGAAAAAAAGTTTATCATCACTGGTCATTAGACAAATGCATATCAAAACTGCAATGAGATACCGTCTCACACCAGTTAGAATGGTGATTATTAAAAAGTCAGGAAACAACAGATGCTGGCAAGGCTCTGGAAAAATAGGAACGCTTTTACACCAGTGGTGGGAGTGTAAATTAGTTCAACCATTATGGAAGACAGTGTGGCACTTCCTCAAGGATCTAGAACCAGAAATACCATTTGACCCAGCAATCACATTACTGGGTATATACCCAAAGGATTATAACTTATTCTACTATAAAGACACAAGCACACATATGTTTATTCCAGCACTGTTTACAATAGCAAATACTTGTAACCAACCCAAATGCCCATCAATGATAGACTGGATAAAGAAAATGTGGCATATATACACCATGGACTACTATGCAGCCATAAAAAAGAATGAGTTCATGTCCTTTGCAGGGACATGGATGAAGCTTGAAGCCATCATCCTCAGCAAACTAACACAGGAGCAGAAAAAAAAACACCACATGTTCTCACTTATAAGTGGGAGTTGAAGAATGAAAACACATGGACACAAGGAAGGGAACATCACACACTGGGGCCTGTTGGGGGTTGGGGGCCTGGGGAGGGAGAGCATTAGGACAAATACCTAACACATCTGGGGCTTAAAACCTAAATGATGGGTTGATAGGTGCAGCAAACCACCATGGAACATGTATACCTGTGTAACAAACCTTCACATTCTGCACATGTATCCCAGAATTTAAAGTAATTTTTTTAAAAGGCAATAACCAAGTGGCAAATAAACATAGAAAATGGGAAATATCTTCAGGGAAATGCAAAGCAACAACTAAACCACAATTTACACTCATTACATATCCAAGAAAATGACTAAAATTGAAAAAATTGACAATATCAAGTGTTAGCCAAGATTTGAAGTAACTAGAATTCTCATGCAAATGAGAGCATAAATTGGTACAAGCACTTTAAATAACTGTTTGGCAGGACCCACTAAAACTGAATATATATGTACATACACATAAACAGAATTACCCACACACAAGGAAAAAGTATACTTCTAGATATAGGCTCAAAAAAAATGCATGTATGTGTCCACTGAAAGGCATGTACAAGAATGAAACAGCAGTAGCTAAATAGTAGCCAAAACGCAGAAACAGCTCAAATGTCTACTATCAGAAAAATGAATAAATAAGTTGTGCCAAAAAATGAAATACTACTCAACAATGAGAATGAATAATATTACATGCAACCATGTGGAAGAATCTCAAAAACATTGCATTCAGTGAAAAAAGCCAGACACAAAAGAATACATACTATATATTATTCTACTTGTTAGGAAATTCAGGAACTTCATTAGGAGAGGATAGTTATTGGAAGGTGACACACAAAGAGGCTCTTGTGATCATATGCTGTTTCTTTATTTGTGGGCTGGTTGTATTTTGTTCATTAATGATGTCTGCACTTTCTTGAGTGTATTTTATAATATGAGAAAATTAAAAATAATAGTAAGTGAATGATTGTCCTGGGATTAAAGAGCTTTAAATAAATATTTTAAAACTGTAAGAGGCAGTTTTGTCTCAAAACTAAAAGACAATACATAACAGCTATGTCTGTGGAAGAAAAATAGAAGTCTTCAGCAGAAGATGACACATCATCTTTCAGGGCTATTTTAACAAATATTTCTGGACTGAGTGAAAGTTTGGACTGAAGGATTAGTCCTTAATGACACTTACAAAGAGTAAGATAAATAAATGTCTCGATACCTCTGAGTAAAGTATTTAAGGTTGGTAACAGTTTTTCTGGATAGTTGTGTATCTTCACTGCTATCATTCTATCTCCAATCCTCCTTTTCTGTTGGTACCCTTTAATAGGCTAGGCTAGGAATTTGAGTTCCAGTTCTGATACTAGTTATCTTATCTTAGACAACTCATAAATTCCTTCTGAATCTCAGTTTCTTCATTTAAAAAATGAGAATAAAATACTTCCCTTATCTGCCTCACAGTGTTATTATGAAAGTCAAATGCAAATGTATATGACAATGTTTTTAAATTCTAAAGAGAGACACAGATTTGTCATTATCAAATGTAAAAAATTTACTAACAATAATGTAGAAATGAGACATATTTTTATCATTGGCTATACTAATTGCATAGTAAAGTGTATTCTCTGTTACTGTTAGGTTAATGCATAATTTTATCATTTTCTGCTTAAAAGAAAGCACATCAAGTTGTATTTTGATGTATGCAGTCATCAATTCATGTTTTTTCTACCTGTAAGTCAGTGAGCTATAATAGATAAATCATTTCTTCCTCCAAATTTTAAAAGATGTCTATTATCTTTCTGAAAAGTGATTTCTTTAGCTACTTCATAGTCCAAAAGGATTCTACCGAAATTTTCTGCTCATTCAGTGAGTTTATATATGTACTCTTCCAGTGTTACCAAAACGTGTAAATTAAAAGATTCAAAGACCAGTGAGCAAGAACTTTTCTGCTCATAGCATCAGAGCAAAGGAAGAACAATGACCTATCTTCAGGAGAGCCAAAGAAGGAAAAAGACCCCAAATGCATACAATTTTGGTAGCCTTTGGCATAGATGAGACAACATAAGAGAGTTGAAATATGCATAAGAGTTGTGAAATGTGCACTTTTCAGTTTAGGATCAACGATCTGATTTAGCAGAGATTAAGGGAAAGAGACTGTGGAAATTCTGGGGCTCTGTCTGTAAAGAAATAAAGACTATCACAAAGGGATTTTTAAGTAGTGGGAAAGAACAATTATATCTATTTGGGCCTTGAAAATCCAATAAAAGACATAAGAAAAATATCGATGTGATTTAAGGTTAGGAAAACATTTTTTAAACAAGACACAAAAGTACAAAAGATTGATAAAATTTGATATTTTTAAAAATGCATTTCAAAAAAGAACTATAATACAGTAAAACAAGCAAACAGAGTGGAAAATGATATTTGGTATAAACATGTTTGAAAAGCTGGAATACAGAATATATTAAGAGCACCTAGAAATGAATCAGAGAAAGTCACACAATCAAAGGGAAAAGCAGTCAAAAGTTGCAGACAGGCAATACACAGAGGAGGAATATTAAATGGAAACTAAGCATATGAAAAAATGCTTCATCTTACTATCAGGGAAATACTATGGTTCATGAAAAATGCTGTTGTAAAATAATACATGTATGTCTTTTCCTTAGTGTGTGTTTCATTGTTATTATTTTTGTTGTGTGGCCTATATATTTTTGTTAACCCTCTAAGTATTATAATATTAATAATAGCTTTATTGAGACATAATTCACATATGATACAATTCATTTTGAAGTGTATAATACAGTGATTTTTTGTATATCCACAGACCTATGCCAGCATCATCACTATCTAAATTTATAATATTTTCATCACCTCAAAAAGAAATCCCACAGACGCTGCAGTAATTCTCTATCCTGTGGCCACACCCAGCCCATGGCAAACACTGTCTCTCTAGGACTTTTCCTGTTCAGGACATATCTGTCTCTATTTTCTGTCTCTATGGATGTGTGTATTCTGGACATTTCAAAAAAATGGAATCACACATTATTTGGCCTTTTGTACCTGACTATTTCACACAGAACAATGTATGCAGTGTTAACATTTGTGGTGGCATGTATCATTATTTAATTCCTTTTGATTGACAACCAACAGTCAATTTATAGATGTATCACATTTTAATGATTTAGTCATTTGTCGGTGGACATTTGGCTACTTTCCAGTTTTTCTATTTAGGATAATGCTTCTATGAACATCAGTGCACAGTTTTTGGTGTAAACATATGTTTTTATTTCTCTTGATTACATAACTAGGAGTGGAATTGCTTGTTCATATGATAACTCAATGCTTAAACTTTTGACAAACTTCCAGACTGACTTCCAATGGATCTGCGCCAATTTACATTCCCATCAGAATAGTATAAAGGTTCCAATCTCTCCACATCCTGCCCACCACTTGTTATAGTTTGTCTTTTTGTATCTGTCCTCAGCATCTTCAATGTCACTGAATCTTTCTTGTGCCCATCCACAACTACTGTTGAGGCCCTCTAGTAGATTTTTTTATTTTAGTTTATTATATATTTGAACTCCAGAATTTCTATTTGGTTCTTTTTTTTTTAATAAATTCTACCTTTTCCTTGTTGTTTTCTTTTTGGTGAACTATTATTCTCTGATGTTCCTTTTGTTCTTTAAACCCAACTTCCTTCATTGTCTTACAGATATTTGCAAGAACTGCTTTAAGATATCTTTTTTCTAGTAGGTCTAACATCTGAGTTTCCTCAAGGACAATTTCTGTTGACTTAATTTTTCCTGTGCATGGGTCATATTCTTCTGTTTCTTTGCATGTCAAATATTTTGGTTTAAAACTACACAATTCAAATAATATAATGTGACCACTGTGGAAATCAGCTCCCCTCCTCCCTGAATTAGTTGTTAACATTTGTTTGTTTTCCTTTGAAAAATGTATGTTCATGTCCTTTGCCCACTTTTTAATGACGTTATTTGTTTTCTTCTTGAGCTGTTTGAGCTCCTTGTAGATTCTAGATATGAGCCCTTTTATAGATGCATAGTTTGCAAAAGTGTCTTCCCATTCTGTAGATTGTCTGTTTATTCTGTTGATTGTTTATTTTACTGTGCAGAAGGTTTTCAGTTTAATTAAGTCCCACTTTTCTATTTTTCTTGTGTTTGCTTTTAAGAACTTGGTCATAAATTCATTGCCTAGACCAATGTCCAGAAGAATTTTCCTAGACTGTTTTCTAGGATTTTCATAGTTTCAGGTCCTACATTTAGGTCTTTAGTCCATCTTGAGTTAATTTTTGCATATGGTGAGTTGTATGAGCCTAGGTTCATTCTTTTGCATATGGCAATCCAATTTTCCCAGGACCATTTATTGGCGATTTCCTGTCACCAGTGTATATTTTTGTTGACTTTGTTGAAGATCAGTTGGTTATAGGTTTGTGGCTTCATTTCTGCTTTTCTATTCTGTTCCATTGATCTATGTGTCTGTTTGTTATTCCAGTACCATGCTGTTTTGGTTCCTATAGTCTCACAGTATAATTTGAAGTCAGGTAATGTCATGCCTTCAGCTTTGTTCTGTTTGTTTAGGATTGCTTTGGTTATTCAGACCCTTTTTGGTTTCATATTAATTTTACCATCATTTTTTCTAATTTTGTGAAAAACAAGGCTGGTAATTTGATAGGGATTGCATTGAACATGTAGATTGCTTTAAAGAGTATGGTTACTTTAATGATATTGATTCTTCCAGTCCATGAGCATGGGATGTTTTTCCATTTGTTTGTGTCATCTACAATTTTTTTCCTCTGTGTTTTTAGTTCTGTTTTTAGAGATCTTTTACCACATTGGTTAAATATATACCTAGATATTTTTATAGTTATTGTTAATGAGATTTCCTTCTTCATTTGGTCCTCAGCTAGATAATTAATGGTGTATAGATATGCTACTAATTCCTTTTATTTAACTTTTATTTTAGGTTTAGAGGTACATGTGCAGGTTTGTTATATAGGCAAACACATGACATTGGGGTTTGCTGTGCAGATCATTTCATCACCCAGGTAGAAAGCCTAGTACCCAATAGTTGTTTCTTCTGCTCCTTCTCCTCACAATCTCCATTCTCAAGTTGGCCCCAGTGTCTGTTGTTTTCCTCTCTGTGTCCATGAGTTAACATCATTTACCTACAACTTATAAGTGAGTTTTCACTTACAAGTGAGAACATGCAGTATTTGGTTTTCTCTTTCTGCATTAGTTTGCTAAGAATCATGTTCCATCCATGTTCCTGAAAAGGACATAATCTTGTTCTTTTTTATGGCTACATAGTATTCCATGGTGTATATGTACCACATTTTCTTTATCCAGTCTATTATTGATCACCATTTAGGTTGATTCCATGTCTTTACTATTGTGAATAGTGCTGCAATGAATAGTGCATGTGTCTTTATGGTACAGTGATTTATATTCCAGTCTATCATTGATCACTATTTAGGTTGATTCCATGTCTTTACTATTGTGAATAGTGATGCAACGAATAGTGCACGTGCCTTTATGGTAGAACAATTTGCATTTTGCATTCCTTTGGGTATATACCCAGTAATGGGATTGCTAGGTCAAATGGTAATTTGTTTTTAGCTCTTTGAGAAATTGCCACACTGCTTTCCACAATGGTTGAACTAATTTAGACTCCCACAAACAGTGTATAAGTGCTCCTTTTTCTCCACAATCTTGTTAGCATCTGTTAGTTTTTGATTTTTTAATAATAATAGCCATTCTGACTGGTGTGAGATGGTATTTCATTGTGGTTTTGATTTGCATTTCTCTAATGATTAGTGATATTGAGCTTTTTATCGTATGCTTGTTGGCTACATGTATGTCTTATTTTGAAAAATGATGGTTCATGTTCTTTGCCCACGTTGTAATAGGGTTACTTGTTTTATTTTTGTAAATTTGTTTAAGTTCTTTATGCTGGATATTAGACTTTTGTCAGATGTATAATTTGCAGAAAATTTCTCCCATTCTGTAAATTGTCTGTTCACTCTATTGATAGTTTCTTTTGCTATGCACAAGCTCTTAAATTTAATTAGATCCTATTTGTCAATTTTTGCTATTGTCATGATCACTTTTGGTGTCTGCCTCATGAAATGCTCATTCACTCCTATGTCCAGAATGGTATTACCTAGGTTCTCTTCTGTATTAATTTTGTCACCTGAAAATTTGCTGAATTCATTTGTCAAAGTTAAGAGTTTTTGGTGGAGTCTTTAGGGTTTTCTTAAGATTATATCATCAGAAAACATAAATTATTTGACTTCCTCTTTTCTAATTTGTATGCCTTTTATTTCTTTCTCTTGCCTCATTGCTCTAGCAAAGACATCAAGTAACACGCTTAATAAAAGTGGTAAAAGTAAACATCTTTGTCTTGTTCCAGTTCTTATAGAAAATGCTTGCAAATCTTCTCTGCTATGTATTATGTTGGCTGGGTATTTGACATATACTGCCATTTTTTTGTTGAGGTATATTCCTTCTATGCCTAGTTTGTTGAGAGTTTTTATCCATGAATGGGTGCCGAATTTTACTGAATGTTTCTTTCTGTGTCTATTAAGATGATCATATGATTTTTCTCCTGCATTCTGTTGATGTGTTATATAACATTTGTTGGGTTCTGTATGTTGCACCATTCTTGCATCTCTGGGATAAATTCCAACTGACTGTGGTGTTTTATCTTTTGATATGCTTTTGGATTCAATTTGCTAATATTTTATTGAGGATTTTTGCATCTATACTCATCAGAGATATAGGTCGGTAGTTTGTTGTTGCTGTTATTGTGTCTTCGTCTGGTTTTGGTATCAGGGTCATATTGACCTTGTGGAATGAAATAGAACAAATTCCGTTCTCTTCCATTTTTTGAAATAGTTTGAGAATTGATGTTAGTTCTTCTTTAAAAGTTTGGTAGAATTTAGCAGTAAAACAATCCAGTCTTGGACTTTTCTTTGTTGGGAGACTTTTTAATCACTGATTAAATGTCATTTATTGCTATTCATCTGTTTGAGTTTTCTATTTCTTCCTGGTCCAATCTTGATAGGTTATATGTTCAGGAATTTATCCATTTCCTCCAGCCTTTCTAGTTTGAATGTATAGTGGTACATGTAAGTCTCTAATTATTCTTTGTATTTCTGTGGTATCGATTGCAATGTCTCCTTTTTTACTTCTGATTTTATTTGTTTGGATTTTTTTCTCTTTTTCTTAGTTAGTTTAGATAGAGGTTCATCAATTTTATGTTTTCAAAGAAACAATTTTTTTGTTTGGTTTATCCTTTGTATATTTTTGACTCCATATTTCATTTAGTTCTGCTCTGATCTTTGCTACAGTGAGCTATGATCATGCCACTGCACTCCAGTCTGGGTGACAAAATGAGACTCTCTCTCAAAAAAGAATCAATATTTTGAAATCTTTATTTGACATTTCAAGGATCTCTTTTTCATTGGAACTTGTTGCTGGACAATTATCGTGGTCCTTTTGGGGTGACATATTTCCCTGCTTTTTCATGTTTCCTGTGTCTTTCCATTAATATATGTTAATGGTATAGCAGTCACATGCTCCAATCTTTAAAAACTGCTTTGTAGGGAGGAATGTTTTTCTGAATATGTATGTTTGTTGTTAATTGAGTCAGATACTTAGACTTTGATTGGGATAACTGAGGTATTGTGATCTCTGTATGACATCTTCAGCAGTGCACAGGGTCAATGATCTCTGTTATTTCTTCGATGACTTAAGATACAGTTATTAGTTGAGGTTGTGGTGATGTTTAGCAGAGAAATTTGACAGCAACCGAGCCATTCTTCAGGTCCCGGTGGTGGTAACAGTGGGATTAGTGTGCCTGTTTTTAGGACCCAGAGCAGATTACACTGGCTCCAGTGTTTTGGAGGTACTGAAGGGCTGATTTTTGGGCCTCCAGGTGACTTGCTTGGAAACTAGTTGTGGGAGTAGTGGGCCAGGTGTAGGGCAGGTTCTCAGGTCCCTGGGAAGCTTGTGTGGTGTAGGTGATGGCAGTAGCAGTGGAAGGCAAGCAGTCTGTGTTTCCGTTGTTGGAAGTCACCCAGGTGGGTGACTGGGGACTAGCAGTGGGTATTGCCCTATGTGTGCTTAAGAGAGCTTAGTCTTCCCGCTTCCTCCCCCAGCTAGGTGGTAGCGGCAGCCATGTTCCCTCAAACTCAGCATGAAAATGGGGCACAGTTCAGTTTTAAACTCTCAAAATGGTGCCTAATGTAAGCCTCTTATTAGAACAGGTGGGGCCTCTTTCAGGTAAACAGCATAGACCACTATAGGGAGTGTGGTGTGCTTGATTCTTTGTCTCACAGAAGTTCTTTGCAAGGCAATGGGTCTTGTTTTAGATATGTTTAGGATAACATGGTTTCCTTGTCCTTCCTTGAGTGGGTGGTGTCTGCAGCGACGTCAACTTAAATTAAGACATATCTATTTTCAAACATCTCCTAGCAGTATTAATATCTTTAGAAAATAGATATAGTTGGCTACAATGAGAAATAGCTGTTATTTCTGTAAAGTCCTCTTATAGTCAAAGGACATTTTGTCACCATCCTGAGCATCATACACATCTGCTACATATTGTGACCAGGAACGCTATTCAGTTCTCAAATGAAGGTTTCAGTTTATTTTTTGTCAGAATCAAGATGTATATACAGGCAGACTTCATTAAACTCCACATCACCAGCCAAAATACAGTCTCACCAGCAGGTTATCTCTGTTGATGGCTTAAGTCCATCCTAGCCTGGCACGTAAAGCCTAGGAAATTAAAAATTGAAGTTTCAGCTGATGTTGTAAATGTAATTCTCACTCCCACTGAGACAAGATTGCATCAGCTATGGAGTGTATAGTTCTCCCCATTGTAAACACTTGACAAGAAGCAGTTTATTTTAGAGGCACGCATTGCAAAATCTCCACAACTTATAAATTAGAGCACTATTCTGCACCATTAAAGAGGGGCTACTCGATTAAAAAAAAAATAAGTTTAGAATGACCTAGCATTGATTTTTATGGCATCAGTCTATGTTAAATAATCAATTAATTAAAAGTCAAACATGTTTGGTATACTACTCATTGTTCATCATATAGAACATGTTATCAATAAAGACAGTCTGGCTTTGGCAAAATCTGGTATGCTATTTAGTAATATAAATACTAGAGTTGTCATGTGCTTTTGGGGTATGGCTATACTCTTCTGGCCTGCAAGGAAAAGAAAGCATTCCTTCAGGTAAGTGACTACTTTTTCCTCAAGGGAAAATGTATCCTGGTGCCAGTCATACAGGCAACATGTGAATATAGGCCTTAGGTGGGTAAAAAAACATAACCTAGCCGGGCACGGAAGCTTACGCCTGTAATCCCACACTTTGGGAGGCTGAGGTGGGGGGATCATATGAGGTCAGGAGTTTGAGACCAGCCTGGCCAACATGGCGAAACCCCGTCCCTACTAAAAATACAAAAATTAGCCAGGTGTGGCGGTGGACTCCTGTAATCCCAGCTACTCAGGAGGCTGAGGCAGGAGAATCGCTTGAACCCGGGAGGCAGAAGTTGCAGTGAGCCAAGATCACGCCATTGCACTCCAGCCTGAGCAACAGAGCAAGACTCCATCTCAAAACAACAACAACAACAACAACAACAACAACACATAACCCATCTTCTCCTCATCTGAATTTTTATTGTATTCTGTCCAAGAAGCACTCAAGATGCTGTCTGATGTATGAAGAAAGTTCGGGAGCTAGGCAAGAAGGAACTAAGTACTACTGTTACTCTCATAGAACAAATGCAAAAGGAGACACAAAGAGATTAAACTGTCCCAAGTCACAAAGCTTATAAATGTTAAAATTGAGAATAAAATCCAGACAGATAGGTCCTAGATTGTGATTTTTCACCATGATGTCATACTTCCTTTCAGTAGAGCAAGCTATTTCTTAACACAGACTTTCTGGCTTTATGGTACTCTATTTTCATCTTTTGTTACTCTAGGGCCTTAAATAAAGTCGTGCTTTGTTAGGCCAAACCAAGTTGAATCACATAATTGAAGAAGTAGAATCCAATTGTATGTGTGGTGGGGGCAGAAGTGATTTGTGAAAAATCCCAAAGAAAAAGAAAAATCCCAGAAAGATTTTCAGGAGACTGCACTTTTTCTGCAAACATAGAAGTCCTAAGGAAGCATAATTTTATCTTATAAATAAATGTTATATTTTATATTTCCATTTCTTGCAACATTTTCCATACAAATCCAATACGTACATGTGGAAATAATGTATCTAATATATTTATTCCAGCTAAGCTTTTGGTGATGTACTCTTATACCATTTTAAAAGAAGGTAGAGAATGAGAGAGGGAGCAATCCTTAACTGAAAGCAATAAATAATTTTGAAGCACAGATAAATGTACAGTCTTCACTCGGTGGCTGTGGAGGTTGGTTTCTGGACCCCCTCCCCCAACCTATACAGTCCCCTTAGATACCAAAATCAGTAGATGCTTAAGTCCTTTATAAAAAACGGTGTGGTGTGTTTGCATATAACCTATGGACATACTCTCATATATATTTTTAACTATATAACACATTTTATTTTTAAATTTTTTTAACTTTTATTTTCATTTCAGAGAAACATGTCCAAGTTTGTTACATTGGTAATTTGCAAGTCATGAGGGTTTGGTGTAAAGATAATTTCATCATCCAGGTAATAAGTATAGTACCCAATAGGTATTTTTTTATTTTTCACCCTCCTGTCACCCTCCACCCTGAAATAGGCCCTGGTATCTATTGTTTCCTTCTCTGTGCCCATGTGTATGCAATATTTCACACCCACTTATAAGTGAGAACACACAGTATTTGATGTTCTATTCCTGCATTAGTTCACTTGGAATAATGGCCTCCAACTCCATCCATGTTACTGCAAAGGATGTGATCTGATTCTTTTTATAGCTGCATAGTATTCCATGGTGTATATGTACCACATTTTCTTTATCCATTCTACAAGATAGACTTAGATTGATTCCATGTTTTTGCTATAGTGAACAGTGCTGCAATGAACATACACATGCGTGTGCCTTTATGATCAAATTATTTTTATTCCTTTGGGTGTATAACCAATAATGGGATTTCTGAGCCAAATGGTGGTTTTGTTTTAAGTTATTTGAGAAATTTCCAAACTGCTTTCCACAGTGGCTGAACAAATTTACATCCTCACTAGCAGTATACAAGCATTCTTTTTTCTCTGCAACTTTTTATCTGTTTTTTTTTAATTTTTAGTAATAGCCATTCTGACAAGTGTGAGATGGTATCTCGTGGGTTAATTTCATTTCTCTGATAATTTGTGATGTTGAGCATTTTTTCTTATTTGTTGGCTGCTTAACTATCTTCTTTTGAGAAGTGTCTGTTCATGCTATTTGTCAACTTTTTAATGGGGTTATTTGTTTTTTGCTTGTTGAATCATTACAAATTCTGGACGCTAGACCTTTGTTGGATGCATAGGTTGCAAATATTTTCTCCCATTCTGTAGGCTGTCTGCTTAATCTGTTGATAATTTAATAGCTGGGCAGAAGCCCTTTAGTTTAATTAGGTCTCATTTATCATTTTTTGTTGTTGTTGCAATTGCTTTTAGCATCTTTATCACCATATTTTAGATAGGGCCTATGTATAGAATTGTTTTGCCTAGGTAATTTTCAAGGGTTTTTATGGTTTTAGGTTTTACATTTAAGTCTTTAATCCATCTCGACTTGATTTTGTATATAGTGGAAGGGAAGGGGTTTAGTTTCAATCTTCTGCAAATGCCTAGCTAGTTATTAAAGCACCATTTATTGAATGGACGGTGCCTTCCCCACTGGTTTTGTCAATTTTCTTAATGAACAGATAGTTGTAGATGTGCAGCTTTATTTCTGGGAACTCTATTCTGTTCCATTGGTCTATGCATCCATTTTTGTACCAGTGTCATATTGCTTCTGGTTACTATAGTCTTGTAGCATAGTTTGAAGTGGAATAATGTGATGCCACTATCTTTGTTCTTTTTGCCTAGGATTACTTTGGCCATTTGGGCTTTTTTTTTTTTTTTTTGGTTCCCCATGTATTTTAGAATTTTTTTTCTAATTCTATGCAGAATGTCACTGGTATTTTGATAGAAATAGCATTGAACCCATAAATTGCTTTGGACAGCATGCCATTTTAACAAAACTGATTCCTCCTATCCATGAGCAAGAAATGTTTTGCCATTGTTTCTGTTGTCTCCGATTTCTTTCAGCAGTGTTTTGTAATTCTTATGGTAGAAACCTTCACATCTCTGGATAGCTATAATCCTATGTATTTTTGTAGCTATTGTGAATGTGATTATGTTCTTGATTTGGCACTCAGCTTGAACACAGTTGGTTCATAAGGATGCTACTGATTTTTTTACATCCATTTTGTATTTTGAAACTGTGCTGAAGTTGTTTATCAGATCAAGGAGTTTTTGGGCAGAGACTATAGGGTTTTCCAGGTCTAAAATTATATTGACTACAGAGATAGTTTTACTTCCTCTCTTGTTATTTAAATGCCTTTTATTTCTTTATCTTACCAAATTGTTCTAGGCAGGACATTCAGTACTATGCTGAATAGAAGTGGTGAGAGTGGGCATCTTTGTCTTATTCTGGTTCTCAAAGGGAATGATTTCAGCTTTTGTATGTTCAGTATAATAGTAAGTGTGGATTTGTCATAGATGACTCTTATTATTTTGAAATATGTTCCTTCAGTGACTAATTTGTTAAGGTTTGTTAACATGAAGGAATGTTGGATTTTATTGAAAGCCTTTTATACATCTATTGAGATAATCATATGGTTTTTGTTTTTACTTCTGTTTGTGTGCTGAATTACATTTATTGATATGCTTATGTCGAACCAATATTGCATTCCAGAAATAAAGCCTACTTGATTGTGGTGGTTGAGATTTTTGATCTGCTGCGAGATTTGGTTTGCTAGTATTTTGTTGAGGAATTTTTTAATATGCTTATGTTGAACCAATATTGCTTGCCAGAAATAAAGCCTACTTGATTGTGGTGGATGAGTTTTTGATCTGCTGCAAGATTCAGTTCGCTAGTATGTTGTTGAGGAATTTTTCATCTAAATTCCTCAAGGAAATTTGCATAAAGTTTTCCTTTCTTCTTGTGTTTCTGCCTGGTTTAAATATCAGAAATATGCTGACCTCATAGAACGAATTATGGAGGAGTATCTCCTCTATTTTTTGCAGTAGTTTCAGATGGAATGATATTAGCTCCTCCTTATACATGTGATAGTATTTGGCTGTGAATCTTTCTTGTCCTGGGCTTTTTATCATTGGTAGAGTTTTTGTTACTGACTCAATTTCATAATTCATTAGTAATCTGTGTTCAGGGTTTCAATTTCTGCCTGGTTCATTCTATGTTTCCAGAAATTTCTCCATTTCTTGTAGGTCCTCTAGTTTGTGTGTACAGAAGTGTTTTTAATAGTCTCTGAAGGATTTCTGTATTCCTGTGGGGTTAATGGCAATATCTCCTTTGTCATTTCTGATTGTGTTTATTTGGATCTTCTCTCTTTTTTCCTTATTGGTCTAGATAGTGGTCTATTAATCTTATTTATTCTTAAAAAAACACCTTTTCATTGTGTTGATCTTCTGTATGGCTTTTTGCATCTCAGTTTTATTCAGTTCAACTCTGATTTTGGCTATTTCTTTTCTTCTGCTAGCTTTGATGTTGGTTTGCTTGTTTCTGTAGTTTCTAAAGGTGTGACGTTAGGTTGTTAATTTGAGATTTCTCTAGCTTTTTGATGTGGGCATTTTACACTATAAATATTCCTCTTAACACTGCTTTAGCTGTGGCCCACAGACTCTAATATGTTGTACTTTTGTTCTCATTCATTTCAAATAATTTATTGATTTTTGCCTTAATTTTATTGTTTACCCAGAAGTCATTAAGGAGCAGGTTGTTTAATTTCTCTATAATTGTGTGGTTTTGAGATCTCTAGTTAGTATTGATTTCAATTTTTATTACACTGTGGTCCAAGAGTGTGGTTGGTATAATTTTGTGATTTTTTTTAATTTGCTGAGAATTGTTTTGCAGCAGGTCGTGTGGTCAATTTTAGAATATGTACCATGTGCAGATGAGAAAAATGTATATTCTATTTTTGAGGGAAAGAGTTTTGTAGCTTTCTGTAAAATCCATTTGGTCAAGTGTGTTTAGCTCCCAAATATATTTGTTAGATTTCTGTCTTGATGATCTGTCTAATACTGTCAGTGGGATGTTGAAGTCTCCCTCACTGTTATTGTGTGGCTATCTAGGTCTCTTCATATGTCTCTAAGAACCTGTTTAATTAATCTGAATGCTTCTACGTTGTGTACAAATATGTTTAGGATAGTTAAGTCTTGTTTAATTGAACTCTTTGCCATTATGTAATGCCCTCTTTTTTTTTTTTTTTTTTGATCCTTGTTGGTTTGAAGTCTGTCTAAAATTACAACAGCAACCCCTCTTTTTTTTGTTTTCCATTTGCTTGGTAGATATCTCCTCATCTCTTTACCTTGAGGGTGTCTTTGCTTGTGCAATGGGTTTCTTGATGACAGCATATAGTTGGGTCTTTCTTCTTTATCCAACTTGCCACTCAGTGCCTTTTAATTTGAGCATTCAGACCACTTACATTCAAGATTAATATTGATATGTATGAATTTGATCTTGTCATCATGTGGTTAACTAGTATACATGATCATGTAGTTACTTCATAGTATCAATGGTCTATGTACCTAAGTGTGTTTTTGTGGTGGCCAATAATGGTCTTTCATTTCCACATTTAGTACTCCCTTAAGGAACTATTGTATGGGAGGTCTGGTGGTAAGAAGACCTTGGCATTTCCTTGTCTGAAAAGGATCTTATTTATTTCTTGCTTATGAAGCTTAATTTGGCTAGGTATGAAATTCTTCATTTCAGGGTTTTTTTAATTTATTTAAGAATGCTGAAGATTTTTTGAAGGTATTTTGTGTCCGTATCTCCTTCAGTTTTGCTCTGATCTTAGTTATTTCTTGTCTTCTGCTAGCTTTTAATTTGGTTTGCCCTTGCTTCTCTGGTTCTTTTCATTGTAATGTTAGGGTGTCAATTTGAGATCTTTCATGCTTTCTGATGTGGGCACTTAGTGGTATAAATTTCCCTCTTAACACTGCTGTGTCCCAGAGATTCTGGTACATTGTCTCTTTGTTCTCATTGGTTTCAAAGAACTTCTTGATTTCTGCCTTCATTTCATTATTTACCCAGGAGACATTCAGGAGCAGATTGTTCAATTTCCATGGAGTTGTGTGGTTTTAAGTTAGTTTCTTAATCCTGAGTTCTGATTTGTTTGCACTGTGGTCTGAGAGACTGTTTGTTATATTTCTGTACTTTTGCAATTGCTGAAGAGTGTTTTACTTCCAATTATGTGGTCAATTTTAGAATAAGTGCTATGTGGTGCTGAGAAGAATGTATATTCTGTTGATTTGGGATGGAAAGTTCTGGAGATGTATATTAGTTCCACTTTGTCCAGAGTTGAGTTCAAGTCCTGAATATTCTTGTTAATTTTCTGTCTCATCTCATTTATCTGTCTAATATTGACAGGGGGTGTTAAAGTCTCCTGCTATTATTATGTTGGAGTCTAAGTCTCTTTGTGGGTCTCTAAATACAAATGCCATTCTATATATGTTTGTAACTCCCTTTTTATGCTATATGATTTAAAAGAAAAAAATAAAATAATCATTAAAATGTATGTTATTGGGCAAAAATGTATAAAAATGTAATGTATGACTTGAACATAAATGGAGAGGGAAGGGCTATATGAAACCACAGTTTTGTATACTATTAAACATAAGGTTGTATTAATTCAAAGCATAAGTTTAAGATACAATTTACAACTTTTAGAGTAATCACTAAGATGATCATTTTTAAATGCACAGAAAAGTAAGTGAGGAAAGAATTTCTAAAAGTACACTATAAATAATCACTTAAATGCAAAAGAGGGCAGTAATGAAGAGATTGAGTAACAACAAAAAAGTAAGACTTATGGAAGACAAATAAGAAAACAAGAAAATTCAGTTATTTCTTGTCTATAATTACATTCAACATAAGTGCATTTAACATTTCAATTAAAATCAGAGGTTTTAAAAATAAATGTATAAAAATGACCTGACTCTAAACTTTACACAATAGAATAACTTTAGATTCAAAGACACAAATATATATTGAATGTAAAAAGATAGAAAATATATTCTATGCAAGTAGTACCCAAAAGAGAGCTAAGGTGGCTGTGTTAATATAAGATACAATAAACTTTAACTCAAAACTAATAGAAGAAACAAGGAAAGACATTAGATATTGATGAAATTTAACCTACTAAGAAGATAAAACAATTAAAAATATATGCACACCTAACAATAGAGCATCAACATACATGAAACACACATTAACAGAACTTAAGGGATAAATAGTTCTACAAATATAGTTAAAGACTTCAGAATCCCACTTTCACCATTAAATAGGAGTATTTTTTAAATTCAATAAAGAAATAGAGGACTCAAAAACTACACACCAACTACATCTACTATATATCAAATACTCCACCCAGAAACAGCAGAAAACATGATTTCTGCAAGTATACATAGAACATTTTCCAGGATAGAACATATGAGGCCACAAAAAATTCTCAATGGATTTAAAGATTAAGATCACACAAAGAATCTTCTCTAATGACAATGTAATGAAACTAGAAATCAACAACAGAAGAAACTAGAAAATTTAAAAATATGTGAAAGTTAAACAATACACACTTAAAGTAAAAAAACAAAAAGTAACTTTTAAAAAACTTTAAGAAAAATAGAAATGAACACAAGACATACCAAAACTCATGGGATGCATCAAGAACAGTGTTCAGAGGAAAATTTATAGCTGTAAACACAAACATTTTTTAAAAGCATTATCTCAGATCAGTAGCCTGATTTTACACCATAAGGAACTAAAAAAAAAAAGAGGAATAGATATAATAAAGATTAGAGTAAAAATAAATGAAACAGGAAATAGAAAAAAAAACAACTAAAAATCAACAAAACCAATAGTTGATTCTTTGAGAAGTACAACAAAAATGACAAACTCTAAGCTAGACTACATTGTATTAATTTCCTAGGGCTGCCATAAGAAAGTATTCCAAACTGTGTAGCTTAAAACAACAGAAATGTATTTGTGCAGTGCTGGAGGCTAGAGGTCCAAAATCAAGGTATTAGCAGAATTCGTTCCTTTTATGGATTCCGTGGGAATCTATTCCATGCCTCCCTTCTGGTTTCTGTGAGTGTAAGCAATTCTTAGCATCCTTGCCTTACATATGCATTACTCTACTATCTGCTTCTGTTTTCACGTGGAGTCCTCCTTGTTTCTAAGTGTCTTCACATGGCTGGCTAAGATATAAAAAAAAATCAGTCATATGGGATTGGCCCACCCTACTTCAGTACGACTTCATTTTAAGTTAATAAATTACATCTGCAATGACCGTTTTTCCCTGTGAGATTACAATCTGAGGTACTGGCAGTTAGCACTTCAACATATATTTTGAGGAGACATAATTCGCCCATTAGCACTGGCCAAAAAAAGGGAGAAGCCTCATATTATTAAAATCAGAAATGCAACTGAGGATTTTACTAGTGACCAAACAGAAATCAAAATTATTATAAAAGAATACTATTAAAAGTCTTATGCCAAAAAATTAAATGACTTATATACATGAAATTGACAAAGTACTAGGAAAATACACACTACCAAACTGACAAAAGAAGAAAATTTAAAACTGGACAGACTTATAACAAGTAATGAGATAGAATCAGTAATCAACACTTTCCCAAAAAAGGAAAGGCCCAAGACAAATGGCTGTACTGGAGAATAATATCAATTATTTTAAAAAGAATTAACATCACTCTTTCTCAAATTCCTTCAAAACCAAAAGAAAAAGGATCACCTCCTAGCTCATTTATGAGTCTGGCATACCACTGATTTGAAAGCCAGAAAAAGCCAAAGATGTCACAACAATAGAAAGCTACCAACTATTATACCTTAAGAATACAGATAAAAAAATGCTCAAGAAAATACTAGGAAACCAAAAACTGGGAGCACATTAAAAATATCATACAGAGTGACAAATTGGAATTTATTCTAGACATGCAGGAGGAGCTCAGCATACCAAAATAAATCAATGTAATGCACAACATTAATAAGACAAAAGGGGAAAACACATGAATGTCTCAATTGATTTGAGAAAAAAAAATCCAGAAAAAACAAAACTTTTCTGTAATAATGTTGAAGTATTCAACATATTATTGATATCAATATATTTTGAAGTCCTAACAGCCAGTACCCCAGAATGTAACTTCTTAGGAAAAAGGGGTCATTGCAGATGTAATTTATTAAGTTAAAATGAAGTCATACTGGAGTAGGGTGGGCCCCAATCCCATAAGACTGATATTTTTATATCTTAGTCAACAAATGTGATACAGAAGGAAACTTCTTCAACACCATAAAAAGTTTGATTTAAAAATTTACAGATTCATACTCGATGAAAAACTGAAATGGTTCCCCCTAAGATCAGGAATAGACAAGTATGATTCTTTTGACTATTTCTACTCAACATTATATGACAAGTTTTAACCAGAGAAATTAGTCAACAAAAAGAAATAAAACACATTCAAATGGGAAGGAAAGAACTAAAGCCATTTCTGTTTTCTCATGACATACTCTTATATATAAAAAGTGTTAAGAATCCACACAAAAAAATTAAAGCAAATAGGTGGAGCCAATATGGCAAAATAGGAACAGCTCCAGTCTACAGCTCCCAGCGTGAGTACCACAGAAGACAGGTGATTTCTGCATTTCCAAATGAGGTACCAGGTTCATCTCACTGGGGAGGGTCAGACAGTGGGTGCAGGACAGTGGGTGGAGTGCACCGAGTGTGAGCCAAAGCAGGGTGAGGCATCGCCTCACCTGGGAAGTGCAAGGGGTCATGGAATTCACTTTCCTAGTCAAAGGGGTGACAGACAGCACCTGGAAAATTGGGTCACTCCCACCCTAATACTGCACTTTCCCAACAGTCTTAGCAAACAGCACACCAGGAGATTATATCCTGCACATGGCTTGGAGGGTCCATGGAGCCTCGCTCATTGATAGCACAGCAATCTGAGATCAAACTGCAAGGTGGCAGTGAGGCTGGGGGAGGGGCGCCCACCATTGCCCAGGCTTGAGTAGGTAAACAAAACAGCCGGGAAGCTCGAACTGGGTGGAGCCCACTGCAGCTCAAGGAGGCCTGCCTGCCTCTGTAGACTTCACCTCTGGGGACAGGGCATAGCCAAACAAAAGGCAGCAGAAACCTCTGCAGACTTAAATGTCCCTGTCTGACAGCTTTGAAGAAAGTAGTGGTCTTCCCAGGATGCAGCTGGAGATCTGAGAACAGACAGACTCTCTCCTCAAGTGTGTCCCTGACCCCCGAGTAGCCTAACTGGGAGGCATCCCCCAGGAGGGGCAGACTGACACCTCACACGGCTGGGTACTCCTCTGAGACAAAACTTCCAGAGGAACGATCAGGTAGCAACATTTGCTGTGCACCAATATCCGCTGTTCTGCAGCCTCCACTCCTGAAACACAGGCAAACAGGGTCTGGAGTCGACCTCCAGCAAACTCCAACAGACCTGCAGCTGAGGGTCCTGACTGTTAGAAGGAAAACTAACAAACAGAAAGGACATCCACACCAAAACCCCATCTGTACGTCACCATCATCAAAGACCAAAGGTAAATAAAACCACAAAGATGGGGAAAAAACAGAGCAGAAAAACTGGAAACTCTAAATATCAGAGTGCCTCTCCTCCTCCAAAGGAATGCAGCTCCTCACCAGCAGGATATTATCCAGGAGAACTTCCCCAATCTAGCAAGGCAGGCCAATATTCAAACTCAGGAAATACAGAGAATGCCACAAAGATACTCCTCGAGAAAAGCAACTCAAAGACACATAATTGTCAGATTCACCAAAGTTGAAATGAAGGAAAAAATGTTAAGGGCAGCCAGAGAGAAAGATCGGGTTACCCACAAAGGGAAGCCCATCAAACTAACAGCTGATCTCTCGGCAGAAACTCCACAAGCCAGAAGAGAGTGGGGGTCAATATTCAACATTCTTAAAGAAAAGAATTTTCAACCCAGAAGTCATATCCAGCCAAACTAAGCTTCATAAGTGAAGGAGAAATAAAATACTTTACAGACAAGCAAATGCTGAGAGATTTTGTCACCACCAGGCCTCCCCTAAAAGAGCTCCTGAAGGAAGCACTAAACATGGAAAGGAACAACCACTACCTGCCACTGCAAAAACATGCCAAATTATAAAGACCGTCAAGGCTGGGAAGAAACTGCATCAACTAACTAGCAAAATAACCAGCTACCATCATAACAACAGGATCAAATTCAGACATAATAATATTAACCTTATATGTAAATGGGCTAAATGCTCCAATTGAAAAACACAGACTGGCAAATTGGATAAAGAGTCAAGACTCATAAGTGTGCTGTATTCAGGAAACCCAACTCACGTGCAGAGACACACATAGGCTCAAAATAAAGGGATGGAGGAAGATCTACCAAGCAAATGGAAAACAAAAAAAGGCAGGGATTGCAATCCTAGTCTCTGATAAAACAGATTTTAAACCAACAAACATCAAAAGAGACAAAGAAGGACATTACATAATGGTAAAGAGATCAATTCAACAAGAAGACCTAACTATACTAAATATATATGCACCCAATACAGGAGCACCCAGATTCATAAAGCAAGTCCTTAGAAAACTACAAAGGGACTTAGACTCCCACACAATAATAATGGAAGACTTTAACACCCCACTGTCAACATTAGACAGATCAACGAGACAGAAAGTTAACAAGGATATCCAGGACCTGAACTCAGCTCTGCACCAGGCAGACCTAATAGACTTCTACAGAACTCTCCACACAAAATCAACAGAATATACATTTTTTTCAGCACCACACCACACCTATTCCAAAATTGACCACATAGTTGGAAGTAAAGCTCTCCTCAGCAAATGTAAAAGAACAGAAATTATAACAAACTCTCTCTCAGACCACAGTGCAATCAAACTAGAACTCAGGATTAAGAAACTCACTCAAAACTGCTCAACTACATGGAAACTGAACAACCTGCTCCTGAATGACTACTGGGTACATAAAGAAATGAACGCAGAAATAAAGATGTTTTTTGAAGCCAAAGAGAACAAAGACACAACATACCAGAATCTCTGGGACACATTTAAAGCAGCGTGTAGAGGGAAAATTATAGCACTAAAGGCCCATGAGAGAAAGCAGAAAAGATTTAAATTGACACCCTAACATCACAATTAAGAGAGCTAGAGAAGCAAGAGCAAACACATTCAAAAGCTAGCAGAAGGCAAGAAATAACTAAGATCAGAGCAGAACTGAAGGAAATAGAGACACAAAAAAAACCTTCAAAAAATCAATGGATCCAGGAGCTGGTTTTTGAAAAGATCAACAAAATTGATAGACTGCTAACAAGACTAATAAAGAAGAAAAGAGAGAAGAATCAAATAGACGCAATAAAAAATGATAAAGGGGATATCACCACCGATCCCACAGCAATACAAACTACCAACAGAGAATACTATAAACCCCTCTATGCAAATAAACAAGAAAATCTAGAAGAAATGGGTAAATTCCTCCACACATACACCCTCCCAAGACTAAAGCAGGAAGAAGTTGAATCCCTGAATAGACCAATAACAGGAGCTGAAATTGAGCCAATAATTAATAGCTTACCAACCAAAAAAAGTCCAGGACCAGATGGATTCACAGCTGAATTCTACCAGAGGTATAAGGAGGGGTTGGAACTATTCCTTATGAAACTATTCCAATCAATAGAAAAAGAGGGAATGCTCACTAACTCATTTTATGAGGCCAGCATCATCCTGATACCAAAGACTGGCAGAGACACAACAAAAAAAGAGAATTTTAGACCAATATCCCTGATGAACATCAATGCAAAAATCCTCAATAAAATACTGGCAAACCGAATCCAGCAGCACATCAAAAAGCTTATCCACCATGATCAAGTGGGCTTCATCCCTGGGATGCAAGGCAGCTCAACAAACGCAAATCAATAAACATAATCCAGCATGTAAACATGTAAACAGAACCAAAGACAAAAACCACATGATTATCTCAATAGATGCAGAAAAGGCCTTTGACAAAATTCAACAACCCTTCATGCTAAAAACTCTCAATAAATTAGGTATTGATGGGACGTATCTCAAAATAATAACAGCTATCTATGACAAACCCACAGCCAATATCATACTGAATGGGCAAAAACTGAAAGCATTCCCTTTGAAAACTGGCACAAGACAGGGATGCCCTCTCTCACCACTCTGATTCAACATAGTGTTGGCAGTTCTGGCCAGGGCAGTCAGGCAGGAGAAGGAAATAAAGGGTATTCAATTAGGAAAAGAGGAAGTCAAATTGTCCCTATTTGCAGATGACATGATAGTATATCTAGAAAACCCCATCGTCTCAGCCCAAAATCTCGTTAAGCTGATAGGCAACTTCAGCAAAGTCTCAGGATACAAAATCAATGTGCAAAAATCACAAGCGTTCCTACACACCAATAACAGACAGAGAGCCAAATCATGAGTGAACTCCCATTCACAATTGCTTCAAAGAGAATAAAATACCTAGGAATCCAACTTTCAAGGGACGTTAAGGACCTCTTTGAGGACAACTATAAACCACTGCTCAATGAAATAAAAGGGGGTACAAAGAAATGGAAGAACATTCCATGCTCATGGGTAGGAAGAATCAATATCATGAAAATGGCCATACTGCCCAAGGTAATTCATAGATTCAATGCCATCCCGGTCAAGCTACCATTGACTTTCTTCACAGAATTGGAAAAAACTACTTTAAAGTTCATATGGAACCAAAAAAGAGCCTGCATTGCCAAGTCAATCCTAAGCCAAAAGAACAAAGCTGGAGGCATCAGGCTACCTGACTTCAAACTATACTACAAGGCTACAGTAACCAAAAGAGCATGATGCTGGTACCAAAACTGAGATATAGACCAATGGAACAGAACAGAGCCCTCAGAAATAATGCCACATATCTACAACTATCTGATCTTTGACAAACCTGACAAAAACAAGAAATGGGGAAAGGATTCCCTATCTAATAAATGGTGCTGGGAAAACTGACTAGCCATATGTAGAAAGCTGAAACTGGATCCCTTCCTTACACCTTATACAAAAATTAATTCAAGATGGATTAAGGACTTAAATATTAGACCTAAACCCATAAAAACCCTAGAAGAAAACCTAGGCAATACCATTCAGGACATAGGCATGGGCAAGGACTTCATGTCTAAAACACCAAAAGCAATGGCAACAAAAGCCAAAATTGACAAATGGGATCTAATTAAACTAAAGAGTTTCTGCACAGCAAAAGAAACTACCATCAGAGTGAACAGGGAACCTACAGAATGGGAGAAAATTTTTGCAATCTACTCATCTGACAAAGGGCTAATGTCCAGAAACTACAATGAACTCAAACAAATTTACAAGAAAAAAAGAAACAACCCCATCAACAAGTGGGCGAAGGATATGAACAAACACTTCTCAAAAGAAGACATTTATGCAGCCAAAAGACACATGAAAAAATGCTCATCATCACTGGCCATCAGAGAAATGCAAATCAAAACCACCATGTGATAGCATCTCACACCAGTTAGAATGGCAATCATTAAAAAGTCAGGAAACAGCAGGTGCTGGAGAGAATATGGATAAATAGGAGCATTTTTACACTGTTGGTGGGACTGTAAACTAGTTCAACCTTTGTGGAAGTCAGTGTGGCGATTCCTCAGGGATCTAGAACTAGAAATACCATTTGACCCAGCCATCCCATTAATGGGTATATACCCAAAGGATTATAAAACATGCTGCTATAAAGTCTTATGCACACGTATGTTTATTGTGGCACTATTCACAATAGCAAAGACTGGGAACCAACACAAATGTCCAACAATGATTGACCGGATTAAGAAAATGTGGCACATATACACCATGGAATACTATGCAGCCATAAAAATGATGAGTTCATGTCCTTTTTAGGGACATGGATGAAGCTGGAAACCATCATTCTCAGCAAACTATTCCAAGGACAAAAAACCAAACACTGCATCTTCTCACTCATAGAGAACAATGAGAACACATGGACACAGGAAGGGGAACATCACACACTGGGGCCTGTTGTGGGGTGGGGGTATGGGGGAGGGATAGCATTAGGAGATACACTTAATGTTAAATGATGAGTTAATGGGTGCAGCACACCAACATGGCTCATGTATACATATGTAACAAACCTGCACGTTGTGCACATGTACCCTAAAACTTAAAGTATAATAAAAAAAATTAAAGCAAGCAAACAAAATCAGCAAAATTGCAGGATCCAAGAGCAACCTGTGAAACAGTTGTATTTCTATGTAAAAGCAATAAAAATTCTGAAAAAGAAATCAAGAAAACAATTTCATTTAAAATAGTATCATAAATAATAAAGTAAAAATAATAAATTATTTAGAAACAAATTTAACCAATGGGGTGAGACTTGTAAACTGAAAGTTACAATATGTTGCTGAAAGACATTACAGATTACCTAGATAAATGGATAGACAGTTCATGTTAATGGATTGGAGTATTTGACATCGTTCAGATGACACACTCTCCCAGACAAATCAACAGATTCAGTATCATCTTCATCAAATTCCCAAGGTCCCTTTTTGCAGAAAAGATGATGCTAAAATGTACATGGAAATGTAAGGAACATATAATAGCCAAAATAATCTTAAAGAAAAAAACAAAGTTGGAGGACTAACATTCCAAATTTCAAAATATAACAAAAAGCTATGGTAACAAAAGCAGCGTGGTACTGACCTAATGATACATATATAGGTCAATGGAATAGAATTGGAAATCTAGAAATAAACCCACAAATTTATGGCTAATTGATTTAGCCATACATAGACCCAAACATTTGTGGCTAGTTGGGCAAGGGTGCTCAAATTATTCAATGTAGAAAAAAGAATACGTTTAAAAAATGATGCTCAGACAACAGAATATATATATGCAAGAGAATGAAGTGGATCTCTTTCTCAAACCATAAACAAAAATTAACTCAGTAAACAAAAGTAAAAATAGACAAGTGGGAATACAACTAACTGAAAAGCTTCTGCACAGCAAAGAAAGCAATTAATAGAGTGAAGAGAAAACCTACAAAATGGGAGAAAATATTTGTAAACCACATATCCTAAAGGGTTAATGTCTAAAATATAAAATGAATGAAAAAAAGCAATAACAAAAAAGCAAAAGACTTGATTGAAAAATGTTCAAAAGGCTTGAATACACATTCCTCAAAAGTAGACATACTAATAACCAACAGATAAATTTTTTGAATACTCAACATCAGTAATCATTAGGGAAATATAAATTAAAACCACAGTGGGATACCACCTCACTACTGTTAGAATGGTTATTATCAAAAAGTCAAAAGACAACAAATGTTGGCAAGGATGTTAGGAAAAGAGAACCCTTATATACTATTGATGGGAATGTAAATTAATACAGCCATTATGGAAAGCAGCATGAACGTTTCTAAAAAAATAAATTAGAAATACCTTATGATCCAGCAATTCCATTAATGAGTAGGTATCCAACAGAAATAAAATCACTATGTCAAAGAGATATCTGTGTTCCCATATTGATTGCAGCAATATTCATAGTAGCAAAGAAATGGAATCAACCTAAGTGTCTATCAATTGATGAATATGTAAAGAAAATGTGGTACATATACTGGATGGAATTTTATTCAGCCCTAAAAATGAATAAAATCTTGTTATTTGCAAAAACATGGATAAACCAGGAGGTCATTATGTTAAGTGAAATATGCAAAGAACAGAAAGACAGAAGCCACATAATTTCACACATGTGGAATCTTTAAAAGTTGACCTTATAGAAGTCTACAATAGAATGGTGATCACCATAGTCTGGGATGGTTAGGGTGGAGGGAACAATGGGGAGATGTTGGTCAAGGGTATGTAATTACAGCTAGATGGGAGAAGTAAGTTCAAAAGGTGTATTATACAGCATGATGACAATATTCTTAATGAAGATGTATTATTAATATATTTTTAATGCAGAGGGAGTAGATGTTAAGTATTTTCACCACAAAATGATAACTATATGAGGTAATGTTTATTAATTAACTAAATTTAATCATTCCATAATATATATGTATCTCAAAAAAATTATCTTGTAGGATGTCAGCACTCATATTCCCTCACAACATGAATTCTGCATCCATTCACAGACAAAAGTCTCTCTATGAAAGTCTGGGATTCAGGTAGAAGGTTGTGAACACCAGATGGATCACAAAACCTTAAAAGTGTCATTTTGAGAATGAAGACCAGCACCCAGGAGTTTGACCCATTGATCTTGCTCCTGCAATTGAGCCCAGAGACAACCTCATTCCCCAGAAGGCTTGGCTACAGCCAGGTTTGGTCTTCAGCCTGCAATCAAATCCATCTACCAAGGGTCCAGGCAGAATCACACATACTAGTGTCCTGGTAAAGAGGCCCCCCTGCCCACTGACATTGGTCTTGGCAGTAAACCTGAAAGTTGCTCTGTGGCTTGACTCTAGACCCCTCAGCTAAGGTCCCAGTTCAAGACTGCTCATACAAGGACCCAGAGAGAGACTCACCCATATCTTGCAGCTCAAGAGTCTGAGCCTTTACAACAGACTTGCCAACCTTCATGTCATGCCAGATCCCAAAAAGGGTCAGTCTCAGATGCAAACCTCCTCCCCTACACCCACCCCTGCTGTAGTCAGAGAACTATCCTGTTTGTGCAGGGACCCCCTGGGAGACATGCAGTCATCTGAACCAATAAAAAGAGTCACCAGCCACCATCACATAGCATATCTCAAGGGGGATACGTATCAGATCCAGTCCCACCTGCTGCAGTTAAGGAACTACCCAACCTCTGCAATTACCAGTTGGAGATATACACCCACCTGAGCTAATGAGAAAGGATCTCCAGCCTCCATTCAACAGCAGATTCTCAGAAGGTCCTGTCTCAGCCCCAGTCCCTCTCACTACAGTCAGGGACCTAACACACCTGTGCAGGGACTTGCTGAGAGGCAAACCTGTCTGGGCCACTGGGACAGTCTTCTAGGCTAAAATCTCTGGTCAAACTTTCCTCAAAGCCTGGGTACTCTCTTTCGTACTTTCTCCAGAACCTACCAGGCTGGAAGCTGGCCATACTTGTAGGCCTCATGAGACTCAAAGGAAACTGAGGCTTAGCGAGTCCTCTAGTGCTAACATGGCTGCGTTGGTCAAGAGCTCAGAGAACTCAACAGTCAGTCTGCTTAGAATCTTTGGAAGTATCTCTGAAGAATGGTAACAAACAATACCATGTTTTAAAGACTGGAATAAATACCTAATCTTTCAATGTGTAGATATTATTGCACATTCACAAGCATCAAAAACATTTAGTGTAATATCTCATCAAATGAACAAAATAAGGTTACATAGACTGACCTTAAAGTGATAGATATGTGTTATCTTGCAGAGAAAGAATTTAAAATAGCTGTTTGAAGGCAGCTCAATGGAATCCAATGAAGCACAGAAAATCAATTCAGAAATTTATTTTAAAAATGTAACAGAGAGATTGACATAACAAAAATAAATCAGACAGAAATCCTAGAGCTGAAAAATACAATAGATGAAAGAAAAACTACAATAGGTAGTATCAAAAAAAGAATTGAGCAAACATTCAAAAGAATAATTATACTCAAAAAGGTAGTGTAGAGGGTGGAGAGATTGGTCAACTGGTAGAAAATTAAAGTTAGAAGAAATATGTCCTGATGCTCTATTGCACAGTAGGGTAATGATTGTTAACAACAATGTATTCTATATTTCAAAATAGCTGAGAGGACTTTAAATGTTCTTGACACAAAGAAATAAAAATTTTTTAGGTGATAGGCATGTTAATTACCTCTGATCTGATTATTGTTTTATATATATATGTATATATATATAAAAGCATTACACTGTATCCCATAAATATGTACAATTATTATGTGACAATAAAAAATGAAATAAAATTTTTTAAACATCATATGGTACACGAAAAATACATACAACTGTATCTGTCAACTTAAAAAATATCTATTGTTTTGATTTCTGCTTTTATCTTTGTAGTTCTGTTCCTTCTATTTTCCATGGGTTTATTCTGGTGGTTCTTTTATTTCTAGTTTCTCGAGTTGAAAATTATGGTCATGTATTTTTAAATTATTTTGTTTTTATTTTCTATGAAAATAAATGTATATGACTGTAAGTATAAAATAACCTAAATAAAAGAGCTAGAACTATTAAAAGTGTTTAAAGAAAACATAGTGGTATATTCACGACCTTGAATTTGAGATTGTATTATTAGATAGGGTATTAAAAGTATAAGCAATAAAAAATAGATCAATTGGACTTTATCAAAATCAAAAAATTTGCGTATCAAATAGTATTATCTAGAAAGTCAGAAAACCACCTGGAGAATTAGAAAATATTTGTAATTATATATTTAATAATGGTCTAGTGTCCAGAATTTATTTTTCTAAAAGCTACTTACTATGCAACAGCAAAAAGACAAAGAACACAGGTTAAAAATGCATAAAGATTTCTGCCCCAATAGGGCCAGCTAGATACAGCCAGGAGGAAGATCTCCCACTGAGAGACCAGGACATCAGGAAAACTGGTGCAGTTCTATCACATATTCAGAGGGAAGGCATTGAGTGCAGACAGAAGGAAGACACGGAGGCTGTGCTGAAGGAGAAATCTGGGAAGCCTGCATGGGACTACCATGCACTAGGACTTGTTCCTGGCCTCCCTAGACACCTGCAGGGGTTAGGCAATGAGTTGACCAGCCAAGTAGCAACCCACTCTCACCAACGGCCTCTGGAATCTCAGCAGGTGGAGACCCCTCAACCACCATGAACACCTCAGTTAGCAGTGAAGCTGCCTAGATAAATAGTAGGAGCAGAACTCCAGCCTATACAGAGCCCAGAGGGTTCAGTATGGAAGCATCTGTAGTGGAGCACAGCCAGGGATGCCCTTCCTCCTAGGCTCAACGTGTTCTCAGAGGAGACTTTAGCCCTAGAAGAACTGTCAGACTTGAAATCTTTAGGGTAGTCTTGCCCATAAGATGGGGCTGGTCCAACCTGAGCACCTCTTGGCCTGCTGGCCTCTACTGGGGCCCAAGTCTGGCTGCACCCACTTACAGTGCAGCCCCCAGGTACCTCCTGGGAACTGCATTATAACTCCTGTGCTGGTGGACCACTCCTGACCAGCAGAGTGCTCCAGCAGAGTGGCCCCTGTGGACACACATCAGCCTGCCCACACCTTTCCCACTGCAGTCTCCCCCATGCCACTTTGCCTGCAGGCACTTGCCCATGAACAACCCCAACATTACTATGCCAGTGCATGTGTGTGTGGGCAGACATAGCCTTCCCTTCCCCACCAGCACATGTGTGTGCATGCAACCTGCCATGCAACCACTGCCAGCATTAGTGCACCTCATCCCCATCCCTTCTGCCACACCATAATTTGTATTGAAGCATCTCTGAGCAAGAAGCCCAGCAGCCCCACCAGCTGCTTCACACCTGTGCTAGAGCAGCTGGTGTGAAACTGAGCACAGAACAAAGCATATCTGCTCCCATCTCTGAGCAACCAGTGTCACCAGTATGAATGTGCACAAACTTTACACAGAGTCCTATGCCCACCAGCACCCCACCACTGGCATGAACACGTGGACAGTTGCCACTGGGGGCTCCCTGCAACCTTGAGCCATACTACTGATGCTGCTGCTACACAGAGCCTGGCACTCCAGCACCCATTAGAATCCTGCCATAGCCAACAAGCATGCAACCAGCCATGCTGCTGCTGCCACTGCAGCTGGAATATGTGGCTGAGAACACATCTCACTGTCCCTGAACTATGAAGTGCTTTGGCTGGCAACACCCATCAGAGTGTGTGACTAATGGTGTGGGACCAGCTCAGCCTTTTCACAGCTGCTTCCTAATCTCAAGAGCCAGAGATCAAAGCTAGGGCTTGATACCAGTCCTCCAAATTTGGAGTACATAGTCCAGGAATTCTGAGATGAGTCTTGGCCCCCTAAAATCTTCCAGTAAAAAAGCCAGTAGACTTAACATACTTTATACTACAATCAGACTCCCAAGGTTATCAAATAGAATAAAATAAAAAACTAATCCACAGAATAGCAACTTCGAAGATTGAAGGAACATTAACCAACAAAGATGAAGAAAGAACCAGATCAAGATCTTTGATCACTCAAAAAGCCAGAGTGCCTTATTTCCTCCAAATGACCACACTAGATCTCCAGCAATGGTTCTTAACTGGGCTGAGATGACTGAAATGACATAAATATAATTCAGAATATGGATGAGAACAAAAATCATTTAAATTCAGGATGATGTTGAAACCTACTCTAAGCAAGCTAAGAATCACAATAAAATGGTACAGCAGGTGACAGACAAAATAGCCAGTGAAGAAAAGTCCATAACCAACCTGATAGAGCTGAAAAACATAATTCAATCACAAGTATTAACAGCAGAATAGACCAAGCTGAAAAAAAGAATCTCAAAACGTGAAGACTGAGGTATTAGTCCATTTTCACACTGCTAAGAAGAACCATGTGAGACTGGGTAATTTATGAAGAAAACAGGTTGAATTGACTCACAGTTCCACATGGCTGGGGAGGCCTCAGGAAACTTACAATCATGGTGGAAGGCAAAGGGGAAGCAAGGCACATCTTCCTATGGTGGAGCAGGAGAAAGATGGAGAAAAGAAGGGAAGTGCCACACTTTAAAACCATCAGATCTCATGAGAACTCACTGACTATCATAAGAACAGCAAGGGGAAAATCTGCCACCATGATCCAATCACCTGCCACAAGGCCCTTCGTCTGACACATGGGGATTACAATTTGAGATGAGATTTGGGTGGGGACACAGAGCCAAATCCTATCAACTGTTTTTCTGAAATAAGACATTAAGACAATAATTTTAAATAAAGAATGAAAAGAAATGAACAGAACCTCTGAGAAATATGGGACTCTGTAAAGGAATTGAATCTACAACACATTGGCACCCCTGAAAGAGATGGAGAGAATGAAAGCAACTTGGAAAACATATTTCAGAATGTCATCCATGAGAACTTCTTCAACATAGCTCTAGAGGCCAACATTCAAATTCAGGAAATGCAGAGAACCCACACAACATACTTCGCAGGAAGATCATCTCCAAAACCAATAATCATCTGATTCTCCAAGATTGAAATGAAATTTTAAAATGTTAAGGGCCACTAAAAAATTCAAGTCACCTACAAAGGGAAGCCCATCTGACTAACAGCATACCTCTCAGTAGAAACCCTACATGGCAAAAGAGATTGGGAGCCTATATTCAACATTCTGAAAGAAAAGAAATTCCAACCAAGAGTTTTCGATTTGGCAAAACTAAGCTTCAAAAGCAAAGGAGAAATGACATTCTTTTTCAGAAAAGCAAATGCTGAGAGGATTCATTACCACCAGACTTCTCTTACCAGAACTCCTGAAAAAAGCACTAAATATGGAAAAGAGTGACTGTTACCAGCCACTGCAAAAACACACTTAAGTACACAGACCTGTGACACCATAAAGCAAACACACAAACAAGTAAGAATAATAAACAACTAACAACATGATTACAGAATTGAATTTACAAATAAATACTAACCTTGAGTTTAAATGAGCCAAATGCCCCCAATTTAAAGGCACAGACTGGCAATCTGGATAGAAAGCAGACCCAATGGTATGCTGTCTTCAAGAGATCCATCTTACATGCAATGACACACATAGGCTCAAAATACAGGGATGGAGAAAAATTTACAACACACACACACACACACACACACAACAACAACATGGGTTGCAATAGTAATTTTAGAAAATACAGATTTCAAATCAATAAAGATCAAAAAAGGCAAAGAAGGGCATTATATGATGGTAAAGTATTCCATTCAAAAAGAAGACTTAATTATCCTAAATATTTATGCACCCAACACAGAAGCACCCAGATTTATTAACCAAGTTCTTAGGGATCTACAAAGAGACTTAGACTCCAACACAATAAAAGTGGGAGACTTCAACACTCCAGTGACAGTATTAGACAGATCATTGTGGCAGAAAATAAACAAAAATATGCAGAACCTGTACAAAATACTGGAATAAATGGATCTGATAGACATCTACAGAACTCTCCACCCCAAAACAACAAAATATACATTCCTCTCATTGCTACATGGCACACATGCTAAAATCAAACACACAATAGAACATGAAGTAATTCTCAGCAAATGCAGAAGAACAGAAATCATACCAAAGAATCTCACACCACAGCACAAAAAAAAAAACAGAACTCAATACTAACAAAATTGCCCAAAACCATGGAAATTAAGCAACCTGCTTCTGAATGCCTTTTGAGCAAGTAATGAAACTAAGGAAGAAATCAAAAAGTTCTTTGAAACTAATGAGAACAAAAATACAACATACCAGTATCACTGGAACACATCTAAAACAGAATTAAGAGGGAAGTTTATAGTACTAAACATCAACAACAAAATGTTAGAAAAATTTCAAATTAACAAACAAACATCACAACTGAAAGAACTAGAAAAGCAAGAGCAAACTAACCTCAAAGCTAACAGAAGACAAGAAATAATAAAAATCAGAGTGGAAAATGAAGGAAATTGAGATGGAAAATGAAGGAAATCGAGATGCAAAATAAACGTTTAAAAGATCAATGAATCAAGAAGGTGGTTTTTTGAAGATATTAATAAGATAGATAAACCACTAGCTAGACTAATAAAGAATAAAAGAGAGAAAAACCAAATAAATGCAATCAGAAATCACAAAGAGGATATTGCCATTGACTCAATGGAAATACAAATAACTATCAGAATATTATGAAAACAAGCTAGAAAATCTAGAAAAAAAAGAATAAATTTCTAAACATATACATGCTCCCAAGACTGATCTAGGAAAAAATTAAATCCCTGAACAGACCAATAATAATCTCTGGAATTGAATAAGTAAAAAATAGCCTATAAAACAAAAACAGCCCTGGAACAGATGAATTCAGAGCCAAATTCTACCAGATGTACAAAGATGAGCTGGTACCATTTCTACTGAAATTATTGGAAAAAATTGAGGATGAGGGACTCTTCATCAACTCACTTTATAAGGCCACCATCATCCTGATTCTGAAACCTGGCAGAGAAATAACAACAAAAAAATCTCAGGTCAACATCCTTGATAAACATTGATGCAAAAAATCCTCAACAAAATGTTAGCAAACCAAATCCAGAAGCACATCAGAAAGCTTATCCACCATGATCAAATAGGCTTTATCCCTGAGATGCAAGGTTGGTTCAACATATGCAAATCAATAAATGTAATTTATCACATGAACAGAACTAAAGTCAAAAAACATGATTATTTGAATAGATGCAAAAATGACTTTCAATAAAATTCAGCATCCCTTCATGGTTAAAAAACTCCCAAAAACCAGGCATTAAAGGAAGATATCTCAAAATAATAACAGCCACCATCATACTGAAGGAGCAAAAGCTGGAAGCATTCCTTTTGAAAACTGGCAAAAGACAAAGATGCTATCTCTCACCACATCTATTCAACAAAGTATTGGAAGTCTGGGCCAGAGCAACAAAGCAAGAGAAAGCAATAAAGTGCATTGAAATAGAAAGAGAAGAAGTCAAACTATCCCTGTTTGCAGATGACAGTATTCTGTATTAGAAAACCCCATAGTCTCAGCCCCAAAAATCTTTAAGCTGATAAACAACTTCAGCAAAGTTTCAGGATTCAAAATCAATGTACAGCAAAAAGTAGTATTCCTATACATCAGCAACAGCCAAACTGAGAGCAAAATCAGAAATGTAATCCCATTCATGGTAGCCAGAAATAAAATAAATTACTGAGAAATACAGCAAAGCAGAAAGGTAAAAAAAAAAAAAAAAAACACACAATGAGAATTTTAAAACACTGCTCAAAGAAATTAGCAATGACAAAAATAAATGGAAAAAAACTCTCTGCTCATGAGTTGGAACGCTCAATATTGTTAAAATGGTCATACTGCCCAAAGCAATTTACAGATTCAATGCTATTCCTGTCAAGCTACCAATGATATATTTCAGAGAACTAGAAAAAAGTTATGTTAAAATTTATATAAAACAACAAAAGAGCCTGAATAATTAAGGCAATCCTAAGTAAAAAGAACAAAGAAGGAGAAATTATGCTACCTGATATACAACTATACGACAGAGCTATTGTAACCAAAAAAACATGGTGCAAGTACAAAAACAGACACATAGACAAATGGAACAGAATAGAGAGGCCAGCCCTTAGGCTACACAACTGCAATCATCTGATCTTCAACAAATTGAAAAAAATAAGCAATGGGGAAAGGACTTCCTATCAATAAATGGTGTTGGAATAACTGCCTGGACATGTGCAGAAGATAGAAAGTAAACCTCTTTTTTACAACATAAAAAATCAACACAAGATGGATTAAATACTTAAATGTAAAGCCCAAAACTATAAAAACCCTGAATGACAATGTAGGTAATACCATACTGGACATAGGCTCTGGCAAATATTTCATAATAAAGATGCCAAAAGAAGTTGCAACAAAAGAAAAATTGACACATGGGATCTAATTAAACTAAAGAGCTTCTGCACAGCAAAAGAAACTATCATCAGAGTAAATAGACAATCTACAGAATGGGAGAAAATATTCACAAACTACACATCTGATAAAGGGCTAATATCCAGAACCTATAAAGGAACTTAAACAAACCAACAAGCAAAAAAACAAATAATCACATTAAAAATGGGGAAAGTACAATAAGACATAAACAGAAACAACCAAAGGTTAAAAAGTGGAGAAACACACTTAAAGGATTGAAATTTTACTACTTTTCTTTCTGTGTTTGTTTATGCAATAAATGTTAAGTTGTCATCAGTTTAAAATAATGGGTTATAACAGTATTTGCAAGCCTCATGGTAACCTCTAATCAAAAAATTCACAATGAATACACAAAAAATAAAAAGCAAGAAATTAAAGCATACCACCAGAGAAAATAACCTTCACAAAAGTGAAGACAAGAAGAAAGAAAAGAAGGAAGAAACAAAAGAAAAGAAAGAAAAGAAGGAAGAAAAACTGCAAAACAGCCATAAAACAATTAACAAATTATCAATAATAAAATTCAATATGAGGTCAGGCAGCCAAGATGGCCAAATAGGAACAGCTCCAGTCTACAGCTCCTAGCGTGAGCAACGCAGAAGATGGGTGATTTCTGCATTTCCATCTGAGGTACCGGGTCCATCTCACTAGGGAGTGCCAGACAGTGGGCCCAGGACAGTGGGTGCAGCGCACCTTGCGCGAGCTGAAGCAGGGCAAGGCATTGCCTCACTCGGGAGGCAAAGGGGTCATGGAGTTCCCCTTCCTAGTCCAAGAAGGGGTGACAGATGGCACCTGGAAAATCGGGTCACTCCCATACTAATACTGCACTTTTCCAAAGGGCTTAAAAAACGGTGAAGCAGGAGATTATATCCCGCACATGGCTCAGAGGGTCCTATGCCCATGGAGTCTCGCTGATTGCCAGCACAGCAGTCTGAGATCAAACTGCAAGGCGGCAGTGAGGCTGGGGGAGGGGTGCACACAATTGCCCAGGCTTGCTTAGGTAAACAAAGCAGCTGGGAAGTTCGAACTGGGTGGACCCCACCACAGCTCAAGGAGGCCTGCCTGCCTCTGTAGGCTCCACCTCTGGGGGCAGGGCACAGAAAAACAAAAAGACAACAGTAACCTCTGCAGACTTAAATGTCCCTGTCTGACAGCTTTCAGGAGAGCAGTGGTTATCCCAGCATGCAGCTGGAGATCTGAGAATGGGCAGATTGCCTCCTCAAGTGAGTCCCTGACACCTGACCCCCGAGCAGCCTAACTGGGAGGCACCCCCCAGTAGGGGCAGACTGACACCTCACACAGCCGGGTACTCCTCTGAGACAAAACTTCCAGAGGAACGATCAGACAGCAGCATTCACCGTTCACGAAAATCTGCTGTTCTGCAGCCACCGCTGCTGATACCCAAGCAAACAGGGTCTGGAGTGGACCTCTAGCAAACTCCAACAGACCTGCAGCTAAGGGTCCTGTCTGTTGGAAGGAAAACTAACAAACAGAATGGATATCCACACCAAAAACCCATCTGTACATCACCATCATCAAAGACCAAAAGTAGATAAAACCACAAAGATGGGGAAAAAACAGAGCAGAAAAACTGGAAACTCTAAAAAGCAGAGCTCCTCTCCTCCTCCAAAGGAACGCAGTTCCTCACCAGCAATGGAACAAAGCTTGACGGAGAATGACTTTGACGAGTTGAGAGAAGGCTTCAGATGATCAAACTACTCTGAGCTACAGGAGGAAATTCAAACCAAAGGCAAAGAAGTTAAAAACTTTGAAAAAAATTTAGACGAATGTATAACTAGAATAACCAATACAGAGAAGTGCTTAAAGGAGCTGATGGAGCTGAAAGCCAAGGCTCAAGAACTACGTGAAGAATGCAGAAGCCTCAGGAGCCGATGCGATCAACTGGAAGAAAGGGTATCAGTGATGGAAGATGAAATGAATGAAATGAAGCGAGAAGGGAAGTTTAGAGAAAAAAGAATAAAAAGAAACGAGCAAAGCCTCCAAGAAATATGGGACTATGTGAAAAGACCAAATCTACGTCTGATTGGTGTATCTGAAAGTGACGGGGAAAATGGAACCAAGTTGGAAAACACTCTGCAGGATATTATCCAGGAGAACTTCCCCAATCTAGCAAGGCAGGCCAACATTCAAATTCAGGAAATACAGAGAACTCCACAAAGATACCCCTCAAGAAGAGCAACTCCAAGACACATAATTGTCAGATTCACCAAAGTTGAAATGAAGGAAAAAATGTTAAGGGCAGCCAGAGAGAAAGGTCAGGTTACCCACAAAGGGAAGCCCATCAGACTAGCAGTGGATCTCTCTGCAGAAACTCTACAAGCCAGAAGAGAGTGGGGGCCAATATTCAACAGTCTTAAAGAAAAGAATTTTCAACCCAGAATTTCATATCCAGCCAAACTAAGCTTCATAAGTGAAGGAGAAATAAAATACTTTACATAGAAGCAAATGCTGAGAGATTTTGTCACCACCAGGCCTGCCCTAAAAGAGCTCCTGAAGGAAGCACTAAACATGGAAAGGAACAACCAGTACCAGCCACTGCAAAATCATGCCAAATTCTAAAGACCATCGAGGCTAGGAAGAAACTGCATCAACTAACGAGCAAAATAACCAGCGAACATCATAATGACAGGATCAAATTCCACATAACAATATTAACTTTAAATGTAAATGGGCTAAATGCTCCAATTAAAAGATGCAGACTGACAAATTGGATAAAGAGTCAAGACCCATCAGTGCGCTGTATTCAGGAAACCCATCTCATGTGCAGAGACACACATAGGCTCAAAATAAAAGGATGGAGGAAGATCTACCAAGCAAATGGAAAACAAAAAAAGGCAGGGGTTGCAATCCTAGCCTCTGATAAAACAGACTTTAAACCAACAAAGATCAAAAGAGACAAAGGAAGCCATTACATAATGGTAAAGAGATCAATTCAACAAGAAGACCTAACTATACTAAATATATATGCACCTAATACAGGAGCACCCAGATTCATAAAGCAAGTCCTGAGTGACCTACAAAGAGACTCAGTCTCCCACACAATAATAATGGGAGACTTTAACACCCCACTGTCAACATTAGACAGATCAACGAGACAGAAAGTTAACAAGGATACCCAGGAATTGAACTCAGCTCTGCACCAAGTGGACCTAATAGACATCTACAGAACTCTCCACCCCAAATCCACAGAATATACATTTTTTTCAGCACCACACCACACCTATTCCAAAATTGACCACATAGTTGGAAGTAAAGCTCTCCTCAGCAAATGTAAAAGAACAGAAATTATAACAAACTGTCTCTCAGACCACAGTGCAATCAAACTAGAACTCAGGATTAAGAAACTCACTCAAAACCACTCAACTACATGGAAACTGAACAACCTGCTCCTGAGTGACTACTGGGTACATAACAAAATGAAGGCAGAAATAAATATGTTCTTTGAAACCAACGAGAACAAAGACACAACATACCAGAATCTCTGAGACACATTCAAAGCACTGTGTAGAGGGAAATTGATAGCACTAAATGCCCACAAGAGAAAGCAGGAAAGATCTAAAATTGACACCCTAACATCACAATTAAAAGAACTAGAAAAGCAAGAGCAAACACATTCTGATAGACCACTAGCAAGACTAATAAAGAAGAAAAAAGAGAAGAATCAAATAGACACAATAAAAAATGACAAAGGGGATATCACCACCGATCCCACAGAAATACAAACTACCATCAGAGAATACTACAAACACCTCTATGCAAATAAACTAGAAAATCTAGAAGAAATGGATAAATTTCTCGACACATACACTCTCCCAAGACTAAACCAGGAAGAAGTTGAATCTCTGAATAGACCAATAACAGGCTCTGAAATTGTGGCAATAATCAATAGCTTACCAACCAAAAAGAGTCCAGGACCAGATGGATTCCCAGCCGAATTCTACCAAAGGTACAAGGAGGAACTGGTACCATTCCTTCTGAAACTATTCCAATCAATAGAAATCCTCCCTAACTCATTTGATGAGGCCAGCATCATCCTGATACCAAAGCCGGGGAGAGACACAACCAAAAAAGAGAATTTTAGACCAATATCCTTGATGAACACTGATGCAAAAATCCTCAATAAAACACTGGCAAACCGAATCCAGCAGCATATCAAAAAGCTTATCCACCATGATCAAGTGTGCTTCATCCCTAGGATGCAAGGCTGGTTCAATATATGCAAATCAATAAATGTAATCCAGCATATAAACAGAACCAAAGACAAAAACCACATGATTATCTCAATAGATGCAGAAAAGGCCTTTGACAAAATTCAACAACACTTCATGCTAAAAACTCTCAATAAATTAGGTATCGATGGGATGTATCTCAAAATAATAAGAGCTATCTGTGACAAACTCACAGCCAATATCATACTGAATGGGCAGAAACTGGAAGCATTCCCTTTGAAAACTGGCACAAGACAGGGATGCCCTCTCTCACCACTCCTATTCAACATAGTGTTGGAAGTTCTGGCCAGGGTAATTAGGCAGGAGAAGGAAATAAAGGGTATTCAATTAGCAAAAGATGAAGTCAAATTGTCCCTGTTTGCAGATGACATGACTGTATATCTAGGAAACCCCATTGTCTCAGCCCAAAGTCTCCTTAAGCTGATAAGCAACTTCAGCAAAGTCTCAGGATTCAAAATCAATGTACAAAAATCACAAGCATTCTTATACACCAATAACAGACAAACAGAGAGCCAAATCATGAGTGAACTCCCATTCACAATTGCTTCAAAGAGAATAAAATACCTAGGAATCCAACTTACAAGGGACGTGAAGAACCTCTTCAAGGAGAACTACAAACCACTGCTCAAGGAAATAAAAGAGGATACAAAAAAATGGAAGAACATTCCATGCTCATGGGTAGGAAGAATCAATATCATGAAAATGGCCATACTGCCCAAGGTAATTTACAGATTCAATGCCATCCTCATCAAGCTACCAATGACTTTCTTCACAGAATTGGAAAAACCTACTTTAAAGTTCATATGGAACCAAAAAAGAGCCTGCATCTCCAATTCAATCCTAAGCCAAAAGAACAAAGCTGGAGGCATCATGCTACCTAACTTCAAACTATACTACAAGGCTACAGTAACCAAAACAGCATGGTGCTGGTACCAAAACAGTGATAGAGATCAATGGAACAGAACAGAACCCTCAGAAATAATGCAGCATATCTACAACTATCTGATCTTTGACAAACCTGAGAAAAACAAGCAATGAGGAAAGGATTCCTTATTTAATAAATGGTGCTGGGAAAACTGGCTAGCCATATGTAGAAAGCTGAAACTGGATCCCTTCCTTACACCTTATACAAAAATTAATTCAAGATGGATTAAAGACTTAAACGTTAGACCTAAAACCATAAAAACCCTAGGAGAAAATCTAGACATTACCATTCAGGACATAGGCATGGGCAAGGACTTCATGTCTAAAACACCAAAAGCAATGGCAACAAAAGCCAAAATTGACAAATGGGATCTAATTAAACTATAGAGCTTCTGCACAACAAAAGAAACTACCATCAGAGTGAACAGGCAACCTACAGAATGGGAGAAAATTTTCGCTACCTACTCATCTGACAAAGGGCTAATATCCAGAATCTACAATGAACTCAAACAAATTTACAAGAAAAAAACAAACAACCCTATCAAAAAGTGGGCAAAGGACATGAACAGACACTTCTCAAAAGAAGACATTTATGCAGCCAAAAAACACGTGAAAAAATGCTCATCATCACTGGCCATCAGAGAAATGCAAATCAAAACCACAATGAGTTACCATCTCACACCAGTTAGAATGGCAATCATTAAAAAGTCAGGAAACAACAGGTGCTGGAGAGGATGTGGAGAAATAGGAACACTTTTACACTGTTGGTGGGACTGTAAGCTAGTTCATTCATTGCGGAAGTCAGTGTGGCCATTCCTCAGGGATCTAGAACTAGAAATACCATTTGACCCAGCCATCCCATTACTGGGTATATACCCAAATGAGTATAAATCATGCTGCTATAAAGACACATGCACACGTATGTTTATTGCGGCACTATTCACCATAGCAAAGACTTGGAACCAACCCAAATGTCCAACAACGATAGACTGGATTAAGAAAATGTGGCACATATACACTATGGAATATTATGCAGCCATAAGAAATGATGAGTTCGTGTCCTTTGTAGGGACATGGATGAAACTGGAAATCATCATTCTCAGTAAACTATCACAAGAACAAAAAAACCAAACACCGCATATTCTCACTCATAGGTGGGAATTGAACAATGAGGACACATAGACACAGGAAGGGGAACATCACACTCTGGGGTCTGTTGTGGGGTGGGGGGAGGGGGGAGGGATAGCATTAGGAGATATACCTAATGCTAAATGACGAGTTAATGGGTGCGGCACACCAGCATGGCACATGTATACATATGTAACTAACCTGCACATTGTGCACATGCACCCTAAAACTTAAAGTAGAATAATGAAATAAAGAAAATTAAATAAATAAAAATAAAATGAAATGTAAATGAATTACACTCTCCATTCAAAAAACATAGAGTGGCTGAATGGACTTTAAAAACAAGACCCGCTGATCTGTTGCGAAACACAGATGACATCAAAACCGTAAACTCAATGAAGGAATTTGTAAAAGAGACATGAATGAAATAAAGTGAATTTGAAAGGATAACACTGTAACTATATCTACATCTTTATCTACAACTATCCATAAGTAGAACAAACAGGAATGTGAAAATAAGCCAAATAAATTTTAATCATATATTAAATATTAAATGTTTAAAGTAAATGAAGGGGTTTTCTTTTCTTTACCATTTATATAGGTGCTTATTCTAGCACTAGCAACATATTATAGATACCATTGTAGCTCTGGAATTTTATTGGAATTGTATTACATGTATGCATATATATTCTCTGGGAGAGAATAGGCATCAGTACAATATAGTCTTCCAATCTAGAAATAGGAATCTCCACTTAATCACTTTTTTTTTTGAGACAGAGTCCTACTCTGTCACCCAGCCTGGAGTGCCGTGGCATGATCTCAGCTCACTACAACCTCTGTCTCCCAGGTTCAACTGATTCTCATGCCTCAGCCTCCCAAGTAGCTAGGATTACAGATGTGTACCACCATGACCAGCTAATTTTTGTATTTTTTGTAGAGAGTGGGTTTCTCCATGTTGGTCAGGATGGTCTTGAACTCCTGGCCTCATGTGATCTGCCCACCTCAGACTCCCAAATTGCTGGAATTACAGGCGTGAACCACCGCACCCGGCCAATCATTTTTTCATGTACATCCATAAGGCCTAATAGTTTTCCCATAAAGGTCTCTACATATTTCTTGATACATACGTTGTTCTTATAAATAGGATTTTCCCCATTATATGTGTTAATTTCTTATTGTAGGTATACAATAAAACTGAAATCTTGCCTTGTATTTTACAACTGGAAATGTTATTGAATTTTTATTTTCCCCAATGATTTTTTTAGATGATTCTCTGAATTTTACTAAGAAACAATCTTACGATTGTAAATAGTGATAATTTTGTGTCTTCCTTTCTAATATACATACTTTTTCCTCCTTTTATCACATTAGGTAGAATATCTAGAAAAAATATTGAAACCATGGCAGTAGAAACAGATTTTATTAAAATATCTCTAATTTCTTATGATCAGACATAAACTTATGTATTGACCGGAGAATATTTTGTCATATTATGGAAATTATTTTTAGTATTTTTTGTTTTGTTTATTTTTTATATATTTAGGGGCTATAAGTACAGATTTTTTACATGTATATATTGTGTAATGGTGAAGTATGGCCTTTTAGTCTATGCATCACCTGAATAATGAAAATTGTACCAAATAGGTAATTCTTCAACCTTCATCCCCAACCCACATTTTTACCTTTTGTAGTCTCCAATGTCTATTTTTCCGCTCTGTATGTTCCTGTGTAGATATTATGTAAATTTATTTATATTCCTAGTTAAGACTTTGGTTTCTTGCTTTTTAAAATTTAGGAACACATGTAGAATTTTAAGTAACTATCTCTTTAATTCTCTTTTTTAAATTGCTTTTCTTGTATCTATTTAAGGTATATTTATGGTAGAAAATATATACATTGCAGAATAATTAAATCAAGCTAATTAACATACACATTACCTCATTTTTTTGTTGTTAGAACATTTAAAATATATTCTCTTAGCAATTTTCAAGTATATAATATGTTGTCATTGACTATAGTAAACATGATGTGCAACTGACATCTTGCACATTAACTTCTTCCTCCCGTCTAACTGAAATTTTGTATTTTTCAACTGACATCTCTTCAATCCCCCTACCTCAGTCTCCGGTAACCACCATTTTACTCTCTCATTCTATGAGTTTGACATTTTTAGATTCCACATATCAGCAAGATCATAAAGTCTCTCAGTGCCTGGCTTATTGCACTTAACATAATGTCCTTGAGATTCATTGATGTCATCCCAAATGACATGATTTCTGTTTTTATGGCTGAATACTATTCCATTACATATATTTATCACATTTTCTTTCATCCATTTATCTGTTTGGGTTTTTTTCCAAGCTCACAAAAACACTTCTTATTTGAGGCAAAAAGAAGTCTTGCTGAAAGGATTAAAATTCCGAGCAGTCAAATCTCAACTGTTAGTTGCACTATTTTGACCTTGTAGATTGTTTTTCTCCTTAGTCATAAAAGGGTATTCAGATTGTACTTTCCCCAGCTGGGCAAAAATGGGGGCAAAGAAAACTGGAAGAAACTTCTACTCTATGGGTATTGCTCTTCAGACACAACATCAAGCCAGGCAAGCCCTCGCTGGTCAATCTATAGATGGCTGTCTCACCACTGAGTGTCACAGGCCACATTATATTGGCAAGAATAAAATGAGGCAGGAAAAACAGATGTAGTTCACTTGGAGATGAGCAGGCATCCACAGCTTCAAAATTCTTCCTAGAAGGGGTAATCCTTGTGCGAGGTACAGCTTACCAAGGCACAGTTTCTGTTGTAGCTAGGTAAGGTGGTCATATCCTTGCTGCTTAGTTCAAAGTAAAAGGCCTTAAAGTTCTCTGCAATGCATTTTTGTGTCACAGACTTGGGATTCACCACCAAGTTTCTCTGAATGGGAAATCAAATCAGAACCTGAGCTGTAGTTTTATTATGTTTGACTGTGATCACCTTGCTTCTGGCATCCTCCAGGACAGAAGAATCCTTGAGCTTTGCCCAGGGCCTGTCCAGACAGTCAAGGGGGCTATAGGCAGTCACCATGATGCCTTTGGACTGGCAGTACTGGATTAACTTCTTTTGAGTTAGGTATGTGCAGAACTCAATCTCTTTAACCATTGGCTGATACTTTAAGCCACGTTTGTTTAAGATCCTCCTGACATGAGAATAGTTGAACTTGGAGATGCCAATAGCTTTCACCAACCCTTCATCCACCAGCTCTTTCATGGCTGCTCATGTGTCCACAATGCTGGTGTCATTGGGATATACAATGGCTGAATCATCCAGTGGGAAAAATTTCTTCCCTGGCTTAAAGCCAGTTGTCCAGTGAATAAGGTAGATGTCTAGGTAGTCCAGATTCAAGTAACTGAGCATCTTCTGGCAGGTTTTTTTCAGCAGACCCTTCTTAAGACATGTGCACCACAGATTGCTGATGATGAAGAGCTACTTGCACTTTACTGCCTGCTCCCTGAGCTTCTCCTAAATGGCCACCCCTGACTCATTCTCATTCTGGTACACGTGGGCACAATCTATGTGGCAGTACCCAATGTTAATCACCACATTTACAGACTCGGTCACCAGGTCTGGAGGAGACTTCCAGGTACCTGGCCCCAGGATGGACATCTTGGCACTGTTGTTGAGCAAAAGATGGTTGATCATGGCTGCTGTACTCCTAGATCCCCACCCAGAACCATGTACATTTATCTGTTGATAAATACTTAGGTTGATTCCATATCTTGGCTACTGTGAATAATGCTGCATTTATCATGGGAGTGCAGTTATCCTTTTGCAATTCTGATTTCTTTTTGATATATACACAGTAATAGGGTTGCTGGATCATATAGTAGTTCTATTACTAATTTTTTGAGGAACTTTCATTCTCTTTTCTATAATGGCTGTACTAATTTACATTTCTACCAACAATGCACCATGATTCCTTTTTCCCCATGTTCTCACCAATATGTGTTATCTTTCAGCTTTTTTAAAATAGTCATTTTAATAGGCAAGAAATTTTCATTATGGTTTTGATTTGTTTTTTCCTGATGATTAGCCATGTTAAGAATTTGCTGATATACCTGTTGAGCATTTGTCTTATTTTAAGAAATGTCTATTCAGGTTCTTTTCCCATTTTTAATCAGATTGCTTTATTACTTTTGAGTTCCTTATGTATTTCAAATGTTATTAGCCCTATATCAAATGTGTAGTTTGCAAATATATTCTCTCATTCAGTACATTGTCTCCTTATCCTGTTCATTGTTTTCTTCTGTGCAGAAGCTTTTTAGTTTGATGTAATCCCATTTGTCTCTTTTTACTTTTGTTGCCTGTGCTTTCAGAGTCACATCCAAAAAATCATTGCCCAGACCAATTTCATAGAGGTTTTTTCCCCCTTTCTAAAAAACAACTTTTATTTTTGGTTCAGGGGTATATGTGAATATTTGTTATATAGGTAACCTTGTGTCATGGGGGTCTGTTGTACAGATTATTTCATCACTAAGGAATTAAGCCCAGTAACCAATAGTTATCTTTTCTGCTCCACTTCCTCCTCACACCCTCCACCCTCAAGTAGATCCCAGTGTGTTGTTCCCTTCATTGTATTCATGAGTTCTCTTCATTTAGCTCCCACTTATAAGAGATAATGTGTGGTATTTGGTTTTCTGTTCCTGTGTTAGTTTGCTGAGGATAATAGCCTGTGGCTCCATCCATGCTCCTGCAAAAGACATGATGTCATTCTTTTTATGACTGCATAGTATTCCATGGTGTGTCTGTATCACGAACTCTGTCATTGATGGCCATTTAGATTGATTCCACTTTTTGCTATTGTGAATAGTGTTGCAATGAACATTCACAAGATTGTGTGTGTGTGGTAAAATGATTTATATTCCTCTGGGTATATACCCAATAATGGGATTGCTGGGTTGAATGGTGGTTCTGTTTTTAGCTCTTTGAGGAATCACTGTACTGCTTTCCACAATGGTTAAACTAATTTACACTCCCATCAACAGTGTATAAGTGTTTTCTTTGCAACCTTGAACTAGCTCTTTGATTCCATAAAGACACTAATTTTCAAGGATGCTCTCCCCCTTCTTTTTATAATTATCAAAGATAATTGCATATGTTATTGCATATTCTAGGGTATTGATGTCAAAAATCAAAGAGCTTGAGGAGAAGAAGAAGTACTTCAGTTGAAAATAATTTATTATTTTATTAAAAGTGGCTACTGGAGTTCAGCATTATGACAGCCTGTAGGATGAGATTATAGCAGATGTCAGACTCTTATAGTATGAAATATCTAGTCAATTTTGACCAAATATTATCAAAAATTAGATTATTTCAGAGAAAAATCATTCTAACAACATGTTTATTTTACACCATGCAGACAAAATAAATGGGATTTTGATTTTATATGAAAATAGGAAGTCACTAGTTGATTTTCTCTGCAAATTAATTAATCTCTCTTTTTCTTGACCTGAAATCTTTATTTTCCTTTAAGAAATGCTCTCTTCCTCCTCCTCCCACCTCTGTTCATATGATTTTTTTTAACTTTTGATTTACATATGTTATTGGGGGAATGGGTAGTGGTTGGTTACATGAGTAAGTTTTTTAGTGGTAATTTGTGGAATTTCGGTGCAGCCATCACTTGAGCAGTATACACTGCACACAATTTGTACTCTTTTATCCCTCATTCCTGCCGAGATCAGCTCGGTCATGGAGAGCCTAACCCAGTGGTGCTAGAGGAATTAAAGACACACACACGGAAGTATGGAATATGGAGTGGGAAATCAGGTGACTGACAGCCTTCGGGGCTGACAGCCTTCAGAGCTGAGAGCCACGAACAGAGTTTTACCCACATATTTATTGATAGCAAGCCAGTGATAAGCATTGTTTCTATAGATTATAGATTAACTAAAATGGGAAACAAAGGGATGGGCTGAAACAAAGGGATGGGCTCTGGCTAGTTATCAGCAGCAGGAACATGTCCTTAAGGCACAGATTGCTCGTGCTATTGTTTGTGGCTTAGGAACACCTTAAGCAATTTTCTGCCCTGAGTGGGCCAGGTGTTCCTTGCCCTCATTCCAGTAAACCCACAACCTTCAGCAAGGGCGTCATGGCCATCATGAACATGTCACAGTGCTGCAGAGATTTTGTTTGTGGCCAGTTTTGGGGCCTCTTACCAACATATTCCCCCTTTTTGTTTTTGCAAGACATTAAAAGCAAAGGTGGTTTTATCACAGTGAGCTACTTCTCGCAGGAGTTGGGATCCACAACTGCAGACTATACAAAGACGAACAACACAGATTAAAAGCACAATCATCATTGAAGTCACACAGCTTCCACGTGTTTTTATCTAGTTTAATGGGTTACTAGCTGCTAATCTGTCTGCAGCTCCTTCAAGCGCTCCAGTTCCTGGCATTAAGGTCAGTGTGCCTGGGATGCTTTAAATATTTGTTCTTTTAATTTTGCAATATCCAAAGACAAGTTTGTAGAGTGTCCTTCTAGATCCTTTTTCATTCTTTCCCAAATTTTGATCTTATTAAGAGCCATTAATAGTAGCCACAAATCCTTATGTTTAGCTCCTACAGCAGGCCATACCATTTGAGGTTGAGGTGCCACTATACCACTATGTTTCCAGATAATAGGAACTCTTGCCATACTTCTTACCATTTCTACCATCTGACCATTTTGGTCAGACCAGCTGAACATACTGTGGCCATGGCACACAGACTGAGAGGTGCAATTCAAGCTAAACATCCCCTTAGGGGACCAACTAATAATGATTCCACAGGAATCATTATGCAGCACCTCTGCCTGTTCTGCAATGCAATCTTCCCAAACAAGTACGTTCATTATTTCTGGTCAGGTCCAATTCTGTTTACAAATAGGTTTTTGAGGGTGGTATGCCTCAATTATAGGAGTAGATTTATTATGGTAAATACTGAGATCAGAAAGCATGTGTAATTGTGTCATAGAGTGATTACATCCAGGCATTATTGCCAGTCAAGATTGATAGCGAGGAGTATGCAACTAGTGGCCTTTCCCAAACAGATAGGTGGATGTTCAAATCCTAAAGAAATATTCATAATGGTTCTTTCCTCATGTAGGTGAGATGGGCCTCTATCATCTGTAGGACCAAGCATTCAAGAGCTATCATTAGTGTATACCTCCACTGGGGGGTCCAGCCAAGTTACAGGCCATAGAAGTGGTGGAAAAGGTAAATATGCCCAATAGGTATAATTGTTCTCTGTGTCAGCCATTGCTAAAGGAATACTCACAGCAATGGTGATCACCGCTATCATAGCTATCATTAAATTACTCATTGTGACTGGTTGCCCCACTTTCCTCGGGTTTTCTTCTGCTATCTGTGACAGCTTCTTGATCTGTCGCCAGGTAGGTGGCTGTGTTCGAAGGGTGTTGCTTGTGACACTTGGGGTCCTCCTCAGCATCAGTCTCAACATGGCTGCAACCAGGGGGTCCTCAGGATCCTCCTGGAATCTCTTCCTAGGTATCTGGATCATCATAAGGTTTCAGGTGTCTTGATGGTATTCAAATCGGCTGCTGGTTCTGGCCTGGAGGAACACAAGCATAACCTCTACCCCAAGTTATTATTTTACCTATTTCCCAACTTTTTATCGGATCTCTCCACCAAACCAGTTGTTCTGCTTCTGTCTTTGCAGCTGGTTTCTGTAGATGCTGTTCAGCTGCTGATAGCATCTGGCCTTTAGGCAGGCTCAAAAAATTTAAATTCAATAATGCTAGATTCAATTGCATATGGGGTGTCCTGTAGTCCCTGTTTCCCCCTTTTTGCTTTTGCAACTGCTGTTTCAGTGAGAGATTCATTCTTTCCACAATGGTTTGTCCTTGAAAATTATATGGGATACCAGTAATGTGTTTAATATTCCATATAGAGAACAATGTAGCTAGAGCTTGGCTAGTATAGCCTGGGGCATTGTCCATTTTGATAGAAGCTGGAATGTCCAACACTGCAAAACACTGCAAAAGGTGATGTTTAACACAGGCAGAAGACTCTCCTGATTGGCATGTAGCCCAGACAGAGTGAGAAAAGGTGTCCACACATACATGTACATAAGATAGTCTCCCAAATGAGGGAACATGTGTGACATCCATTTGCCAAAGAGAATTAGGTTCCAATCCCCAAGGATTAACTCCTCCTGTAAAAGATGAAGAATGCACCATTTGACAAGTTGGGCATTGCTGGATAATAGCTTTAGCTTCTTTCCAGGTGATTCTGTATCTGTGTTTGAGACCAGAGGCATTAACATGGGTTAAATTGTGAAAGTGTCTGGCATTAGATATTGCAGTAGCAACTAGGTAATCAGCTATTCGATTCCCTGCAGTCAAAGGTCCTGGAAGAGGTGTATGAGCTCTAATATGAGTAATGTAAAAATGGTGCATTCTACTCTTAACTGCTGTTTGCAATTGGGTAAATAAAGTCATCAGTTGTTCATATGAAATCAAAGCTGAGTATTTTCAATTAATTGTGTGGAATGAATCATGTATGAAGAATCAGAAATCATATTAATAGGCATATCAAACACACTCCATACCTCAATTACAGCTACAAGCTCTGCTTTTTGACTGAGGTTTAGGACATCTGAAAAACTTTACCTTTCAATCCAGAATAAGAAGGTTTATGATTACTAGACCCATCTGTGAAGACATTCTCAGCACCTTAAATTGGTTTAAATTTAGTTATTTTAGGTAGACTCCAATTAGTTAATTTCAAAAATTGAAATAATTTTGTTTTAGGAAAATGATTATCAAGAATACCCACAAAGTCAACTAAATGGGTTTGCCAAGTAAGACTATTTATAAAAGCTTGCTGTGTTTGTGCCTTCATGAGAAAGACAGTAATTTTTCCATGATCATATCCACATAATTTAACAATCTGAGTTCTCCCATTTCCTATCATGGTAGTGATTTGATCCAAATAAGGAGTTAGAGTCCTTCAATTAGTATGTGGAAGAAAAAGCCATTCTACTAAGTACTGCTCTTGGACAATAACACCAGTAAGTGAAGGTTGAATTGGAAAAATTAGCAAATCTAGAGTCTTCTCTGGATCTATTCTATTTATTTGAGCTTTATTGACTTGCTTTTCAATCAGTTGTAACTCTGCCTCAGCCTCCTTTGTTAATTGCCAAGGGCTAGTGAGACTAGGATCTCCTCTAAGGATAGAAAATAGATTACTCATGGCATAGGTAGGAATGCCTACAGCAGGTTGTATCCAATTAATGTCCCCTATTAACTTTTGAAAGTCATTTAATGTTTTCAATTGATTCTTACATATGGTTACTTTCTTGGCATTATTGTAGTGTATTCACTGAGGTCCCCAAGTAGGAGTAAGGAGTGGTAGTCTGAATTTTGTCAGGAGCTATAATTAAACCAATGCAAGAAATCGAGTTTTGCAAGTGATCATAACATTGGAGTAATAGTTCTTGAGTGGGACAGAACAAAGTATATCATCCATATAATGAATAATGTAACACTGTGAAAATGTTTTAAGAGTAGGTTCAATTGCTTGCCTTACATACATCTGGCAAGTTGTTGAACTGTTTAACATGCTTTGTGGCAACACTTTCCAATGAAAATGCTTAATAGGCTGCAGGTTGTTAACCTCAGGGATTATAAATGCAAACCTTTCACAGTCTTGCTCAGGTAAGGGGATAGTAAAGAAACAGTCTTTTAAATCTATGACTATTAAAGGCCAGTTTTTTGGAATCGTAGCAGGAGAAGGCAATCCTGGCTGTAATGTCCCCATGGGTTGTATAACTGAATTAATGACTCTAAGATTTGTCAACATTCTCCATTTACCTGATTTTTTCTTAATTACAAAAACTGGAGAATTCCAGGGGGAAAATGTTGGAGCTATGTGTCCTTTTTCTAACTGTTCAGTAACGAAGTCTGCTAAAGCCTCCAGTTTCTCTTTACCTTGGCCATTGTTCTAACCAAATTGGCTTATCTGTTAACCATTTTAAACGTATAGGTTCTGGAGGCTTAACAATGGCTGCCATCAAAAATGATATCCTAAACCTTGGCAGGAACTTTGTCTTCCCATTGAAACAATTCCTTCAAACCTTGCAAATTTTTTCCTAGTACCATACCAGGGACATACCCCATTTCATGCATCATATGTTGACTTTGAGGGCTATATAATTGTTCAGGAATTAGAACTTGCACTCCCCATTGTTGTAATAAATCTCCCCTCTAAAAATTTATAGGTACAGAAGTTATAATTGGTTGAATAGTCCCAGGTTGTCCATAGGGCCCTTCACAATGCAAAATATAACTACTTTGATATACTTCAGGGGCTTTACCAACTCTAACTATGTTAAATTGAATGGGTTGAATTTGCCACATGGACGGCCAGTGCTGTAGAGAAATGACTGAAATGTCCACTCCTTTATCTACCAAAGCTTTAAATTTCTTTCCCTGAATAGTTATTTCACAGGTAGGACATTTATCAGTAATTTGATTCACCCAATAAGTTGCTTTGTCTTGTTTATTTCCGCTTCCAAATCCTCCTGTTCGTTTAGGTTCACTTTTCCCCATTTTCACATACGGCACAATCAGGAGTTGTGCTATACACTCTCCTGGCTCTGCTTTCCAGGGAAGAGAGGTAGATATAACAATTTGAACTTCCCCATTGTAATCTGAATCAATGACTCCTGTATGTACTTGCACTCCTTTTAAAGTTAAACTAGATCTACCTAGAAGTAATCCTACCGTCACCACTGGCATCATCTGACTGGAGAGAGCAACATTCTTTAACAGTCCCATTATAAAAGGAGAACCTTGTCTATATTGATTAATAGCTTGCTTAAATTCTTTGAGTAATTTAAAAGGAAAAGGCTCAAATGTAACTATAATATTTCCTTGTTAATCTGGGTGGTGTATACTAACAGGGAACTGCCAAGCCTTTATATCACCCTCTTGTCTAACTTGCTGGATTCCTGCCTGAATAGAACTGAGAGTGGTCACTCAAGGCACTGCCCAAACAGTCACTGAGGCAACTACTTTTTGCCCAGTGTCCTCTGGAAAAGAAAAATCTGGAGGGTCAGGCCATTCTTTTTCTTCAAAATAATGAGGGGGTGCAGAAGGGTAGGGATGAACCTCTCCCTCCTTTGCCACTTTAGCTTTAGCTGACAAACAAACCTGCTCTGTCGCCTCTTCTGTTACTTCATTATACTCTCCTTCCTCCTCATCATCAATGGAAAATGTTCCAAGGTGGAACAAACCAGAGCCCACACTTGTCCCATTGTTACCCTGATGCTTCTGAGCTCCCCTTCTTACTCACCACGGGGATTGCTTCAGAGTACTCAGGTGTCCTCCAGCTTAGTTTCAGATTCTCCAACCATCACTCCGTGACACTTCAACCCAGGTTTGACCCTCATGTATGGGCACCACATGCCAAGACCAGCTCAGTCCTGGACACCCTAACCCAGTGGCGCTAGAAGAATTAAAGACACACACACAGAAATGTAGAGTGTAGAGTGGGAAATCAGGTGACTGACAGCCTTCAGAGCTGAGAGCCATGAACAGAGTTTTACCCACATATTTATTGACAGAAAGCCAGTGATAAGCATTGTTTCTATAGACTGTAGATTAACTAAAATGGGAAACAAAGGGATAGGCTGAAACAAAAGGATGGGCTCTGGCTAGTTATCTGCAGCAGGAACATGTTCTTAAGGCACAGATTGCTCATGCTATTGTTTGTGGCTTAGGAATGCCTTAAGCAATTTGCCAACCTGGGTGGGCCAGGTTTTCCTTGCCCTCATTCCAGTAAACCCACAACCTTCAGAGTGGGTGTCATGGTCATCATGAACATATCACAGTGCTGCAGAGATTTTGTTTATGGCCAGTTTAGGTGCCTGTTCCCAAAACATCCCCTTCCCACCATTTCCCCCTGAGTCTCAAAACTCCATTGTGTCATTCTTATGCCTTTGCATCCTCATTCTTTAGCTCTGACATATGAGTGAGAACATACAATGTGTGATTTTCCATTCCTGAGTTACTTCACTTACAATAATGGTCTTCAATCTCATTCAGGTTGCTGCAAATGTCATTAATTCATTTCTTTTTATGACTGAGTAGTATTCCATTGTATATATATACCACAGTCTCTTTATACACTCATTGATTGATGGGCATTTGGGATAGTTCCACGTTTCTGCAATTGCAAATTGTGCTGCTATAAACATGCGTGTTCAAGTACTTTTTTTCGTATGACTTCTTTTCCTCTGGGTAGATACGCAGTAGTGGTATTGCTGGATCAAATGGTAGTTCTACTTTTAGTTATTTAAGGAATCTTCACACTGTTTTCCATAATGATTTTACTAGTTTACATTTCCACCAGCAGTGTAAAAGTGTTCCCTGTTCACCACATCCACATCAAGATCTTTTTTTTAATTAGTTTTTCATTGTGGCCATTCTTGCAGGTGCAAGGTGGTATTGCATTGTGATTTGGATTTGCATTTCCCTGATTATTAGTGATGTTGGGCATTTTTTCATATGTTTTTTGGCCATTTATACATCTTCTTTTGAGAATTTTCTATTCATGTCCTTATCCCACTTTTTGATGGGATTGTTTGTTTCTTTCTTGCTAATTTGTTTGAGTTAATTGTAGATTCTGGATATTAGTCCTTTGTTAGATGCATAGATTATGAAGATTTTTATCCTACTCTGTGGGGTTTCTCTATACTCTGTTGACTGTTCCTTTGGACATGCAAAATTCTTTAATTTAATTAAGTTTCAGCTATTTATCTTTGTTTTTGTTGCATTTGCTTTTGGGTTTTTGTCATGAAATCCTTGCCTAAGCTGATGTCTAGAAAACATTTTTCCAATGTTATCTTCTAGAATTTTCATAGTTTCAGGTCTTGGATATAAGTGCTTGATACATCTTGAGTTGATTTATGTATAAGGTGAGAGAAGAGAATCCAGTTTCATTCTCCTACATGTGGCTTGCCAATTAACCCAGCAATATTTGTTGGAGAGGGTGTCATTTCCTCACTTTATGTTTTGGTTTCATTTGTCAAAGATCAGTTGGCTGTAAATATTTGGGTTTATTTCTGGGTTCTCTATTCTGATCCATTAGTCTATGTGCCTATTTTTATACGAGTACCATGCTGTTTTGGTGACTATGGCCTTATAGTATAGTTTGAAATCAGGTAATTGATGTCTCCAGATTTGTTCTTTTTGCTTCTTCTTGCTTTAGCTATGTGGGCTCTTTTTTGGTTCCATATGAATTTTAGAATTGTTTTTCTAACTGTGAAGAATGACAGTGGTATTTTGATGGGGATTGCACTGAATTTGCAGATTCATTTTGGCAGTATGGTGATTTTTTACAATATTGATTCTACCCATCCATGAGCATGGGATGTGTTTGCATTTGTTTGTGTCATCTATGATTTCTTTCAGCAGTGTTTTGCACTATTCCTTGTGGAGGTTTTTCACCTCCTTTGTTAGGTATGTTCCTGAGGTTTTTTTGTTTGTTTGTTTGTTTGTTTGCAGCTATTGTAAAACGAATTGAGTTCTTGATTTGATTCTCTGCTTGGTTGTTGTTGGTGTATAGGAGAGCTACTGATTTGTGTATATTAACTTTCTTTTTTTTTATACTTTAAGTTCTGGGGTTCATGTGCAAAACGTGCAGGTTTGTTACATATGTATATATGTGCTGTGTTGGTGTGCTGCACCCATTAACTCATAATTTACATTAAGTATATCTCCTAATGCTATCCCTCACCCCTCCCCCCACCACATGACAGGCCCCAGTGTGTGATGTTCCCCACCCTGTGTCCAAGTGTTCTCATTGTTCAATTCCCACCTATGAGTGAGAACATGTGGTGTTTGGTTTTCTGTCCTTGCGATAGTTTGCTCAGAATGATGGTTTTCAGTTTCATCCATGTCCCTACAAAGGACATGAACTCATCCTCTTTTATGGCTGCATAGTATTCCATGGTGTATATGTGCCACATTTTCTTAATCCAGTCTCTCATTGTTGGACATTTAGGTTGGTTCCAAGTCTTTGCTATTGTGAATAGTGCCACAATAACACTTCTCAAAAGAAGACATTTATGCAGCCAAGAGACACGTGAAAAAAATGCTCATCATCACTGGCCATCAGAGAAATGCAAATCAAAACCACAATGAGATACCATCTTGCAATAGTTAGAATGGCGATCATTAAAAACTCAGGAAATGACAGGTGCTGGAGAGGATATGGAGAAATAGGAACACTTTTACACTGTTGGTGGGACTGTAAACTAGTTCAACCATTGTGAAAGACAGTGTAGCAATTCCTCAAGGATCTAGAACTGGAAATACCATTTGACCCAGCCATCCCATTACTGGATATATACCCGAAGGATTGTAAATCATGCTGCTATAAAGACACATGTACATGTATGTTTATTGTGGCACTATTCACAATAGCAAAGACTTGGAACCAACCCAAATGTCCATCAATGATAGACTGGATTCCAATGACTTTGTTCAAAGAATTGGAAAAAACTACTTTAAAGTTCATATGGAACCAAAAAAGAGCCTGCATCACCAAGTCAATCCTAAGCCAAAAGAACAAAGCTGGAGGCATCACGCTACCTGACTTCAAACTATACTACAAGTCTACAGTAACCAAAACAGCATGGTACTGGTACTAAAACAGAGCTATAGATCAATGGAACAGAACAGAGCCCTCAGAAATAATGCCACATATCTACAACTATCTGATCTTTGACAAAACTGAGAAAAACAAGCAATGGGAAAAGGATTCCCTATTTAATAAATGGTGCTGGGAAAACTGGCTAGCCATATGTAGAAAGCTGAAACTTGATCCCTTCCTTACATCTTATACAAAAATTATTTCAAGATGGATTAGAGACTTAAATGTTAGACCTAAAATCATAAAAAACCCTAGAAGAAAACCTAGGCAATGCCATTCAGGACATAGGCGTGGGCAAGTACTTCATGACTAAAACACCAAAAGCAATGGCAACAAAAGCCAAAATTGACAAATGGGGTCTAATTAAACTAAAGAGGTTCTGCATAGCAAAAGAAACTACCATCAGAGTGAACATGCAACCCACAGAATGGGAGAAAATGTTTACAATCTACCCGTCTGGCAAAGGGCTAATATCCAGAATCTACAAAGAACTTAAACAAATTTACAAGAAAAAATCAAATAACCCCATCAAAAAATTGAGGGAAGGATATCTACATTAACTTTCTATCCAGAAACTTTGCTGCATTCTTTTATCAGTTCTGGGAGATTTCTGGAGGAGTCTTTAGGGTTTTTTAGGTAAACAGTCACATCATCAACCAACAGCACCAGTTTGACTTTCTCTTTACCAATTTGAATGCCCTTTATATTTTTCTCTTGTCTGATTGCTCTGGCTAGGACTTCCAGTATTATGTTGAACAGGAGCAGTTAGAGTGGGCATTTTTTTCTTGTTCCAGTTCTCAGATGGAATGCTTTCAACTTTTCCCCATTCAGTGTTATGTTGGCTGTGGGTTTGTCATAGATAGTTTTTATTACATTGAGGTATGTTCTTTGCATGCCACAAGTTGATTCAAAAGCCCTTGGGCCTTAAGGGAAGATTGGCAGTAGTCCAGCAGTACTCCCTGTGGACCTGTCATAGAGGTGGCCAAGCAGTGGGATTCCTCTGCATTTGGAAAGGGGAGGGAAAAGTGGGAAAGATTCCATCTTGCGTTTTGAATGCCAGCTCAGCTACAGCACAATAGAACATCTGGTAGGCTTCTAAGGTTTTTGACTCTATTCCCTAGCTCCCAAAAGGCAAGGAACACAAGAAACAAGCCTGGCTTAATTTGGTATCTGCTGACTGTACAACCCCAAAGACTTCAGAAAACATAGAAAGTAGCCAGGGAGTGATTACAGCACTGGTTGGGTGAGAGTCAATGCTGTATTGTCTTCAGGTCTGACCCAGCACAGTCATAGTGGTGGTAGTCACAGAGTTACTTGTGTCACTCCATCCCCAGCTCTGGGAGACACAGCACAGAGAGAGAGAGACTGCATTGTTTGGGAGAAAATAATGGATGAGAACACCAGTCTCTGTCTGGTAATCCAGAAAAGTCTCCCAGATCTTGTCCAGGACCATAAAGGTGGCACCTGTACAAATCTACAAAACCCACAGCATTACTGGGCTAATGATGCACCCAACAGAAGTCAGAGCTTAAATCACAACACCCAAGTCCTTTTGAATATCTGGAAAGCCTTTCTAAGAAAGACAAGAACACAAGAGACCAGGCAGTAATAATTACAATAAATACTTGACTCTTCAATGCCCAGACACAGAAGAACATCTGCAAGTATAAACACATTTCAGGAAAAAAAAATCACGACTCCAAATAAACTAAATAAGGCACCAGGAAGCCTCCTAAAAAAACACCTATGCAAACTTTCAGAAGGGGAATTCAAAATGGCTGCATTGAGGAAACAAAAATAAATTCAGGAGAACACAAAGAAGAAATATAGATTTCTATCACATAAATGTAATGAAAATATTAAAATACGTTTTAAATCTAGCAGAAATTCTGAAGATGAAAAATGCAATTGGTATGCTAAAGAATGCCTCAGAGTCTTTTACAGCAGAGTTGATCAAGAAGGAAGAATTAGTGACCTTGAAGACAAGTTATTTGAAAATACAGTTAGAGGAGAAAACAATAAAGCATGCCTACAGGATCTAGAAAATAGCCACAAAGGATGAGTTTAATTTCTATTGGCCTTAAACAGAAGGTAGAGAAAGACATAGGGGTAGAAAATTTATTCAAAGTAATAATAACAGAACTTCCCAAACTTAGAGAAAGATATCAATATCCAAATACAAGAAGATTATACAACATGAAAGAAATTCAACTGAAAGAAGACTATCTCAAGGCATTTAACAATCAAACTCCCAAAGGTCAATGATAAAGAAAGAATTCTAACAGCAGCAAGAGAAAAGAAACAAATGACATACAATAGAGCTCCAATACAGCTACCACCAGACTTTTCAGTGAAAACATCACAGGCCAGAAGAGAGTGGCATGACATATTTAAAGTGTTAAAGTAAAAACCTTAAAGCTAAAATTGTAATAGATTTAGTGAAACTATACTTCAAACATGGAGAAATAAAAACTTTCCCAGATAAACAAAAGCTGAGGGATGTCTTTAACATCCACTCTGTTCTACAAATTGCTAAAGGGAGAGCTTCAATCAAAAAGAAAAGGACATTAATGAGCAATAAGAAATCATCTGAAGGTACAAAACACAATGGTAATAGAAGTACACAAAAAACCCACAAAATATGATAACACTGTTACTGTCATTTATAAACTACTCTGAACTAAAGTAAAAAGACTGCTCTATATACCAGTCAAAAACAATAACTACAATAATTTTTTAAGACATAGACAGTACAATAAAATATTAATAGAAACAACAAAGATTTTAAAAGCAAGGGGATTTAGTTGAGGCATAGAGCTTTTATCAGTTTTTTATTTGCTTATTTCTTTGTTTATGTAGTGTTGAGATGTTACCAGCTTAAAATAATGGGTTATAAGATAGTAATTGCAAGCCTTATGGTAACCTCAAACAAAAAGCATACAATGGATACACAAAAAATAAAAAGCAGGAAACTAAATTATGTTAGCAGAGAAAATTACTTTCACTAGAAGATGAGAGGAAAGAAAGAAAAAAGAGGAGAACACAAAACAACCATAAAATTAATAGCAAAATGACAGAGGTAAGCCCTTACTTATCAATATAAATATTGAATGTAAATGAACTAAACTTTCCAATTAAAAAACATAGAGTAGTTTAATCGATAAAAAACAAGACCCAATGATCTGTTGCCTACAAGAAACACACTTCACCTACCAAAAAAAAAAAAAAAAAAAAAACCCACATAGAAAGAAAATAAAGAAGAGATGGAAAAAGATATTTAATGCCGAAAGAAACAAAAAAAGAGCAGGAGTTATTATACATATATTAGACAGACTAGATTTCAAGCAACAAACTATAAGAAGAGACAAAAGGAGGTTACTATACAATGATAAATGGGACAATTCAGCAAGAGGTTATAACAATTTTAAATATACATGCAGCCAACACTAAAGCAGTCAGATATATTAAGCAAGTATTATTAAAGCTAAAGACAGAGCTAGGGCCCAATACGATAATAACTGGAGACACCAACACCTTGCTTCTTTCAACCCTGAACAGATCTTCCAGACAAAAAAATCAACAAACATTGGACTTAATCTGCAATATAGGCCAAAAGGAGCTAATAGATATTTATAGAACATTTTATTAAATGTCAGCATAATACACATTCTTTTCCTCAGCACAGGAACTATTCCCAAGAATAGACCATATGTTAGGTAACAAGACAAATCTTAAAACAGTGAAAAAATTGAATTATCAAGCATCTTCTCTAACCACAAAGAAATAAAACTAGAAATTAATAACAAGAATAATTTTGGAAGCTATGTGAATACATGGAAATTAAGCAATATGCTCCTGAATAATCAGTAGGTCACAGAAGAAATTAAGAATAAAAGTGAAAATTTTTTGAAGCAAATAATAATAATACAACATACCAAATTATCCTTGTTTGTATATGATTGTAGAATACTGAAACAACATTATAAATCAATAGCATTTCTATACGCCAACAGAGAACAATGAGAAAAAATATATATAATGTAATCCCATTTACAATAACCATATATAGAATGTAATAGCTAGGAGTTAACCAAAACAGTGAAAGATCTCTAGAAAAAAATAATAAAACATTGATGCAAGAAATTGAAAAATTCATGAGAAATGGAAAAATGTTTGATGTTTATGGATTAAAAGAATCCATATTGTTTAAATGACCATCCTACCCAAAGCAATCTACAGATCCAATGCAATTCTTATCAAAATCCCAATGGCATTGTTCACAGAAATAGAAAAAGCAATCCTAAAAAATATAAAAAAACACAAAATACCGAGAGTAGTCAAAGCTATTCTAAGCAAAAGAACAAAACATTTGGAATCATATTACCTGACTTCAAATTATACTACAGAACTATAGTAACCAAAACAGCATACTACATACAAATGGAGACACAGATTGATGGATCAGAATAGAGAATTCAGAAACAAATCCACACACCTACAATGAACTTATTTTTGACACAGTTGCCAAGAACGCACGCTGGAGAAAAAACCGTCTCTTCCACAAATGGTACTGGGAAAATTGGATATCCGTATGCAGAAGAATAAAGGTAGGCCCTTATCTCTCACTGTATACAAAAATCAAATACAAATGGATTACAGACTTAAATCTAAGACCTTAAACTATTAAACTACTAGAAAAAAAATCAGAGCAACTCTCCAGGAGACTGATCTTAACATAGATTTCTAGAGTAATATCCCACAAACACAGGCAACACAAGGAAAAATGGACAAATGGGATAATATCAGGTGAAAAAGCTACTGCACAGCAAAGTATATAATCAACAAAGTGAAGACACAACCCACAGAATGAAAGAAAATATTTGCAAACTACCCATCTCACGTGGGATTAATAATCAGAATGTATAAGTAGCTCTAACAACTTTATAGGTGGAAACATACTAATCTGATTCAAAAATAGGCTAAATATTTGAACAGAAATTTCTTAAAAGAAGACATAAAAATGACCTACAGGTATATGAAAAGGTGCTCAACATCATTGATCATCAGAGAAATGCAAATCAAAACTACAATGAGATATCTCAACCCAGTTGAAATGGCTTATATCCAAATGTCAGCCAATAACAACTACTGGTGAGGATATGGAGAAAAGAGAACACCCGTACACTGTTGGTGAAAGGTAAATTAGTACAACTACTATGGAGAACAATTTAGAGGCTCCTTTAAAAACTATAAATAAAGCTTCCACGTGACCCAGCAATCCTACTGCTCAGATTACACCCAAAAGAAAGAAAATCAATACATTGAAGAGATATCGGCACTCCTATGTTTGTTAAAACACTGTTCACAAGAGCCAACATTTGGAAGCAACCTAAATGTCCATCAACAGATAAATGAATAAAGAAAACGTGGTACTTATACACAATGGAGTACTATCCAGCCTTTAAAAAAACCAAGATCCTGTAATTTGCAACAACATGGGTGGAACTGAAGTTTATTATGCTAAGTAAGCCAGGCACAGAAACAGAAACATTACATGTTCTCACTTATTTATGGAATTTAAAAATCAAAACAATTTAACCCATAGAGATAGAGTAGAAGGATTGTTACCAGAGGCTGAGAAGAGTAGTAGGAGGTTGAGTGTGAGGTGAGGATGGTTAATGGCTACCAAAAAATAGACAGTATTAATAAAACCTACTATTTGATGGCACAGTAGAGTGACTGTAGTCAATAATAATTTAATTGTACATATTAAAATAACTAATAGTGTATATTTGTATTGTTTTTAACACAAAGGATAAATGCTTGAGGGGCTAAATACCCCATTTTACATGGTGTGATTGTTATGCATTGCATGTCTGTATCAAAACATCTCATTTGCCCCATAAATATATACATCTCCCTTGTACCCATAAAAATTATAATAAAAATGTTTAAAATTTTAAAAATTAAATAGTTATATTGTTAGCTAAAGGAAATGGTCCTTGGTTTAAAACAAAGATGAGCCCATTAATCCTAATATGAATGTTTGTCACCTTGAGAAATAAATGTTTTCCAGAAAAAGAAATCAATTCACAGAAATGGAACGTAGAAAGGTTGTTTCCAGAGGATAGTGGGTGGGTAGGAGAAATGGAGATATGGTGGTCAATGGGTACAAATTTTCAGTTATAAGATAAATAATTTCTGAGAAGGTAAGGTAAAGCATGTGAACTATAGTTAATAATATGATATTGTATGCTTGAAATTTGCTATGGGCATAGATCTTAAGTGTTCTTTCCACAACAACAAAAACAGGTAACTTTCAGGCAGTGAATGTATTAACTAGCTTGAGCAGTAATCTTTTCACAATGTATATGTACATGTAACAAATCAGTGCATCATATAACTTAAATACATACAATGTTTATTTGTAAGTTATACTTCAATGAAGCTGAAAAAAATAAACAATTTCTAATTTTTTAAGTAGAAATATATGCCAGATATAATTGAAAGAATATAATTTGTCTAACTATAGATACATTACAATGCCATTTAAGTGTACACACATAAACATATAATACTGAAACCTTTCTATGGAGATATATATAAGTATTTTAAAGGATACTCACCAAATTGATAAATGTAGGCACCTCTAGGAAGGGAGAATGGCATCATATTTAAGGGTAATTCAAAAGGAACTTCAAAAACTCTTACCATTAACATTTGAATTTTACATTACCTGGTAATTAAAAATTAAATTTTAATTTTAGAAAAGTAATAGGATATGGATATTCGATACAATGTTTCTCTTCTAATAATATCAATCAAAATGTCACTCAATTGACCCATCAATTTCATTTCTAGAATTACATCAAGATAAAATATTAGAAATGTGTGCAAAGATTTAACTACCTAGATATTTATTATGGCATTTTTTGTAATAGCAAAATTTAGAAATCACCAAATGTCTAAAATTATAAATTGCTAAGGTGAATTATACTATATTCACATAGTGAAGCTATATATAACCATTACAAAATAATGTTTCTGAAGAATTTTAGATGGCACATTAAAATATTCATGTTATATTCAGTAAAAACCGAGGTCACAAAATATTATGATTATCCCAATTTTATTTTTCTTAAACAGAGAAAAAGAAAGAGTGAGACTAGACTGTTAATAGTAATTAACTTAAGAATTTTATGAATTTTTAATTTTTTTAAATTTTTAATGTTTAGGGTACATGGTAGATGTATATTTTTATAGGGTACAAGATATTTTTGATACAGGCATGCAATATTACATAAGCATATCATGGAAAATCATATCCATTCCCTCAAACATTTATCCTTTGAGTTACAAACAATCCAATTATGCTCCTTGAGTTATTTTAAAATGTAAAATTAAGTTATTATTGATGGTAGTCACCCTGTTGTGCTATCAAATATTAGGTCTTATTCATTCTATTATTTTTGTACACACTAACCATTTCCAACTCCCTCCCAGCTCCCCACTACCCTTTCCAGCCTCTGGTAATCTCTCTACTCTCAATGTCCATTAGTTCAACTGTTTTGATTTTTACATCCCACAAATAAGTGAGAACATGCGATGTTAGTCTTTCTGTGCCTGGCTTATTTCACTTAACAGAATGATCTTCAGTTTTATTCACGTTGTTGGAAATGACTAGATCTCATTCTTTGTACGGCTGAATAGTACTCCATTGTGTATATGTACCACATTTTCTTTATCCATTCATCTGTTGATGGACACGTAGGTTTCTTCAAAATATTAGCTATTGTGAAAAGTGCTGCAACAAATGTAAGAGTGCAGATACCTCTTCAATATATTGATTTCCTTCATTTTGGATATATACCCAGCTGTGGGGTTCATGGATAATATAGTAGCTCAACTTTTAGTCTTTTTAAGAACCTGCAAACTGTTCTCTATAGTTGTTGTACTAATTTACATTCACAACAAACAGCGTACTAGAGATCCCTTTTCTCCATCCTTGCCAAAATTTGTTATTGCCTGTATATTGGATAAAAACCATTTTAACTGTGGTGAGATCATATCTCATTGTAGTTTTTATTTACATTTCTATGATGATCAATGATGTTGAGCACCTTTTCATACGTTTGTTTGCCATTTGTGTGCCTTCTTCTGAGAAATGTCTATTCAAGTCTTTTGTCCATTTTTTTTGGATTATTTCATTCTTCCTATAGAATTGTTTGAGTTCCTTATGTATACTGATTATTAATTCCTCATCAGATGGGTAGTATAAAAACATTTTCTGCCATTTTTGGAGCTGTCTCTTCACTTCATTGCTTGTATCCTTTGTTGTGCAGAAGGTTTTTAACTTGATATGATTCCATTTGTTTATTTTTGCTTTGGTTGCCTGTGCTTGTGGGTAATTGCTGAAGAAATTTTGGGCCAGCCCAATGTCCTAGAGATGTTCTCCAATGTTTTCTTGTGGTGATTTCATAGTTTAAAGTTTTAGATTTTATTCTGTGATACATTTTCACTTTATATATAGTGAGAGATAGAGGTTTAGTTTCATTCTTCTGCATATGAATATCCAGTATTCACAGCACCCTTTATTGAAGAGACTTTTTCCCATTGTATGTTCTTGACCCTTCTGTCAAAAATGACTTCACTGTAGGTCTGTGGATTTATTTCTGGGTTCTCTATTTTGTCCTATTGGTTTATTTGTCTATCTTTATGCCAATATCCCACTGTTTTGGTTACTATAGCTTTGCGGTATAATTTGAAGTCAGGTGATGCGATTCATCCAGTTTTGTTCTTTTTGCTTGGAATAGCATTGTCTATCCTGGGTCTTATATGGTTTCACATAAACTTTAAGATTGATTTTCCGATTTCTGTGAAAAATATCATTGGTAATTTGGATAGGAATTGTATTGAATCTATAGATTGCTTGGATTGTATGGACATTTTAACAATGTTGATTCTTCCAATTCATGAACATGAAAGAGCTTTTCATTTTTTTGGTGTCCTCTTCAATTTCTTTTATCAATGTTTTATAGTTTTCATTAAGGAAATCTTTCACGTTTTTGGTTAAGTTAATTTCCAGGTATTTACTTTTACGTGTGGCTATTGTAAGTGGGATTACTTTTTTATTTCTTTTTCACATTGTTCACTCTTGGCATATAGAAATGCTACTGATTTTTGTATGTTGATTTTGCATCCTGTAACATTACTAAATTTGCTTATCAGTTTTATGAGCTTTTTGTGGAGTCTTTAGGTTTTTTCAAAAAAAAGATCATATAATCTGCAAACAATAATTGTTTGACTTCTCCCTTTCTAATTGAGATGCCCTTTATATCTTTCTCTTGTGTGATTGCTCTAGCTAGGACTTCCAGTACTGTGTTGAATAACAGTGGTAACACTGGGCATCTTTGTTATGCTCTAGATCTTAGAGGAAAGGCTTTCGGTTTTTCCCCACTGAGTATGATACTAACTGTGGGTGTGTTGTACATGGCTCTTATTATGTTGAGGTATGTTCTTTATATTCTTAAATTTTCGAGGGTTTTTTTTGTCATAAGATTACGTTGAGTTTTATCAAATGCTTTTTCAGCATCAGCTGAAATGATCATATGGTTTTTATCCTTCATTTTCTTGATCTGATTTATCACATTGATTGATTTGCGTATGTTGAAACAACTTTGCATTCCAGAGGTAAATCCCCCTTTGTCATTATGAATGATCTTTCTAATGTATTATTGAATTCGGTTTGCTAGTGTTTTGTTGAGAGTTTTCACATCAGTATTCATTAGAGATATTGGCCTGTGGTTTTCTTTTTTTGATGTGTCTTTGTCTGGTTTTGGTACCAAGGTAATAATGACCTAAAAGAATGAGTGTGGAAGTATTTCCTTCTACTCTATTTTTTCAGCATAATTTGAGGATAAATAGTATTAGTTTTTTAAATGTTTAGTAAAATTCAGCAGGGAAGCCATCTGGTCCTAGGATTTTCTTAGCTGAGAGACTTTATTATGGCATTGAACTCGTTACTTATTAGTCTGTTCTTGTTTTGGATTTCTTTCTGGTTCAATCTTTGTAGGTTTTATGTATCTAGGAATTTGTTAATTTATTCTAGATTTTCCAATTTACTTGCATGTAGTTGCTCATAATAGCCACTAATGATCCTTTAAATTTCTGCAGTATCAGTGGCAATGTCTTTTTGTTCATCTCAGATTTTATTTATACAGATCTCTCTATTTTTCTTAATTAGTCTGACTAAAGCTTTGTCCATTTTTCACTTTCCAAAAAAACAACTTTTTGTTTCATTGATCTTTTGTATTGTTTTTACTTTTCATTTCTGTTTTACTTATTGCTGCTCTGATCCTTATTCTTTCTGTTCTCTTACTAATTTTGGGTTTGGTTTGCTCTAGTTTTCCTAGACTCATTGTTAGGTTGTTTATTTGAAGTGTTATTTTTAATGTAAGCTCTTATAGCTACAAACTTCCTTCTGAGTACCACTATTGGTGTATCTGATAAGTTTTGATATGTTGTGTTTTGGTGTTTCCATTATCAGTTGTTTCAAGAAATTATCTTAATTTCCTTCTTAATTTTTTCATTGATCCACTGGTAATTTAGAAGCATAATCTTTAATTTTCATGTATTTGTATAGTTTTCAATATTACTCTTGTTATTAATTTCTAGTTTTATTCCATTAGGAGCAGAGAGGATGCTTGACATCATTTCAAATTTTTAATGTTTTAACACTTGTTTTGTGACATAATATATGGTCTATTGTTGATAATGACCTAAACATTATACTAAATGGCAACTTTAGTATATGAGTGCTCCAATTGCTCCATAACTCAGAAAATACTTGGCATGGTCAGGTTTTTAATTTTTGCCATTCTAATGAATCTGAAGTATTATGTCTTAGTCCATTTTGTGCTCCTGAAACACAATACTTGAGACTGTGTCTAAAGAAAACAAATGTGTTTCTTACAGTCCTAGAAGCTGAGGAGTCCAATATCAAAGCACAGGCAGGTTTGGTGTTTAGTAAGAACCTGGTATCCACTTCTAAAATGGTGCCTTGAACATTGCATCCTCCAGTAGGGAGGAACACTGTTTCTCACATGGAAGTAGAAGAACTAAGACAGGGTGAGAGAGGGCAAGACTCACTCTTTTATACCATCACCAATTGTACTCATGAAGATGGAGCCCTCATGACTTAATCACCTCTTAAATGTCCAACCTCTTAATACTGTTAAAATAGCAATTAAATTTCAACATGAGTTTTGGAGGGGACAAACATTCAAACCATAGCAAGTTATCTCATTGTGATTTTTATTTTCATTTATTTGATGACTAAAGATATTCAATATCTTTTCACCTCCATTGGAATTTATTTATTTACATGTTTTGTGAGTCATCACATCGTTTCTAAAATAACCTGATTTTGAAGTAAAAATCCTTGTTTGAATCCCATATCTGCCATTTGCAGCTGATTGATCTAGGGCCACTATTCATCCAGTCTGAGCCACAGTTAATTTATCTGTAAAATTGAAACAATACATTTTCACAGGTAGATCTCACAGATAGATAAAGTATGTGAGGTACCTAGCAAAATGCCACCTACATATAGATCTTAATAAATGGTAACTATGATTATTATTGTTGAAACTCATTTGTAATCCTTGCCAGTTTTCCTTCCAAGGACATAGTCAAAGAAGCATGACCCATAAGCCTTATCTGTAATCATAGTGCTGTAACTCAAGGATTTGCTTTACACTTTCTCACCTACTGCTTTCCTCTACACTTTTCAAGCTTCAAATTTTTAATGATTTTCCCAGTTTCTGTCTCACTCTCTCACAAAAGTGTAAGTACCATGAAGTAAGCAACTATATCTGTATTATATAACTCTGTATCCTCTGCAACTAGAAAAGTGTGATAAATATTTACTGAGTAAAAGAAGAAATACTTGCATCCCCTCTGTATCTCATTCTATGCATTGATGCACACGCTGGTTGGCCTATCTGTTTTTCAATTTTAATTTCTCCAGGAGATATAAGGTGCTTTCTTTTGTAATTGTCCATGAATAAATCCTGCCTCACCCCCACTCGACCTAGAAACTCAAAACACTACTGTAGGTTCATTCAACCTTCTAGGATTATGCTTATCTAGAAAGAGGCAAGATTTGGAGCCACAATTTTTTAATCAACCAATTCACAGTGACTTTTGATAATTCTTATCACTAGGATCCTGACTTAGAGAATTCCATACACAAGCTGTTGTAAACTCATAAGTAATTGACTCAGGTGCAATGTAGCATTCTCAAACATTCTCAGAATAAGCAGATGTTATTATTGTTTTGCCCTGCAGAAAGTCAACAAGCAAAATGCCTTGAGCATCCAAAAAAACTGTTTTCATAATCTTTGCTCTTGACCAGTCCACTTTTGTTTGAACGAATCACTTCCACCTTTTGGTAGCTATCGCTTTGATTATGTTTTGTCTTCAGGATTATACTGGTAAAAGCCATGCTTTATATCCTGTTATAATTCTTTGAAGAAATGCTTCAGGATATTGACCCCACTTCAAAATTTTCACTAAAAGCTTTGTTCTTAAGTGCCGCTGATCTAGTCCCAATGGTTTTGACATCCATCAAGTAGAAAGTTTGCTCAATTTTAATCTTTCTGTCAGAATTGTGTGAGCTGAATCAATTGTGATGCTTATGGTATTGAACTTTTTTTTCTGCTGTTAATTGTCAGTTCTTCAACAAGGGCATGAATAAAATGAATTTTTTCCTCACAAATTGATGTGGATGGTCTATGTGGTAGACTTCATTTTCAACATTGTCTTGTCCCTTCTTAAAACAAGTTATCCATTTGTAATGTACTGATTTCCTTGAGACATTGTCTCCATAAACTTTATGTGAAGCATCAATGACTTCACCATTCATTCACCAAGATTCACTATAAATTTGATGTTTGTTCTTGCTTTAATTTTCACAGAATTCATGGTGCTCTGATAAGAGCTCTTTTCAAACTGATGTCTTAGGCTTCTTAGTGCCTCAAACTAAATCCTGTTCAGACATGATGCAATAAGATAGTATGAGTTTATGTTGGTGCAAAAAAAATTGAAATCAATGCATAGTTTTTTCCTAATATGCATTTTCCCATGAACTTTTTGAAGACCCCTCATATACCACCTACTGTGTACTAAATGTTGAGTATAAGAAGTGAACAAAACAGATATAATTCCTCTCTCCATGGCACTTTCAGTTTAGTTAGTTGTCCTATCTGATGAAGAAAAACATTGAACAGCCAAATAAAAAATTATCAAATTGTATTAATTATGGCATCTATTTAGAAATTAACTTTTAATTTTTCTAGAATCAGCTCAAGCATTACTTCACCTGATAAACCATTTCTAACCTCCAGGGTAGAAGGGACCACTCTTGACCTTGATACCCTACCCTATACAGTCTTCTCTCATAGCTTCAACATTTTACTTATTTATGTTCTTGGCAATTTCCCGTTAGTATGTAAAAGCATGTTTCTCAATCAGTAATCAACCAATATAAATTGAAGTCCTTCTATATAGTAGAGACTGTGTAAGACATTGGACATACACTGATTAGTAAAACATTGATGAACAAAATCTACTGTTTTATAAATTAAAATCTAATAGATGAGTCACATAATTAAATGAACAAATATATGACTACAAAATTTAATCCATTCTATAAAGAAAAGGAACAGGATTATAAAAACAGTAATGAGAGGCATAAGTTTGATTGAGGAATCAGGAATGACTTCTCTGAAAAATAAATGCTTCAGCCAAGATTTGAAAGATCACGGCTGAGTGCGGTCACTTATGCCTGTAATCCTAGCACTTTGGGAGGCCAAAGCGGCTGGATCACTTGGGCTCAGGAGTTTAAGACCAGCCTGGGAAACATGGTGAAACTCTGTTTCTACAAAAAATACAAAAATTAGCTGGGCATGGTGGGGCGTACCTGTAGTCCCAGCTACTTGGGAGGCTGTGGTGGGAAATCACCTAAGCCTAGGGATTTCAATGCTGCAGTGGGCCATGACAGTGCCACTCCAGGCTGGATGACCAAATAAGACCCTGTCTCAAAAAAAAAAAAAAGAAAGAAAGAAAGATCAGTAGGAGTTGGCCAAAAAATGAGTGAAGAAGAGAATGACCGGCAGAGGTTGCAGTATGTGCAACAGTGAATTTGGGCTTATTCCTAAGCAATGTCACCTTCTACTAGTGCAAAGTAATTTTTGACAGTAGGTGATCATATTATATGTCTGCTATAGAATGAATGTTTGTGCCCTTCTCCAAGTTTTTATGTTGAAATCTTAACCCCCAGTGTGATGGTATTAAGAAGTGAGGCCTTTGGGAAGTGACTGATAGGATTAGTACCCATATAAAAGAGACAACAAAGAGGTCTTTTGCCCCTCTGCTATTTGAGGATGCAGGTAGAAGGTGCCATCTATGAACCAGGAAGTGGGCCATCACCAAACACCAAATCTCCAATGCCTTGATCTTGAACTTCCCAGACTCCAGAACTGTGAGAGATAAATTTCTGTTGTTTATAAGCCATCTTGTCTATGACATTCTGTTACAGTAGCCCAGACAGACTAATATAATACTCTAGTAGAGTTTCTTCAAATTGAAATAATAATAGTCATAGAGGTATCTGGCAACTTTGTGTAACAAGCCCTAATACAGCACACCTGAACCCATCCAACTGTGAGTGTTAGACACTGACAGCAATGTCAGTGAAAACCAGTCTCATGAGAACACCACAAGAGAACCCTCCTTGGTAGTACTTTAAAGAAGCTAAAGCTATTTGTTGCAAATTGCTTTTATTTCATCTTCATTCTTAGCATCACTTGGCCAGAGGCTCACAATTTTATCCTAAAAAAAACCACACTCTCTGCTTTACATCAGAAATCTGCTACTAGCACAAATAATATCTCCCAGACTCCAACATTTTGCCACCTCTGGGCCAGCGTTCCTGGGATCTTGGTAATATATTATTATATGTAAATGCAGAAGAGTTTATCTAAATCCATGCATGACCACAACATTAGTCTCTTGCCAGAGCCCACATGTTTGAAAAGTAGGCCTACTTCAGAGGGCTAATTCCATGGTCAAGGCCCCTCACTTGTATATACATACCAATTATTCATAAGAACATTTACCATCCCATTAGAAGGTCATCTTCTTCCAATATTATCAGATCATAAAGAAGCTACAATTTAAGAATGATAGCACTTGAGTTGATTGTTTACCTCCTATATAGCATTTTTAGTGTTATTCATAAAATTAGATCTCTGAAGTGTCTACAACTTTGCCAGTATCTAGAAAGGTGGCAAGTGAAATATTGTCTTCTACAAATACTTTTGTAGTTTCAATGTCCTATGTTGCCGTTTGACCTGCACAATATCCTAATCTCCCAGAAATTAATCAAAATCTTTCTTGTTCAAAATCTTGCTCTAAGCAAGAATTCCACTAAAAGAAGTGGACTCTAGAAGATTTTACAGAGTTTAACACCATAGATGGGAAATCCTTGCTCAGTGCTCAATATAGGTTTGGAAAATGAATTAGTGAACACATGGATGAATGAATACATGTATATATAGATAGATAGATAAATGAATGGAAACAAAAGAAACAATCAAGCTATAACAGAACTTTTAGGGTATCTACAAATTATATGTCAAGCTATTTTTCAGCACATACTATATGAAGGCATTATTGCAAGTAATTTATATGTGTTATCTCACTTAATCCTCACAAATTTCAAATGAACTAAATTCTAGCACTAGTTATATAATTAAGAAACTGAAGTTCAGAGAGTGATGTGGTTTGGATGTGTGTCCCCTCCAAACTTCATGTTGAAATGTGATCCCCAATGTTGCAGGCGGGGCGTAGTAGGAGATGTTTGGATCATGGGACAGATCCCTCATGAATGGCTTTGTACCCTCCCCATGGTTATGAGTTCATGTGTAATCTGACTGTTTAAAAGTGTCTGGGACCTCCTTCCTCACTCTCTCATTCCCTCTCTTGCCATGTGACATGTCTGCTTCCACTTTACCTTTCACCATGATTGTAAGCTTCCTGAGGCTTCACCAGAAGCAGATGCTGGCACCATGCTACTTGTACAGCCTGCAGAACCATTAGCCAAATAAACCTCTTTTCTTTATATATTACCCAGTCTCTACTATTCCTTTATAGGAATCCAAAATTGACTAATACAGAGAGATAAAGTAATTTTTGAAAGTCACAGAAAATAAGTGGCAGAATTAAAATATCATCCCAGGCATTTTGGTTCCATGTCTTACTATTTAAACCTCTAATGCAACCTCCTCTAATAAATAATACATTTGCATGAATGTATTATTTTAGTAAGAAGAGATAGTATATCTAAATATGACTATATGACATTGTAAAAGAGGTATTTAAATTTCAAGGGAAGTGTAGAAGCAAAGAAGAGACTTCAAACATAAATTATTGCTATGAGAAATGGTGCTCATTGATGTTCAGAGGCTCAGACTTTGGGATACCTACAAATCTGGGCTCAAATTTCAGCTATGGCACTAATTTAGCTTTATGACCTTGAACACATTACCAAATTTCTGTGCATTTTAGTTTTCCCCACTGTAAAATGTGGGTAACATTAGAACCCATTAAATGGCAGTTGACAGAATTAGATAATACAAATAAAGCCCTTAGTGCAATATCCAGCATATAGCAAAAACTCAATCATATTGACAACTATTATTATATTATTATTACTGTACTAATTTCCCAGATGTATAATAGAAATGTAAATGGTAAATTATTTTCACATTTCAAGATATCTATAATACTTGTCATAGTGTGAACATATTCTAAAGATCAGATCAAATGAGAATGAATTCAACTTCAAGGAAGACAAAAATCAAATTAACCAAGGTGATCTAATGAGGGTGGTAATATTTTAATTCTTAGGCTAATAGACAATAATATGTGTCACTTCAGGAAACAAAAATATGGCAGATTAAAATTAAGAAGCATATTTATTCAATTTGTTAAGTAGTCATTATTCCTTAAAGATTTTTTTTTTTTTGAGACAGAGTCTCCCTCTGCCATCCAGCCTGGAGGGTAGTGGTGCAATCTCAGCTCACTGCAAACTCCACCTCCCAGGTTCAAGCAATTCTCCCACCTCAGCCTCCCAAGTAGCTGGGATTACAGGTGTGAGCCACCATGCCCTGCTAATTTTTGTATTTTTAGTAGAAACAGGGTTTTACCATGTTGGCCAGGCTGGTCTCAAACTCCTGACCTCAGGTGATCTGCCTGCCTCAGACTCCTAAAATGCTGAGACTACAGGCATGAGCCACTGCGCCCAGCCTAAAGGTCAATTTTTTTTAATCATAAAATCCCAATTCAGAAGTCTAGAATGCAAGATATTATGTATGGCAACACACATACATACATACATGCATCCTACTTCCAACCTAGAAAATGGCTTCTCATCTGGAAATCATCATAAACAAGATTTCCCACTGTGTCTAGGCAAGTGTTACTGTATTGTAACTTTTATTGATCTTAACCCTGACTCTGACATTTAACTAAAGTACCGGTTGCTCAGTGCTATGTACCCAGCAACCTATGTCAAGCGCGTCCATGTGAAGAGACCAACAAACAGGCTTTGTGTGAGCAATAAGACTGTTTATTCACTTGGGTGCAAGTGGGCTCAGTCTGAAAAGAGAGTCAGTGAAGGGAGATGGGGAAGGGTTTGCTTTATAGGAGTTGGGTAGGTAATGGAAAATTACAGTAAAAGGTGGTTATCTATTGTTAGCAGAGGGGGGGTCACAAGGTACATGGTGGGGAGATCATAAGACTCATTGTCCAAAAGAAGAATGTTGCAAAGTTGATTGATCAGCTAAGGTAGGGCAGGGACAAGTCACAATGGTAAAATGTTGTAATTTTGGTTAATCAGTTAAGGCAGGAACTGGTTGTTTTACATCTTTGTGATTTTTTGGCTGCTCCAGACTTCTTGGCTCCTGCAGGCCACCTGGATGTGTATGTGCAGGTCACAGAAGTTATAATGGCTGAGTTTCAGCTCAGAGGCCTGACATTCCTGTCTTTTTATTTATAAAATATAAAGCTATAAGAAAAGATAAAGAAAATATAACTTTTTACTGAGGGTTATTGGGGTAGGGGCGATGTTTCTTGGGACTGCTTCAAGTGTGACCAGGGACTGCACAGACACCTTAAAGAATATTCAAGGGCAGAGGGCAGCATAAGAACGGGAATGAGGTTAAAAGTAAGTATAAAGGTAAAGAATAGGACTTCATCATGGTGAAAGTATTGGAGTGTGCCCTGCCAGCAAAAATCACCTATCCATTACAAGAGGGAGTCAAGAGTGGTGGTTTGGGGATAGCACCAGGAGATATAAGCTGTGATGGTTTGGAGAAAAAGTGTAAACTGGCAATGTAAACAAAAGCAGGGCATTTATGAGTAGGTGAGAATGGTGAATAGGAAAATAGCAGGGATGAAAAAGTTTGTGAGGTGCAGTGCAAGAAGGAGGGGTTGACTGCATAAAGCAGTTGTAAAGAGTAGAGTAAGGAAGAAGAGACTTAATAAAAATGCACAACAGGATGGATGGGAAGGACTATCTGATTTATGAGGTGAAGGTCTTGAATTAGCCTGTAGGACTTGTCCAGTTTCTGGATGGGTAGGATAGGAGAGTTGTAAGGAGAATGTATAGGCTTTAAAAGCCATGTTGTAGCAGGTGAGTGATAACAGGCATCAGTTCGTTTAAAGCCTGCTGTGGGATGGGATATTGGCATTGAGCAGGGTAAGCATGATTAGGTTATAATGGGATAGTAATGGGCGTGTGATCAGTTGTCAGGGAGGGAGTAGAGCTGTCCCGTACCTGTGGGTTAAGATGGGGGATACAAGAGGAAGACATGAAGGAGACTTTGGATTAGGAAGAAGGGCAGTAATGAGATGTGGCTGTAGTCCAGGAATAGTCAGGGAAGCAGATAATTTGGTTAAAATGTCTCAACCTAAATGGAAACTGGGCACATGGGGATAACTAAAAAGGAGTGCATAAAAGAATTTTGTCCAAGTTGGCACCAAAGTTGGGGAGTTATAAGAGGTTTTGAGGCCTGGTCATCAATATCCACAACAGTTATGGGGGCAATGGAAACAGGCCTTGAAAAGAAGGTAATGTGGAGTGGGTAGCCCCTGTATCTATTAAAAAGGGGATGGACTTACCCTCCACTGTGAGAGTTACCCGAAGCTCAGCATCTGTGACGGTCCAGGGGTTTTCCAAGGCAATTGGGCAGTGTCAGTCTTCAGTCACTAAGCCAAGCAGATCTGGGAAGGAGTCAGTCAGAGATCCTTGGGCCAGAGCTTTAGGGGTTCTGGGAGTGGTTGCCGGGTGATCTGGGCAGTCTGATTTCCAGTGGGTCCCTGCACAGATGGGACATGGCTTGGGAGGAATCCCAGGCTGCGAGCATTCCTTGGCCCAGTGGCCAGATTTCTGGCACTTACAGCAAGATCCTGAGGGATGAGGTCCTATAGGAATGCCTGACCACTGTGGCTTAGGTGTTTTGAAGTTCTTGTGTGCTGGAGGTGCAGCTGGGTTGTGTCTCACAGCAGAGGCAAGTAATTGTAACTCAGAAATGTGTTGCCACTTGGCTGCTTCGTCTCTATTACTGTACGCCTTGAAGGCGAGGCTGGTTAATTCCTGTTGTGGGGTGGATTCCAATTTTTGAAGCTTTTTTCTAATGTCAGAAGCTGACTGGGTGATAAAATGCATATCGAGAATAAGATGGCCTTCAGGCCCTTCAGGGTCTAAGGCTGTAAAGCATCTCAAGGTTGCTGCCAAACGAGCCATGAACTGGGCTGGGTTTTCATCTTTACCTTGGGTAGTTTCTTTAATTTTGTCATAATTAACAGCTTTGTATGCTGCCCTTTTAAGCCCTTCAACTAGGCAGGAAATCATGTAATCTCATCTAGCTATACCTGGGGAACCTGCCTGATACTCCCATCGGGGATCCTCTTGGGGAACTGCCCTGATGCCTTCTTGAAGGTCCGGCTCATGATGTCGGCAGGTGTCAGCGTGGGACTGGGCTAGAGAAAAAACTCTTTCTCATTCATCTGGGGAGAGGGTAGAAGTTAGTATCACATTTAAGTCACTCCAGGTTAAATTGTAGGACTGAGTTAAATATTGGAATTCCTGTATATATTTTGTGGTGTCTGATGAGAAGGAGCCTAAGCATTGATTAACTTGGGAAAGGTCTGATAGAGAAAATGGTACACGCACTCTGACAATGCCTTCAGCCCCAGCCACCTCTCAAAGAGGAAATTTTGGGGCAGGCGGGGGAGTATTTGCCACAGAATGAAATTGTAAGCCAGACTGGGTGTGGGGAGGGGAGGTGACAGAAGGGTTATAAGGTGGAGAAGTGGAGGCTGAGGAAGAATTGGGACTTGATTCAGCCTGCCAAGGAGTGGCCTGAGGAAGGGGAGAGAGGTCAGGGGGGTCCGCAAAAAAAGGAGAATTCAAAAGACTCAGTGGCACTTGGGGTTGGGACTGAAGGGACAGGCAGGAGGGAAAGAAGGAAGATTTGGGATGAGTTGCATTGGGAACAGAAATTAGGGAGGGGACAAAGTGTAAAACATGCCTGGACATAGGGCACCTCAGACCATTTGCCCATTTTATGAAAAAAATTATCTAGATATTGTAGGATGGAAAAATCAACAGTGCCATTTTCTGGCCATTTACAGCCATTATCAAGTTTGTATTGGAGCCAAGCGGTGTTGCAGAAGAAAATAAGATGCTAGGTTTTAGGTCAGGTGAGGGTTGAAGAGGTTTTAAGTTTTTAAGAACACAGGTTAAGGGGGAAGAAGGAGGAATGGAGGGCAGAAGGTTGCCCATAGTAAAAAAAAGGGAAATTTAGAGAAAAGAGGAGTAAAAAGGGGGGGGTAGTACTTGCCACCAAGGTGGAGGATCAAGGCAGGTGTCCCCATGGTGATCGAACACCTCTGGAATGCGGGTGAATAATCAGGCAGGTGTCCCCGCGGTGATTAGACACCAAGGGAAGACTGTCTTCCTGAGTCCATGACCAGTGCCACCAGCATTTTGGATCCATGGAAAAAACACGTTTCTGCTATCTCTACCAGAAAGGAAAAGGAAATGAAAGGAATGGAGGGATTGAAGGGTGGTGCTGAAATTGAAAGAAGAAAGAGGTTGAGAGATAGTGAGAGAGGTTGGAGAACAGAATAAAAAAAGACTGCTTACCCAATTTAAAATTGGTGAGGTGTTTCTTGGGCTGGTCTGAGAACCTGACGTCATAGGTGGATTTTCTCACAGAGCAAAGAGCAGGAAGACAGGGGATTGATCTCCCGAGGGAGGTCCCCTGATCCAAGTCACGGCACCAAATGTAGCAGGAGGACAGGGGATTGATCTCCCAAGGGAGGTCCCCCGATCTGAGTCATGGCACCAAATGTCAAGCACATCTATGTGAAGAGACCAACAGACAGGCTTTGTGTGGGCAATAACACTGTTTATTCACTTGGGTGCAAGTGGGCTGAGTCCGAAAAGAGAGTCAGTGAAGGGAGATGGGGAAGGGGTTGCTTTACAGGAGTTGGGTAGGTAATGGAAAATTACAGTAAAAGGTGGTTATCTATTGTTAGCAGAGGAGGGGGTCACAAGGTACATGGTGGGGAGATCATAAGACTCATTGTCCAAAAGAAGAATGTTGCAAAGTTGATTGATCAGCTAAGGTAGGGCAGGGACAAGTCACAATGGTAAAATGTAATTTTGGTTAATCAGTTAAGGCAGGAACTGACTGATTTACTTCTTTGTGGTTTTTTGGCTGCTCCAGACTTCTTGGCCCCTGCAGGCCACCTGGATGTGTATGTGCAGGTCACAGAAGTTATAATGGCTGAGCTTCAGCTCAGAGGGCTGACACCTGTACTTCAGTTAAAGAGTTTAGTTTCAGAGTTTTGACCACATAATGTCTAATAAGGAAAACTGTGAAGAAGCACAGTTAAACAGAAGTCATGGATTTTTCAGCTTCTATTGTTTCAGGTGCCACAGAAAATCAGCAGATCCATGACACACCACAGGCAGTAAGGCAGTTTGTGTTAGGCAGGCAGCTGGAGACAGACAACAGGACCCAGAGCCAGAGACAGGAATAGGTAGACAGCAGCTCACCAGAAGAGCCAGAGGCATTTTAGAAGCAAGTGTGAGCATGATGGGGAGAAACAGGGCATCATGACAAAATAGGCAAATTGGAAGCCTTGCAGGGTCAACCAAATGGTCTGTTTTTCAGAAACCTAAAAGAGGAAAGGGTGGGTAGACGCTGGAGAGTGAGGGGATAGTGGTAGAGACTGAAAACCAAAAGCAGAACAGGAACAAATTAAAAACGGAGAATGCAGTTGCATTGCGTCAGAATCAAGTGGACTTTGGCAGCTAAGGCAGCTCGCTGCTCCAGCTTCAGCTGTTCTTCCCCTCCTGCCACGTGAATCGGGCCTGGGGGCTTACAGCATTGGCCATGGAAACAGCTGGCTAAGTGCAGAGTTTTGAGAGGTCGGGGCGGGGCTGAAAACAGTTCCTGCAAAGAGAGTATGTTTTGCTTCTAAAGGAAATGAGAAATGTGTTAAAGGAGGTATTTGAATATGAATGAGTTATTTGAGTATTTAAATACCCAAAAGAAAAGTCTCTCAATAGCAAAAATGCCTAAGCATAAAAAGATTTAACAGAAATCAAGTACACACTTCAGCAAATGAGTTAATAAACCATATAGCTAAACATGCATGATATTTTCAATTTTTGCCTCAGTCTAGAAGCCTCCCAATCATCTCCCACTCTTTTTAAAAGGCAGAGAGCTGTTTAACAACCCTTCAGTGTTCCAGGCAGCAAACAGGCTCTCAACTATTAATGGCAAAGCTGCCAGAAGCCAGACATACCTGGGAACAGATGAAAGGTTTTGTTTGTTCACCTTCAACATTAAACTAGTTCCCACTCAGGACCTCTGAGCACATTACTGGAAATTTTTAAGACACAGTTACTGGTGTGAAGAGGTTTCTGAAAACATACAAAGCACACATTCAACAAGAAAGCCCACCTGAAAATCCTGCGAGGGCAAAACTGAATTGAAACATTACAGCATGCCTGTTCTTTTTCAAAGACCAACGAAAGTTCAAAGATTCAGAAACTTTCTTGAAAATTATAGAAACATTATGGCAAATAAGGTTTCACCTTGTGTGCCAAATACAACTGATTTTTACTTGCCTCTGGAAGCTCTGCATATCTGATCAAATTAGTGATGTCTGCCATAGCCTAGAGAAGAAAGAGTGAAGATACCATTGTATAAGTCTTTCCTGCTTTGTGTCTCAGGCCATTTGGGCATACTACTTTTTATCCTAGAGGTTGCAAACTGGCACCTCATGAACTGCATTCACACTTAAGAGATGCTTTGTTTGGTCATCACAGTATTTTTTAAAATTAATTACCAATATTTCACAATGAAAAATTTCACATTTTTAAAAGGCATTTGCCATTTATCTTCAAAATGTAGATTTCTAGCAATTTTAGGCTCATCTTTCCAAATAGTAACTGTCTTCTGAAGCTTAGTGGTGGTTGCCTCCTTTAGGTGGGGTATCTTCTCTTAAATTTGGCTTCTTTCCCTCACCTGTAGGCCTCTGTAGGATTTGCATTTGTGAACCCCTGCTCTATTCCTCCTTGTTACTGTTACCCAAACAGTACATTGTTACTGTTACTTCCTGCTCCTCTACATTAATAAGGACATTAATAAGGAGGTTCACTGTTTTTCTACATCAATTCTGTCATTAACCAGAATGACTTTAACTCCTTGGCCTCACAGTTGCTGGATATGCTCAGCTTCAATAATGTCTCACCACCATTTTGGCAACCCACTCTTCAGCAACAAAAATGTTCTGTCTTCAAAATTGTAAATTCCACTATCCTAGTTTTATGTTTTTGTTTTGTTTTTTCATATTAATACAGCTGTCTCTACCTTTATTGACAATAAATCTACTATTACTTCTCAACACAGTGTTTAGTCTCTTTTCCTTTTCCATACTTTCTGAATTTATCAGTGCTTTTCGGGGTCTACTTTGTTCTTATGGCTCATTATGTGCTTTCTCCCTTGAAATGATTTTTATTTATTTTGTTCCTTTGTCCTTCCTTCACACCTGCTCACCAAACCTCATCCCTGGATCAATCCAATCATTCAGCTTCTCCAGGGTGATGGACACTGCTGGTGAAGATTACACTACAAATTCATCAACTCTAGTTTCACTGAGCCTGACGTCCATAAATATCACCCTCTCCTATTCCTCCAGTGGTTACTTCAAAGAATTATCACTTTCTTCAAACAATATAATGCACCTTTTCTTGCCTCACTTTCAGAGGCAACGTTCCTTTCTAATCTATGAAAAACATCAAGGCCATCAGATGAGAGAAGTTCCTCAGCTTGCTCCTTCACCACTAACAAACTTACTTAAATTTCCATGCGTTCTTGCTTAATCTTTTGGTGGGACAAATGTCCCTCCTCCATACAAGACTAAGTCTTCCCACCTAAGCACACTTGATATTGCCCAGCCCATCCTCCTAACCCTGAGCCTTGAATTTGTTTCATTACCCGTATCCCATCTCTTATATCTCCAATATTTTTCTGTGCTTACTTACTCTGTCCTCTCAAAATATGAACATGCTCAAGTCTCTTCCATAGAAAATCAATCTTCCCTCAACCTCAGGTACTGGCTACAATCTTATTTACTGCCACTCTCACTGACAAATTTCTTGAAGAGCAGTCTACACTCCCCCTGTCCACTTCCCTGCATTCCAGTGACTCCTCTATCTATTGATTAGTAACTTATATCATTACCTCTTTATTGAAACTTTTTATAAGGTTATGACCTCCACATTTCTAAATTTAGCAAGCATTGTTTACCCTTATCTTATTTGATAGCTGTAACATTTGCCCAATGTTAAATGTTTCCTACGCCTCCAAACTCTCTTCCCTAGCCACCCTGATTTATATCCTATCCTTATGGCTGTGTCTTTTTTTGACACAAGGGTCTCAGCATGTTTCTCAGGCTGGTCTTGAATGCCTGGACTCAAGCAATCCTCCCACCTCAGCCTCCTATGCAGCTGGGATTACAAGCACATGCCACAACACCTGGCTATGGCTGTGTCTTTTAAGCCACTTTTGAAAACATTGCTTTTAAGCTGCTTTTCAAAACATTGCTTTTGCCTACCAACTAAATGTTATTATTACCCAGGACTCCAAACTCAGCTCTATGCTCTTCTCATATTATACACTCTTCCTTGTGATCCCATGCACTTACATAAAACTTCAACTACAGACAGTCCTCGACTTACAATGGTTCAACTTAGGATTTTTCAACTTTACAATGGTGCCAAAGTGATACACATGCAGTTGAAACCATACTTTGAGTACCCATACAACCATTCTGTTTTTCACTTCCAGTACAATATTCAATACATTACATGAGATACTCAACACTTCATTAGAAAATAGGCTTTATGTTAGATGATTTTGCCCAACTGTAGGCTAATCTAAGTGTTCTGAGCACATTTCAAGTAGGCTAAGCTAAGCTATGATATTTGGTAGGTTAGAAGTATTAAATGTGTTTTTGACTTATGATATTTTCAACTTATGATGCATTGATTTAGATATAGCCCCATCATAAGTCAGGGAGCATCTGCATTACCTATAAACTGCAGTCTCCAATCCAGGCCTCTCTCTCAAGCTTAAAACCCTCATGTCAAAGTGTGTACAGGATGTGTCTATTTGGATAACCTAAAGACAATGTGAATTCCACACATCTCAGACTGAATTCACCCTCCCAATTCTATGATTTCCCTCTTCATTAATAACATCAACATCTACCCTGACTCTCAAGCCAGAGATTTATGAGACATTCTGAGGTTCATCTCCCTCTTCCTCAGCCAAGTCCTATAATTCCAGATCTTAAATGTAAGAAGTACAAAAAAGAAAGATTGAAGACATTACCTTTCAATAAAATAAACAAGATCACTTCACGAGATCATATTGTAGTTTGACCCTGGGCAATCTATTCTCCCACAGAGATCCCACTTAAAATTTCTGAAGTGTGAATCTGACCATATCACTTCTCTTCTATGGCTATCTATTGATTTCACAATAGAAGTAAAAGACAAATTTAGCATACAGGTCCTTAACAATATTGTCAGCCTCATTTCCTGCTTCTCCACTATTTGCCTTCTATATGCCCTACATACTGAACTGCTTGCATTTTCCTGAATGTGTCACACTGTTTCATTCTGTACTTTTATTCATGCTGCTGCTTCTACCTGGAATTATTCCACATTTTTAATCTTTTTTCATTTCCTTATCTGCTTAGCTCTTAACCTTTAAGACTTAACTTAAACATGAACTCTTCCAGGAAGTTTTCCCTGACTCTCCCTTTTCTGTACCCCCAGTATTCTACACATATCTTTATCATAATGCCAATCACACTAACTTATGAATATTAATGTATCTGTATGACTCTTCTATCAGGGCAAAGTTCCAAAAGGCAAACTTGATTGAACGACATTTCTTTCTGTATTCCTAATGCCTAATACATTTTTAGTACATAGCAGATGCTTAATTAATATTTGATAAATCAAATAATGAAAAAAACAAATTAATGAAAAGTGAATTAGGGAATAGGAGAGATAAAAATCCAAGTTGCTGTAATTTCTTTTTCATGCTAACCTAACTCTTATGTTTTAATTAGAGGCTTTATTTCATGTATGTGCCTAGGGGAGGTAATTGAGGATTTATAAGAATTCATACCTCTAGTCACCTTTGTGCTGCTTTATCATGAATAAGTTAGACTATAATTTGCATAATTGAAGGGCTGCCTTAATAGATGCTGGTGAGTCCTTGTAGGATAACTAGACTCCATTGTTTCACCAAGGGTTTCTCTTTCATTTGTCAAGTCTCTACCATCTTAAAAAGTATGTCTATACAAACTGCCCCAGCCACGATGTCTCTGGGACTCTGTCTTCTACCACAGCTCTGCCTGCCTTGCCTCATCTTGCCCATACTTGCTGCTGTTTACAACTGCTACTTTAGTAAAATCAGCCAACTGGGCTCCTTTAGCAAGGTGAGAAGAGTTTCCCAGAAGAGCAAAATAATTGTTAAATCATAAGCTTTGCACATTAAATTTGCTTCTAACCTCACTCAAAGCTTCCTTTTGTGCCTGGAACAAATTTTAATAGTTGTGATTCTGCTCCTTTTGCTACACACTCCCACCATACCCCACCTCCAAAATCAACACCTTCTTGCCAATGAATAGCCTGATTCAGACTTCTCCTTTCCTTTTCAATGGATGGGTCTGGAGGTGCACTCTGCTGCCTTCCTGCCTATTCCAACGCTGACATGCCCTGCCCAATTATGCTATATCTCTTACCACCTTCCCCATATGAGAATGTGGTGTGTGTTTAGGGAGGGAAACTTGCCACTATTATGCAGCCATTAATACTTGTAATAAAGGGGCCCTAGACCATCCATCTAAGCTATTCCTTGCAACACAGGTGAGCCTCACAGGCCCACAGCAGGCACAAGCTACAGGTTGCACACTGACAAAAATGTAGTCTAAGGGAAGAGGTGGAGGACAGGGTAACTAGAGGGTGGTTAACAGATAGAAAAGTACAGCTAGATAGGACAAATACATTCTAGTGCTCTATAGCACTATAGGGTGACTATAATAAACAACTAAATGTATTGTAGACTTTGAAATATCTAGAAAAGTGGATTTTTAATACTCTCAACACAAAGAAATGTCCTTCAGATGTTCTAGCTTAGCATTTCTGCATTGTCTTGGATATGGCCAGTCTCCTTCCTTCACTTATTTATGTGCTCCTAAGTGTTACACAAGTGATGTTCAGAAGGTGTTGCTCTCAGTTTAAAAAAAATGTAGATATCCTGTTGCCAAAATAGTAATATCTACTCTTTCCATACATCACATAAACACTTTTGCCAGTATGTTTTAACACTAGTATGTTCCACCTGACTTCCTTTCACAATCTTTGTTTAGACCACATTGTGTTGATGTACTTTTACTCTGGATTATTTAATGCCTCAAGGTTTCAAGAGTTGCATCTTAGCAAAAATTTCCTCTTATCTTTATTAATATAAATATACTTTGGTCTTTTATATTTTTTGTAACAGGGTATCACTCTATTGCCCTGGCTAGTCTTGAACTCCTGGCCTTAAGCACTCGTCTTGGCCTCCCAAAGTGCTAGGATTACAGACATAAGTCACCACACCCGGCCTATTTTGGTCTTTTTAAACGCATCAAATTAATTACTCTAGTGATCATGAAATTTTTCTTTTTTGCATTTTCATATCTCTTTTCTTCCAAAACTTTTTAATCTCTTCTCAGATATTATATATCCCCATGAGTCTTCAGAATTCTCAAATATCACCAGTTTCTTCACAAAGCCAATCAATTACACTGAAGTTATAGGGGAAAATGTATTATAAGTATTTGTAAATATTTTCTCAAATATTCCTAAAAGTCTTTAGATCTAGATAACTCCATGCAACCTATGAAAGCCCAATGCTTTTCATGTTAAATTTAGGCTAGGCTACAACCAAATCACCAAGCTTGCTAATGACATTTTCTGTGACTGGATCAAGCAAAAGGGTTTAAATCTTAATACTAAGGAAATTATCAGAATTAGTTCCTGTTTTAACAATTTGATGTGATAAGTTTAAATCTAAATCAAAAAAAAAAAATGAGTTCTGAAACTCTCCCATTTTCTGTTTCTTCATCTAATAAAAATTACATCTCCTCTTCAGGCATAAATAACTAACATAGCTTCCTAAGTCATCTGGCCCCCAGGTCTACCTAAGCAGAAGTATGTGCTTTTCAAAGTTCCAATTCCTGGAACTGTGTCTGTGCATTGGCTGAACTGTGTCAATAGAGGAAAGGTATAGGATAGGGATACTCCTAAGCTGTTCTACATCAACCAACACCACTGGATCTTGTTCAGGACTTCATCAGTACCTTGTTGCCTTTCTGACTGGCAAATTAAAATGAATAGAAGGACATCCCCACAGCCATGGTCTCCATTCTATCTGCTGCTGCTGAGAGATTACTTATTATTGCCTTTACCTGGCATGTTTGGCATGAGGACTGAGATTCAACAAGCTATTTCCTGAGTGCTGATGACCAACTTCAGTTGAGTGTGTCAAATATTTTATGAGTTATCTATTTATTTCAAGAATCACTAAGAAAATAAAATACTCTCCCTCTCATTTTTTTCATGATAAGATTCTTGACTGGGTGAGCAAATTTAAATTATTTAATAACAATGAAAAAGTAATTTAGCCACTCTTAATAAATGTTGGCTTCCAAGACTCAGTCACATCATACAGAATCAATCTGGAGGAGGATACATTTGAATGGATCCCAAGAAAATGGTGTATAATTTAACCCTGAGTTCATTTCTGTGGTGCTAACAACCAAAGCTTGAAGAATTGCATAAAGCATTAGTCAAGAGAGATATTTCTCTCTAGACAATTATTAATACAAGCACTTCTAGAGAAGCACTAAGAACATGTGCCGCCTTCCTAATATCCTGGGAAAGAGGCTAGAACCCTTTCTGAGAAAGGTGGAGCCAGAGCAAAGAAAAGTGGGGCTGGGCTCTGAACTCAGCCACCAAATGTAAGGGAGGATATAATGCTCCCAGAAAAATAAAAAGAAATTGAAATGGTCATCTTAGGGGCTATGAGTCTGGAGTAAATTCTACTCTGTCCTCAGCACTCCACCTCCATGCACATCCAGGTTAAATTGAACAGCAAAAATCAAGTCCAATCTGAAGAATAGATGATGTCATTAACTGTGCCCTATAGAAATATAGAGAGGGGCACTAATGACTTGTAGTCTTGCATATCTTGGGGGAGGCTTAGGGATCTGCATCTGTTACAGACATTCCCAGATGATCCAGATGCAGGTCCAAGGGCCATGTTTTAAGTAGCATTACCCCGGAGTATAATAAAACCATCATAATAATAGAACCCAAGAGTTGGAAGGCCCCCAGAAACTATCAAGTCACTTCCAGTAGTCAAAGCCATACAAAAAATGATAAAGGCCACTGTTAAGAAGTAGTGAACTACTTATCACTGAAGGTAGATCAGCAGAAACTCAGTAACTACTTCTCAGGAATATTATAGTGGGATTCCATACAGCACATAGAGAGATTAAATTAGGTGATCTTTAAGAAAATTTCAAGTCCAAGATTATATTATCTCTGTATCTGGAAATGAACAGAAACCCCATTTGTGACAAATGTTTTATCTTGAAGAAATTTTTCATAACTCTTCATCTTTACAGAAAGATAATCCCAATATCAAGAATATTTATCCCTGTTTATTAAATCAAAGCTATCCTAGAATATTTAGTCTCACTAAGAGAACCAGAAATTAAAATAATATAGTTCTCTCTCTTCAAAAGTCACATTTGGATACTGGTCTCTTTAGGTATGGTGCTTTAATTGTTGAAAACAATTAAAATAGCTAGAGTTGCTTGTTTCTATGTATAATCCAGTATCATTATAAAATTTAAATGGAAATTAGAATATAAAAAATGAAAATCACCAGAAGTTTTACATGGAATACCAGTGTTATTATTATACTAATCATTTAAATGAATTTATGTATATGTGAAAATACATATACAATTTTTATGCAAATCAAACTATGTTATACATCACATCTTCGCTTGGGACAACTTTCCTTTTTTTATGTTTTTAGAGGTGGACTGGTGAAAATATATCCTGTTTTCTCCATTCCTAACCACTACCACCAACACAAGGAAAAAAATTTAGTGAACTACTGGTCATTCTTTCATAAATTTCTCCTGCTTCACATTATCATAGACAAATGAACATACACACATATATGTTTGTGTTTACAAAATGTCTTATAAATATGGTATCATGTTATATTCTATTCTCTATTTTTAATACTCTCATGACTTCCTCTTGGAAATATGTCTAAGTAAACTGCTATAAATTTAGATTGCTGTTTTTATAACAGCTTTATATCTCATACATATGAATGTGCCATATTTTTTTCAATAATTCTCCTGCTAAAGGGAATTAAGGATGTTTCCAATATTTTGTCATTACAAACTATAAAATCATTGGCATGCTTTTTAATCTACTATTTGTTACTCAAATTTTTTCTATTTGATGCATTTCCAGAAGTATATTTAACAAGTTAAATTGCATTATTTTAATCAAATTGTTATACTAGAGAGTTTAGAAAATAATATTTCCACCAGCAATGTATAAATCCACATCTGTCTATCTCTGATAGCAGTAAAAGTTAACTTAATTTTATTATTTTTGAAAGTGTAAGATTAGAAGTATTATTTTACTTCACTTTGCATTTCCTGGACAACTAAAGTATCTTAGCATCTTTGCATTGATTTGTTGACTATTTAGATTTCCTACTTCATTATTTGCTTATTCATATCATTTTTTCTTTTATTTATTGTACTTTATTATTATCATTTTTAAAATGTATAGTAAATTAGAGCTATTAATAATTTTTTATAAACATTGCAACATTTTTCCTATTTAATATAAGCCCTCTAATTTTGTTCCTAATATCTTTTCCCAAGCAATAATTTTATATTTTCTCAACTCTAACATTACTACCTTTCCTATTATAGCTTCTGGAATTCTTTTAGAAAAAAAAAATTTGACTGGGACTACTTACCTAATAGACACAGCTATTCCCAATCTTCAGTTTTACACAAAGATTTCTAACACTGCCTTAGTCATTGACATACACACACTAATTTGGAACAAACTTTCTGCATTTGTCCACCTTGAATGTGAGACAAAGACCTGAAAGAAAACCTGGGAAGCCATGGAGTCTAAGGCCTCAGGTTTAAACCAGACTCTTTACCCCTCATCACACATGGGAACAGAGGTTGAAAGATCGTGCAGTATTCCAGAACCAGAATGGATCATGGAAATGCATATGTGCAGAGAAAAGGCATATTCCAAACTTTAGGTTTAGATTACTTCCCAGTTTTAACTTTTTTTTTTTAAGTTCTCTATGTAACACATAGAAAGAGGTGATGAAATATTACACAGGCAACTTCAATTGCTTCAATAACTTTGTTTCCCCTGAATTGTTCAGCACTCAGTTATTGAATCTTGAGCACCACATGAAGCCAATAGCCACAAAGTCAACAAAAATTTTTCCACCATGGACATATTTTCCCTTCTTCCTTTCCATTGTGGCTGTATGTTACATTTATCTTTTTTTACATGCCCCCATACAAACACACACTCACTCATTCCAAAGATCACAATTGTTTTCCAGCCTTCAACTCCCCAAAACAAGAAACAACCAAAATGCCACTCAACAATACAATGGATAAATTAGTCATAATATATTTAAACAACGGAATGCTATATGAGTAAAAATGAGCAAACTGTAGCTACACATAAAAACATGGATGAAACTGATAACCCAATAATGACTGAAAGAATCCAGACACAAAACATGTATAGAATGTAAGATTCAATTCATTGAACATTAAAATCTGAACAAAATAAAATGAAAAGAAAGAAAAGGAGAAAGAAAAAAATCTCATTCCCAGAAGTAGAAATATAATATTAAGATATGTTCCAACTTATCAGATCATGGATGTGATGTTAAATAAAAAAACATGATTTAATGTGAACTAAAATAATACCAAATGTTCTGAGAAACAAAACCACGTGCTGAGAGTCTGGAGAGAGACCAGAGGGAAGAGATTACTATGTGACTCAGTGTAAGGCAAAGGAAACTGTAAGAAGTTAGAGAAAACGAAGAGAGTCAGAGATAGACTTCTATCAGCACCAGCTAATATAACTTGAGAGAGCAAGAGAAGAAAAGCTACTATTGAATATTTACGACCTACATGTGACAATTTTAAGTACTTGATACCTGTCCTCCCCAGCATTGATCATGAAAAGGAAGTTAGAAAACAGGATGGCAAAGATATACAGAATGAGTAGAGATGGAAGGGGGTAGGAAAAACACTGTCCCACAATGGGAATCACTAATGAAGATAATCCATATACAATATTTGTTAGGAGACAGACTGCAGCACAACACTCAAATTTAATAATTCAGTAAATTGTGTGTGCATAAAAATAGATGTAACTTAGCACAAGATTCCTGGGTGCCATGACCGTTGCAACTGTGGTTAATCTCTACCTATTGCCTACAGTGGTGGAATAAAAGAAAGTGGTTGAAAACTAGCATTTACAGAGCACTACCTGTATTCTGGGCTTCTACTTTGACAGGCAATTTAATCCGCCCAACAGTCCAATGAAGTAAAGTAGTATCCTTATCACATTTTTACCTATGAGAAAACTGTCTCAGAGACACAAAATTAGTAAGTAGCAGAGACATCATCTGAACCCACAATGCTTATTCTAAAACCCGTGTTCCTTCCACCATGTTATGTGGTGTCTCTCACATTTAATGTGCACATTAATATCATCTGAGTTTTTGAAAATTATCATTACCCAAGCCCCACTCCCAAAAATTCTGATTCAACTATCTAGTTTTAGGGGGAGGGAAAAAATGAGATAGACATAAATATATTTTTAATAATATACAAGGAAAAATTTACAAAACAATTGCATAGTTGTGTGAATCTGTGGTCCACTTCTTTTTCTTGCTGCATGGTACTTTAATTGTATAAATAGACCCCAATATATTTAAACATTCACCAGTTGTTGCAGAGTTGGGTGATTTTCAGTTAGAAACAAATATGAATATAACTCCTAATAAAATTCATATACATAGTCTTTTGATGCACAGAGGCTTTCATTTCTTGGCTTTATATCATGCATTATCAAGGAGGGCAATAGAACCCTCAGGGGTATAAAAATTGGTTCTTGAGAAATAAAAAACAAATCTTAGATGTTACAATGATTCGTGTTCCTCCAAAAGGCTACAATACATAAACAGCATAAAGAGGTATATACTACATTATAATTAGAGTATTTAAATTTCATGAGGGGTAGACATAATAAGGAAAACATGTATAAAAAGGATCTGGATGCTGGGGATGGGGAGTAAGGTGATACTAAAAAAGAAACAATACTGAAAAGTACTGTTTTATACCTAGGAGTAAAATTGCAGTTTTTGTATATGTTCATCTTTAATATGTACTGCAAAAATATCTTCCAGAATGGTTATGTTTTAAATGAACCAGAGGTGATTCTAATGTATATCAAGAATGAGAACTACAGCATTCTACCATGCCGTTCACAGTAAGCAGAACAAGCAGTACCACCAGTTTGTGGGTTAACAAGGTCCTGTCTTCCTGCCTCCTATATTTCTTGCTCAGCAACACAACCTCTAACCAGCAGCCTCTCCTCCAGGCTTTGGAATTAATTCTGTCAAGAGAATATAAAGAGATCTAGGTGATTTCATCAAGAAATGAATATCAGGTCATCCTAAACACAAATTTTAACACTGACTCTGTGCCCCAGTTTTTAACAGCAGCTCCAAGTTTTTCTATAGTTTTTCTCTGTTCATCTCTGGTACACATATTGCTGAACCCAAGTTTTTCATGTAAACAACCTGCCTTTACTACACTTTGTTTTCTGTCACTGCCTATAATGAATACCACATTCATAGAAGCCTAGCTAAGGAAAGAACAAAATAAAAACATCCTCCAAAAATATGCATATTGTTAAGGATAAACATAACAAGTAATACTATTTTTTCTTTTTCTTTTTTGTATTTTTAATTTTTGTGTATACATAGTAGGTGTATATATTTATGGGATAATGCATGAGATGTTTTGATACAGGCATGCAAAGTGAAATAAGCACATCATGAAAAATGTGGTATTCATCTCCTCAAACTTTTATCTTTTGAGTTACAATTTAATTACACTCTTAAGTTCTTTTTAAATGCACAATTAAATTATTAGTGACAATAGTCACCCTGCTGCACATAAACTAGAAAATCTAGAAGAAATGGATACATTCCTGCACACATACAACTTCCCAAGACTGAACCAGAAAAAAAAATCGAATGCCTGAACAGAACAATTACAAGTTATAAAATTGAGGCAGTAATAAATAGCCTACAAACCAACCAAAAAAAAAAGCCCAGGACCAAACAGATTCACAGCTGAATTATACCATATGTACAAGGAAGATCTTGTACCTTTCCTACTGAAACTATTCAAAAAAAATTAGGAGGAGGGACTCCTCCCAAACTTATTCTATGAGGCCAGCATCATCCGGATACCAAAACCTGGCAGAGAGAAAACAATTAAAGAAAACTTCAGGCCAATATCCTTGATGAACATCAATGGAAAAATTCTCAACAAAATACTGTCAAACTGAATCCAGCAGCGCAACCAAAAGCTTATCCATCAAGATAAAGTAGGCTTCATCCCCAGGATGCAAGTTTGGTCCAACATACACAAATTAATAAATGTGATTCATCACAAACAAAACTAAATACAAAAAAAAATAAGATTATCTCAATAGATGCAGAAAAGTCTTTCAATAAAATTCAACATCCCTTCATGTTAAAAACTCTCAATAAACTAGGTGTTGAAGGAATATACCTCAAAATAATAAAAAGCCATCTGTGTCAAACCCACAGCCAACATCATAATGAATTGGCAAAAGTTGGAAGAATTTCCCTGGAAAACTTGCACAAGATAAGGATGCCTTCTCTCACCACTCCTATTCAACATATTATTGGAAGTCCTGGCCAGGGTAATCAGGCAAGAGAGAGAAAGAAAGGCACTCAAATAGACATTCAAATGGGAAGAGAGGATGTCAAACTATCCCTGTTTGCAAATGACATGATCCTATATCTAGAAAGCCCCATCATCTCAGCCCAAAAGCTTCTTAAGCTGATAAGCAACTTCAGCAATGTCTCAGGATACAAAATCAACATGTAAAATTCACTAGCATTCCTATACACCAACAACGGTCAAGTCAAGGCCAAATCACAAAACAACTCCTATTCACAATTGCCACAAAAAGAATAAAATACCTAGGAATACAACTAAATAGCAAGGTGAGAAACCTTTACAAAGAGAACTACAAATCACAACTCAAAGAAATCAGAGATGACACAAACAAATGGAAAAACATTCCATGCTCATGGATAGAAAGAATCAATATTGTGAAAATGTCCATACTGTCCAAAGTAATTTACAGATTCAGTGCTACTCCCATTGATCAATCGCTGACATTCTTCACAGAACTAGGAAAAAAACTATTTTAAAATTCATATGGAACCAAAAAAGAGCTATTTTAAAATCATGTGGAACCAAAAAAGAGCTTAAATAGCCAAGACAATCCTACACAAAAAGAACAAAGTTGGATGCATTACGCTACCCAACTTCAAACTATTCTACAAAAAATAACAAATGCTGAAGAGGTTGTAGAGAAAAAGGAAGGCTAATACACTGTTGGCAGGAGGGTAAATTAGTTCAACTGTTGTGGAAGACAGTGTTGCAATTCCTCAAAGACCTAAAGTCAAAAATACTATTCAACCCAGCAATCTCATTACTGGGTATATAACCAAAAGAATTTAAATCATTCTACTATAAAGATACACGCATGCATATTCACAATAGCAAAGACATGGAGTAAACCTAAATGCCCATCAATAATAGACTGGATAAAGAAAATGTGGTACATATACATCATGGAATACTATGCAGCCAGAAAAAATGAGATTATGTCCTTTGTAGGGACATGGATGGGGCTGGGGGCTATCATCATTAGCAAACTAACACAGGAACAGAAAACCAAATACCGCATGTTCTCACTTATAAGTAGGAGCTAAATGATGAGAACACATGAACACATAAAGAGGAACAACACACACTGGGGCTTATTAGAGGGTGGAGATTGAGAAGGGGGAGAAGATCAGGAAAAATAACTAATGGGTAATAGGCTTAATACCAGGGTGATGAGATAATCTGCACAACAAAACCCCATGACTCACGTTAACCTATGTAACAAACTTGCACAAGTACCCCTGAACTTAAAATAAAAGTTTAAAAAAAAAAGAATGTTGAATGTTGACCCCCAATGTCTTCTGGCTTGAAGGGTTTCCACTGACAGGTCTGCTGTTAGTCTGATAGCTCTCCCTCTGTAGGTGACCTGGCCTTTTTGTCTAGCTGCATTTAATATTTTATCTTTCATTTTGACCTTGGAAAATCTGATGACTATGTGTTTTGGGGATAATCTTTCTGTGAAGTATTTTGTGTGGGTTCCTGAATGTGAATGTTGGCCTCTCCAGCTAGGTTGGGGAAGTTCTCCTGGATGATATCCTGAAACATTTTTTCCAAGTTGCTTACACTCTCCCCATCTCTTTCAGAGACACCAAGGAGTTGCAGATTTGATCTCTTTACATAATCACATATTTCTCTGAGGTTTTGTTTATTCCTTTTTATTCTTTTTTCTCTACTCTTGTCTGACCATCTTATTTCAGAAAGCCAGTCTTCAAGGTCTGAGATTCTTCTGCTTGGTCTACTCAGCTATTCATACTTGTGATTGCATTATAAAATTCTTGTAGTGTGTTTTTCAGCTCTGTCAGGTTGGTTACATTCTTTTCTATACTGGCTATTTTGTCTGTCAGCTCCTGCATCATTTTATTGTGATTCTTAGCTTCCTTGGGTTGAGTTTCAACATACTTCTGCATCTCAATGATCTTTATTGCTTTCCATATTATGAATTATATTTCTGTCATTTCAGCCATCTCAGCCAGGTTTAGAACCCTTGCTGGAGAGGTGGTGTGGTCATTTGGAGTAAAGAAGGCACTCTGGCTTTTTGAGTCATCAGGTTTCTGGCACTAGTTTTTTGTCATCTTTGTGGACGTATGCCACTTCAATCTTTGAAGTTGCTGACCTTTGGGCGGTTTTTCTTTCTTTTATTCTATTTGATGACTTTGAGGGTTTGGTTGTGGTATAACGTGGATTCAGCCAACTGGCTTCATTTCTTAGGGGGTCAATGCTCAGCTCTCAATTTCTGGACTGCCTGCTGTAGCTCTGAGGGGCTTGTATTGGGCCCTGACTTCATTCTCTGTCTCCTCAAGGTTAAGAATCCACTCCACTTTGAGGGCCAAGGTGCTCCCGAACCGCTGGTCACTACAGATCAGTGAGTAGTGTCTGGAAAAACATTTTGTACTGAGATGACAACAGTTTCCATCTTCGTTCACTCATGCCAGCAGCAGCAACAACACAGCAGGTCCCACATTCCTCAGTTGCCACAGGGTGCTATCAGGTGCCTGCCTGTCTGCCTCCATGCAGGCATTCACTGCAGTGGTAGAGGTAAGCGGGCTCAAGGAGGCAGGGATAGGGGCCCTGCTGGAGACTGTGCTTATGGTCACACTGGTGGTGGTGCTGACAAAGGGGGTGGGGAATTGGTGGGTGCAGGTCTTTGTGTGTTCTCTGTGTGCTGCAGGCAGGGGTGGTCACTCAGGGTGGGTAAGGGTCCACTGTTCTCTGTTCCTAGTTTCACTCCTGCAGCAGTTTTGGTGCAAGTGTGGGGTGCTGTTGGATGTGGGGTTGGCTGGCTCTGTTCTCGCCAAAGCTCTGACTGCAATGGTAGTTGGCAGGGGGAGGCAGAATAAACTGCACACCTGACACAGCAGTGGCAAAGAAATGTAGGGGTTGCCATGGGCCTGGGGGAGAAGGGAAGGAGTGGGCTGGTGTGTGGCCCTGAGGGCCACCCCACTGGAGATCTCTACCAGTCAAGCATGGTTCACCAGTCCAGAAGCCATGATGCAGGCTCCCAGGGCACTTGAGACTGCCCTGCAAGCAGGTGCTGCCAGGCTTGGGCCCTGGGAGAGACAAGTAGACCAAGGTTTGCTCATATAAAATCAGCCCCTTCTGATGAGCAAGACAACCCTGTAGAGTTCAGGTCCAAAAGGTTCCCTAGGGCTAAATCTCCTATGGCAGCAAGTCAAGGCTAAGAGAATGGCCATCCCTGGCTATACTCCACTACAGATACTCCTGAACCAAACCATTTGGGTTCCTCATCAGCTGGCTTTCTACCCCTACCACTTCTCTAAGCAGCTCTCCTTGCAAACTCAACTGTCCCTGGTAGTAGAAGGGTTTCCCTCAGCTGGGATTCCAGAGGCCAGTGGCAAGAGTGAGTTGCCCCTTGCCAGTTCAACTCACCCATTCCCCCATAGTCATTGGGGGCCAGGAATGAGTCCTGGTGTGCAGTCGCCCTGTGCAGGGTTCCCGGATTTCTCCCTCTTCAGCCCACCTTCTGTATCCTCCCTTTGTCCACTCTAGGCGCCTTCCTTCTAAAGATATGTTGGAAACGCACCAGACATCTCGGTCCCTCATAGCAAATGTTCCACCTGACTGCGTCTAGTTGGCCATCTTGCTCGATCCTCTTTATCCCTTTGAATAAACTTTCTACCCCTATCTTTTTCTCTACCTCCTCTTTAAAACGAATAACTTTTAGATTTGACCTTTTGAGGCTGTTTTCTACATTCTGTAGGTGTGCTTTATTGTTTTTCCTTCCTTTTTCTTTCGTTTCCTCTGTATATTTCCAAATAGCATGTCTTTAAGCTCACTAATTCTTTCTTCTGCTTGATTAATTCTGCAATTAAAGGGCTCATGCATGGGGTGCAGTAGTGCATGCCTGTAGTCTCAGCTACTTGGGAGGCTGAGGAAGAAGGATTGCTTGAGTCCAAGAGTTCTGGACTATATTGCACTATGCTGATCAGGTGTCCGCACTAAGTTCGGCATCAGTATGGTGACCTCCCAGGAGTGCGGGACCACCAGGTTGTCTAACGACGGGTGAACTGGCCCAGGTCAGAAGCGAAGCAAGCCAAAACTACCATGCTGATCAGTAGTGGAATCATGCCTGTAAATAGCCACTGCACTCCAGCCTGGGCAAACATAGCGAGACCCCGTCTCTAAAAAATAAATGACTCTGATGCATTCTTCAGTATGCCAATTACATTTTCCACCTCCAGAACTTTCACTTGATTCTAATTTTTTCAATCTCTTTGTTAAATTATTCTGATAGAATTCTGAATTCTTTCTCTGTGTTATCTTGAATTTCTTTGAGATTGCTAAACACAGTTTTTTGGGGTTCTCTGTCTGAACGTCCCCATATGCCTGTTTCTCCAGGATTGGTCCCTGGTGCATTATTTAGTTCATTTGATGAGGTCTTGTTTTCCTGGATCGTGTTGATGCTAGTTGATGTTCTTTGGTGTCTGAGTATGGAAGAATTAATTATTTATTTTAGTATTCACTGTCTGGGCTTATTTGTACCTGTCCTTCCTAGCAAGACTTTCTAGACATTTGAAAGGACCTGGGTGTTGTGACCTAAGCTCTACCTTCTTTAGGGAGTACCCTAAGCTCAGTAACACTGTGGTTCTTGCAGATTCGTGAAGGTACCACCTTGATGGTCATGGACCAGATCGAGGAGAATTATCTGGATTACCAGGCAGAGACTCTTGTTTTCTCTCTTTCCTTTCTCCCAAACAGAATTTCTCTCTCTGTTCTGAGCCACCTAAAGCTCAAGGCAGAGTTATACAAGCACTTCTACAGCCACCACCACTATGACTATGCTGGGACCTGAAGCCAGCACAGTGCTGGGTCTTGCCCAAGGCCTGCTGTAACCACTCCCTAGCTACTGCCTATATTTTCTCAAGGCGCTGGGGCTCCACAATCAGCAGGTGGTAAAGCCAGTCAGGCCTGTGTCCTTCCCTTTGGGGAAGAGAGATCCACCAGACCCTAGGTGGGTCCAGAGGTGATGTCCATGAGTCAGAAACTAGAGTCAAAACCTTAAAAGTCTAACTGGCGTTCTATTATATTGCAGCTGAGCTGACACTTAAACCACAAGATGCAGCCTTTTCCACTCTTCCCTTCCCTTTCCAGTGGCAGAGGATCCTCACTATAGCCATCATGAGCCCAGGCTACATGGAGTACTGCTAGACTACCAGCCAATGTTCCCTTAAGCCCCAAGGGCTTTTAAGTCAGCCTGTGGTGAATGCTGACTGTCCTGGGACTCACCTTTCAGGTCAGTGGGCTACCCTCTGGCCCAGATCATGTCCAAAAATGCCATCGAAGAATCATGTCCTGGAATCAGGGACCCCCAAGAACTAACTTGGTGCTCTGGCCACCTTTGGACATGCTGGTACCTAAGCTGCAAGACTAGGTCCCCTTTACTTTTCCCTCTGCTTTTCTCAAGAAAAATGAGTTTTGCTCCATAGCCACCTCAGCTGGTAATGTGTTGAGTCTCACCTCAAGCCAGTAAGTCTCAGATTATCACCAAGGCCCAAAATGTAGTATCCGAGTATCGTTGCTGGTTTTTCAGGGTCCAAGAGCTTTTAGTTAGCAGGTGATGAATGCTGCCAGGACTGGGTCCTTTTCTTCAAGGCAGTAGGCTCCCTTCAAGTTCAGATGTGTCTAGAAATGTCATCTGGAAGCTATAGCCTAGAATGGGAGCCTCGTAACTTTGTCCAGTGCCCTATTTTACCATGGCTAAGCTGGTATCCAAGATGCAGGACAGTCTTCCGCACTCTTCCCTCTCTTTTAATCATGTGGAAGAAAGAGGTCTCTTTTGGAGCTATGAGCTGTGTGGCCTGGGGTTAGGGGAGGTGTGATGCCAGCACTTCCTTGGCTGCCCCAGCTGGTGTCTCAGTGTGTCAAATGTCCTACCGAGTTCGCTGTCTCTGAGCTTAATTTAGCACTAGGTCTCACCTAAGCATTGCAGTTTTATAGCCTAGACTGCCTTTCAAATCTACTTGAAGACACAGAGCACTGTAGTCCTCTATGGTTAGGTTTGCAGACACTCAAGTTCAGACCACTGGGATCTGTGATTCCCCTCTGGCTATGGCTGGTTTAAATGCTCCCTCCACGAACAGATTTCAGCTGAGTTTGGTTTGGTTTTCCTTTCTGCTCTAACAGGACAGCACCAAATTCAATGCCACACAATTGCTGTGTTTTCTCTCCCCCAGCACTCAGAGATGCTTTACATACCAGGCCACTGCTGCTGCGGGTGGGGGGGTGGGGAAGGGTAGCCTCAGCGATTCAGGACTGTTTTCTCTATCTCTTCAGTTCATCTTTTAGTGATATGAAGTTAAAACCAGGTACTATGAGTGCTCACCTGATCTTTGGGTTTTACGCAGGTGTTTTTTTGTGTAGATGATTGTTAATTTGGCGTCCTTGCTGGTGGTGGGGGAATCTAATTGGCAGAGCCTTCTATTCTACCATCTTGCTCCACCTCCTGAGTACTCATACATAGTTTTAAGATGATATGTTGACATAATTATTTTGGCTGAGACCCAGAGAAGCTAGTCAATGTAGTCAACGAGTATTGTCTTATTTTTTAACCTGCTTACCTCCCTACCAGCTAATACCATGCCCACTCACATACTGGTCCACCCTTTTGTACCCTCCCTCTGTACTTTCTGCCTTCTGAGCTGGGCTTATTTTTATCACTGGAGGCTGAGTCTCTCCTCTAGTATTGCCCCATTACAGATATCTCACCTAACTGCAGTTAAACTTTTATGGGTCCCAAGGTATCTTATCAGTAAAAGGAGCAAAGACTCCCTGTACCTTTCTGAGAGATCAGTTTTATTGTATGAAGTGATATACCCAAACTGAATTATAATTTATATTTTTAATTTGAAAGTTATGAATGTTTCTTTTTGGCTTTCTGATGCTCTTTATTTTCTACACATGGCTACATTTAGATGATCAAATTATACACTCAATTAGGGACAAAATCATTTTACAATTATAAAATCCTTATTTAAATAAAAACAATTAGTCATTGCTTTTCTGGGTTTTTTTTTTTAATATTGCTAAAATCGGATAGATGTTGAACTGAAACAGCATTTTTTGGGCAGTAACTGGGAAAACCAAATCTTCATTTACTACTGGCTGTCTCACTAAATCCAGGTTCAACCACCAACAGCAATAATTTTGTGTGTGTGTGTGTGCGTGTCTGCATTTATGTGTGTCTCTGTGTGTGTACATCTGTATTTATACATGTGTGTGTCTGTCTGGGTGGTATGGGTACTGAGTAGGTGGTCTGTGTAGCTCAGGTAGCCAGATAGCACTTCCACTGCTATAAGTTTAGCAGGACTCTAGCTAGAGTATACTAATTTAGCATCTCTGGTGCCTAATCAACATACGAAAAAAATGTTAACTTTGTTAGCTTCCATTATATCCTCCGACACAGATTAATCCTCTCAAACATGCCTAGACTTTCAGAGCCTCTGGACTAAGTAAAAGGACAGCAATTCCTTTGAAAGAAAATATTGGTTCAGAGTATGAATAATGGAAAAACAAGTCTACTATTTTTAAGTTGCACTTATTTTCAGTTGAGTAAAACTGAATCGTGGTCTCCCTCTGGTGCCCAAAAGGGGGGTAGCTGACAGATTATTTTAAGGCTTTTTCTTCTTTCTTTTCAGCAAGCTGACTTTAAGTATTAAAATTCTATTCATCTTTGTTAAGTACACACGAACAAACACACAAAACATGGCATATGTATATATCTCTTTGTTTATCTATGACCAGACCATAACACACTGCTTGGAGCAGGATCAAATTACAGACAAATTATGGGTGCTATAATTTGGATACCAGCTGATTATGCGCTAAAATTGTTTTATTGCAGAGCATAAAGAGTTCAACAAAATATTAAGCTCTTGGTATTGAACAATTCTGCGTATGGTAAACTAGTGTCTGAAAGAAGAGGTAATTTAATTTTTTTGGAGTTGGACGAAATCTAATAAATTTACACTGACGGATGAGCATCTGCAATATGTCTAAAATCAGATTATACTATAGATTTTCTTTTGTTTTTACTGTCTCCATTAGGTGCTTTCCATTGGACAGTGTTTTCCGCTCTATATTGTCTTAAAAGTTGTAATTCTTTTAATGTTCTATAGTTTTTTTACCTTAATAACTATTCTCATGTTTATTTGCTCTTTTTTTGTATCTTAAAGATATTAATATTTATAATTTCTCCAGAATAAAAGAAGTTCAGCATGCTCTATAGTTAATTTAGTTTCCTCTCATCTCCATTATGTTAATTTAGGCTATAAGCTTAGTTATGGGTTATGATAAATATAATTTCACTTTTTATTTCCTTTATTCCTAAAATTATATTTAATTTTACTGTGAAGTCATCAATACATTTAGGAAAGAAAGTTGATCATTTGAGCTTGCTATATTCTTGGCACCCTTGTTTGGATTTGCTTCTCTTCTAATTTGGTACTCCTTGTTGGGTTTTCAATGTAGAGTCTTATGTACAAAACCCCCTAAGGCCTAATATTTGGGAAAATATTTTTATTATTCCCTCATATTTGAATAAAAATTTGGCTAGATAAAAATTCTAGGTTCAAAGTTCTTTTTATTATTATTATACATTAAGTTCTGGGATACATGTACAGAATGTGCAGCTTTGTTACCGAAGTAAACAGGTGCCATGGTGGTTTGCTGCACCGATCAACCCATCATCTACATTAGGTATTTCTCTTAATGTTATCCCTCCCCTAACCCCTCACCCCATGACAGGCCCTGGTGAGTGATGTTCCCCTCCCTGTGTCCAGGTGTTCTTATTGTTCAACTCCCACTTATAAGTGAGAACATGTGGTGTTTGGCTTTCTGTTCCTTTGTTAGTTTGCTGAGAATGATGGTTTCCAGCTTCGTCCATGTCCCTGCAAAGGACATGAACTCATCTTTTTTATGGCTGCATAATATTCCATGGTGTATATGTACCACATTTTCTTTATCCAGTCTATCATTGATGGGCATTTGGGTTGGTTCCAAGTCTTTGCTATTGTAAACAGTGCCACAATAAACATACATGTACATGTGTCTTTATAATAGAATGATTTATAATCCTTTGGATATATACCCAGTAATGGAATTGCTGGGTCAAATGGTATTTCTGGTTCTAGATCCCTGATGAATCGCTACACTGTCTTCCACAATAGTTGAACTAATTTACACTCCCACCAACAATGTAAAAGTGTTCCTATTTCTCGACATCCTCCCCAGAATCTGTTGTTTCCTGACTTTTTAATGATCACTGTTCTAAATGGTGTGAGATGGTGTCTCATTGTGGTTCTGACTTGCATTTCTCTAATGACCAGTGATGATGAGCTTTTTTTCATGTTTGTCGGCCGCATAAATGTCTCCTCTTGAGAAGTGTCTGTTCATATCCTTTGCCCACTTTTTGATGGGGTGGTCTGATTTTTCCTTGTAAATTTGTTTAAGTTCTTTGAAAATTCTGGATATTAGCCCTTTGTCAGATGGATAGATTGCAAAAATTTTCTCCCATTCTGTAGGCTGCCTGTTCACTCTGATGACAGTTCTTTTGCTGTGCAGAAGCTGTTTAGTTTAATTTGATCCCATTTGTCAATTTTGGCTTTTGTTGCCATTGCTTTTGGTGTTTTAGTCATGAAGTCTTTGCCCATGCCTGTGTCCTGAATGGTATTGCCTAGGTTTTCTTCTAGGGTTTTTATGGTTTTAGGTCTTATATTTAAGTCTTTAATCCATCTTGAGTTAATTTTTGTGTAAGTGTAAGGAAGGGGTCCAGTTTCAGTTTTCTGCATATGGCTAGCCAGTTTTCCCAGCACCATTTATTAAATGGGGAATCCTTTCCCCATTGCTTGTTTTTTCTCAGGTTTGTCAAAGATCAGATGGTTGTAGATGTGTGGCATTATTTCTGAGGGCTCTGTTCTGTTCCATTGGTCTATATATCTGTTTTGATGCCAGTACCATGCTGCTGTGGTTACTATAGCATTATAGTATAGTTTGAAGTCAGGCAGCATGATGCCTCCAGCTTTCTTCTATTTGCTTATGATTGTTTTGGCCAAATCCATCTGGTCCTGGGCTTTTTTTGGTTGGTAGGCTATTAGTTACTGCCTCAATTTTAAAATTTGTTATTGGTCTATTCAGGGATTTGACTTCTTCCTGGTTTAGTCTTAGGAGGGTGTATGTGTCCAGGAATTCATTTCTTCTAGATTTTCTAGTTTATTTGCATAGAGGTGTTTATAGTATTCTCTGAAGGTAGTTTGTATTTCCTTGGGATCAGTGGTGATATCTCCTTTATCATTTTTTATTGTGCCTATTTTATTCTTCTGCCTTTTTTTTGTTGTTGTTAGTCTGGTTAGTAGTCTATCTATTTTGTTAATCTTTTCAAAAAAAAGCAGCTCCTGGATTCATTGATTTTTTTGAAGTGTTTTTCGTGTTTTTATCTCTTTCAGTTCTGCTCTGATCTTAGTTATTTCTTGTCTTCTACTAGCTTTTGAATTTATTTGCTCTTGCTTCTCTAGTTCTTTTAACTGTGATGTTAGGGTGTTGATTTTAGATCTTTCCCACTTTCTCCTGTGGGCATTTAGTGCTATAAATTTCCCTCTAAATAATGCTTTAGCTGTGTCCCAGAGATTCTGGTATGTTGTGTCTTTATTCTCATTGGTTTCTAAGAACTTATTTATTTCTGCCTTAATTCGTTATTACCAGTAATCATTCAGTTTCCATGTGGTTATGCAGTTTTGAGTGAGTTCCTTAATCCTGAATTCTAATTTGATTGTACTGTGGTCTGAGAAACTGTTTGTTATGATTTCTGTTCCTTTGCATTTGCTGAGGAGTGTTTTACTTCCAATTACGTGGTCAATTTTAGAATAAGTGTGATGTGGTGTAAGAAGAATGTATATTCTGTTGATTTGGGGTGGAGAGTTCTGTAGATGTCGATTAGGTCCACTTGGTCCAGAGCTGAGTTCAAGTCCTGAATATCCTTGTTAATTTTCTGTGTCGTTGATCTGTCTAATATTGACAGTGAGGTGTTAATGTCTGCCACTATTATTGTGTGGGAGTCTAAGTCTCATTGTAGGTCTCTAAGAACTTGCTTTATGAATCTGGGTGCTCCTGTACTGGGTGCATATATATTTAGGATAGTTAACTCTTCTTGTTTCATTGATCCCTGTGCCATTATGTAATGCCCTTCTTTGTCTTTTTTTGATCTTTGTTGGTTTAAAGTCTGTTATATCAAAGACTAGGATTGCAACCCCTAATTTTTTTTTGTTTTGTTTTCCATTTCTTTGGTGAATATTCCTCCATCCTTTTATTTTGAGCCCATGTGTGTCTTTACACATGAGATGGGTCTCCTGAATACAGCACACCAGTGGGTCTTGACTCTTTATCCAATTTGCCAGTTTGTGTCTTTTAATTGGGGCACTTAGCCCATTGACATTTAAGGTTAATATTGTTATGTGTGAATTTTGATCCTGTCATTATGATCCTAGCTGGTTGTTTTGACCGTTAGTTGATGCAGTTTCTTATAGTGTCAATGGTCTTTACAATTTGGTATGTTTTTGCAGTGGCTGCTACTGGTTTTTCCTTTCCATGTTTACTGCTTCCTTCAGGAGCTCTTGTAAAACAGGCCTGGTGGTGTCAAAATCTCTCAGCATTTGCTTGTCTGTAAAAGAATTTATTTTTCCTTCACTTATAAAGCTTAGTTTGGCTGGATATGAAATTCTGGGTTGAAAATTCTTTTCTTTAAGAATGTTGAATATTGGTCCCCACTCTCTTCTGGCTTGTAGAGTTTCTGCCAAGAGATCCACTGTTAGTCTGATGGGCTTCCCTTTGTGGGTAAGCTGACCTTTCTCTCTGGCTGCCCTTAACATTTTTTCCTTTTCCTGCATTTCAACCTTGGTGAAATGATAATCTGACGATTATGTGTCTTGAGGTTGCTCTTCTCGAGGAGTATCTTTGTGGTGTTCTCTGTACTTCCTGAATTTGAATGTTGGCCTGTCTTGCTAGGCTGGGGAAGTTCTGGATAATATCCTGAAGAGTGTTTTCCAACTTGGTTCCATTCTCCCTATCACTTTCCAGTACACCCATCAAATGTAGGTTTGGTCTTTTCACATAGTCCCATATTTCTTGGAGGCTTTGTTCATTCCTTTTCATTCTTTTTTCTCTAATCTTGTCTTCACGCTTTATTTCATTAAGTTTATCTTCAATCTCTGATATTCTGTCTTCCACTAGATCGATTTGGCTATTAATACTCGGGTATGCTTCACGAAGTTCTTGTGCTGTGTTTTTCACCTCCGTCAGGTCATTTGTGTTCTTCTCTAAACTGATTATTCTAGTTAGCAATTCCTGAAATCTTTTTTCAAGGTTCCTAGCTTCCTTGCATTGGGTTAGAACATGCTCTTTTAGCTCAAAGGAGTTTGTTATTACCCACCTTCTGAAGCCTACTTCTGTCAATTCATCAAACTTATTCTCCATCCAGTTTTGTTCTCTTGCTGGAGAGGAGTTGTGATCTTTTGGATGAGAAGAGGCTTTCTGGTTTTTGAAATTTTAAGCCTTTTTGCACTGGTTTTTCCTCATCTTCATGGATTTATCTATCTTCAGTCTTTGATATTGGTGACCTTCAGATGGGGCTTCCGTGTGTATGTCCTTTTTGTTGATGCTGATGCTATTGCCTTCTGTTTGTTAGTTTTCCTTCCAATAGTCAGGCCCCTCTGCTGTAGGTCTGCTGGAGTTTGCTGGAGGCCCACTCCAGACCCTGTTTGCCTGGGTATCACCAGGGGAGGCTGCAGATCAGCAAAGATTGCTGCCTGTTCCTTCCTCTGGAAGCTTCATCCCAGAGGGGTACCCACCAGATACCAGCCAGAGCTCTCCTGCATGAGGTGTCTCTCAACCCCTGCTGGGAGGTGTCTCCCAATCAGGAGGCATGGGGGTCGGGGACCCACTTGAGGAGGCAGTCTGTCCCTTAGCAGAGCTCAAGCAATGTGCTGGGATATCTGCTGCTCTCTTCAGAGCCAGCAGGCAGGGAATTATAAGTCTGCTGAAGCTGTGCCCAGAGCTGCCCCTTCCCCTAGATGCTCTGTCCCAGGGAGATGGGAGTTTTATCTATAAGCCCCTGACTGGGGCTGCTGCCTTTCTTTCAGAGATGCCCTGCCCAGAGAGGAGGAATCTAGAGAGGTAGACTGGCTAAGGCAGCTTTGCTGAGCTGCTGTGGGCTCCACCCAGTTCAAACATTCCAGGGGCTTTGTTTACACTGTGAAGGGAAAACACCCTACTCAAGCCTCAGTAATGTTGGATGCCCCTCCCCCCACCAAGCTTGAGCATCTTAGGTCAACTTCAGACTGCTTTGCTGGCAGCGAGAATTTCAAGCCAGTACATCTTAGCTTGCTGGGTTCTGTGGGGGTGGGATCTACTGAGCTAGGCCACTTGGCTCCCTGGCTTCAGCCCCCTTTTCAGGGGAGTGAACAGTTCTGTCTCGCTGGTTTTCCAGGTGACATTGGGGTATTAAAAAAAAAAAAAACTCCTGCAGCTAGCTCGATGTCTGCCCAAATGGCTGCCCAGTTTTGTGCTTGAAATCCAGGGCCCTGGTGGTTAGGCACCTGAGGAAATCTTGTGGTTTGTGGGTTGCAAAGACCATGGGAAAAGTGTAATATCTGGGCTGGAGTGCACCGTTCCACACAGCAAAGTCCCTCAAGGCTTCCTTTGGCTAGGGGAATGAGTTCCCCAACCCCTTGAGCTCCCTAGGTTAGGCAACACCCCACCCTTCTTTGGCTCGCTCTCCATGGGCTGCACCCAATGTCTAACTAGTACCAATGAGATGAGCCGTATATGTTAGTTGGAAATGTAGAAATCACCCACCTTCTGTGTTGATCTTGCTGGGAGCTGCAGATTGGAGCTGTTCCTATTTGGTCATCTTGCCAGCCACACCTACTTGTTCTCTTTATTTATATATGAATCCCTAGAAAATGTGTCACTATAGCTGATATAAGTATTTTCTACTCTCTGTAAATTCCAAACCTACCCCAGAGCCTTTATAGTCAGTCAATGACCTTGTTTCCCAGTTCACTGAGAAGATGAAAGTCCTCCAATGTGAGCTTGTTTGACTTCACTACTATCCATGTTAAGATTTCTCTGAATCCACACTCCAAGTGCCCCTCCCAAAGTTAGCTTCTCCTCATATACTTTTAGAGCTTGGCACCTACACTAGCACACTGTCCACAATTTCCTTCCATAAATGATTCCTTTGTACATCTACAAATAGGCACACAATCCTTTTGCTTGTATTTTAAAATTAGCTAAACAATCTATAACCACACATAGAATCAGAATTACATGTCTGAAGTATATGAACTGGAAAAGGCCTTCTTAGAAGTCCTGTACTCTTATCTCCCCTTATAATGATGAATAATCTATGATACGCAAGGGGTTGTAAGTGACTGACTTAAGTCCACAGTCAATTAGCAGCAAGGCTGAGATCAGATCTCATAATGAGTGTCTATCATTCTATGACCTGTTTTTACTACTTCATATGCCTCTTTAAATGACCAGAAACAAGAGAAGACATGCTTTCATTCTAAGTGTTGGTGATGAGAAAAAGCATTAAATACTGAAATGTGTTCATTAATTTTAGGGCTGCTTTTCCCAAAATCCATCTTACAGAAATCTTTGGCAAATAAATAATCACAATTTGCTTCAGTCCTGTGTCTCTGGTGAAATTGCTAGCCCCAAATTAAGTGGATTCTAATATCCTGAAAGAAAGTTTTGGATATGCTACTTAAGAACATTAAACACATAAAGGTCTATTAAAAAGCACAGTTTTCCCACCAATAAAACTGACTGCAAATTTGCAAATTTTCTGTTCAAGCTCTTATAATCTATTCTAGAAGCAGAAAGACCTAAGACATTTCTTCAGAAGTCCCAAAGTAACTTGTGTGATTTTATAAAACTTCTGGAAAGTAATCTAATCTCCAATAAAAGTCAATATTGATAAGACAGTAACATATAAGCACTTTAGTTTCCTATCAGAGTTTTTGCCTTGTTCTTCAATTCTTCTTTCTTCCACCAGCAGGAGAGAAATACTATCCTAACGTTTCATACAGCCTGGAAGAAAAATAAAGAAAACTTTGGATAGAGCCTAATATAATTACAAGTATGCTTTCATAAAATAAGATAGTGTATATACATATAACATTAAAATATTTGTAAAGCTGTCATTAGCTCAAAGTCATTTATGTAAATTATTAACATGAAAAAGGCATCCTCAAATTTCACCAAACCTCTATGTAGTAGTAGTATCATATTAAAATTATAAAGTAGAAAATTCCAAGAAGCTAATTGGGCTCACTCTAAGCAAAGAAGGTGGGGATTATTATTTGTTATTTGTTCCTATCAACAAGATTGACTTAAAGACTATAGCAGATAGAACTAGGTAACTATCCCATGGTTCTACAAAGGAACTATCTATAATGAAGAAGTGAAAGTTGAAGGAATGCAATGGAGATTTATTTAGGTTGATTGTTTCTAAAGATAACTTTCAGCAACCTAATATTATTTCATGTCATTTCCCACTTTAATATAATAAGGCAAGTGGTTTTCTTTCATATCTATTAAAGGTGATGCAAAAAGAAATGTTAGATTACCATATGCTGACTTTATCAGGACAAGCAAATCAATATGTGGTGATTATGTTTTAGGTCTAGAAATATAAAGTGATCTGTAGTTAAAACAATATCTACAAGGTCTTGCAAAAGAGAAGGGAAAGGATGTATGACACAAATAAATAAAACAACTATATCAAATACTCAATAATCTTACATTTTTGGAATTTTCTACTGCTTTTTTTTAACTTTTTCAACTTTTGCCTAGTTCCCCAAAAATCTATTAAGATTGAACACAAGTGATTAGAAATTATCAGATCCCTCAGGCATAAGGTGGCTTCCAGCCTCTAATTCTATGCAGATTATTACTTTTATTGTGGTAAACAAATTTATATATATATATATAGGCTGGGTGTGGTGACTCACGCCTGTAATCATAGCACTTTGGGAGGCTGAGGTGGGTAGATCACTAGCTCAGGAGTTTGAGACCAGCCTGGCCAATATGGTGAAATCCCGTCTCTACTAAAAATACAAAAATTAGCTGGTCGTGGTGGCAAACACCTGTAATCTCAGCTACTCGGGAGGCTGAGGCAGGAGAATTGCTTGAACCTGGGAAGCGGAGGTTGCAGTGAGCTGAGATTGCACCACTGCACTCCAGCCTGGGCTACAGACCGAGACTCCATCAAAAAATTTTTTTTTAAATACAGAGCATGTAATTTACCATTTTTCATATTAAAATCTTTTATCAATTGCTTTAAGAGAAACTGACTTACACCATACATAAAACATCAGCTACCACATATTCTTTCCTTAGCTAACTTACTGTTTTCAATGCTGGGCTTATTAAGACCCATAACCAAGTATACATTAATATATTTGACCACATTCCCATGAGTTTTAAAAGGATTTGAAATATTTTCAACTTTCATGGTTATATAATTTTTAAATTTTCTTTCATGGCTTATTATGGGTTGAGGTGTGCCAAAGACCCCATTTTGAAAATAATTATAACTCAAAATTACTCTAAAACCAAAAGCTGCAAGAAAATAATATATAATAAGATTATTGGATTTCTAGTAAAATATTTTATTTAAGTAACATTGGATCTGGAGTGGGAAGTACAAATACATAGTAAAGGAATTTCTCAGGAACATTCAAACACTCCAGGTGCATGCTTTTAAAACACATATGTAACTGACTGAATACTAAATTATTCCTAAATACAATATAAATAACTAAAAAGTCCTCTTTGGAGCAACAATGTAGGTCTCATTATTGTGTATACAGAGGGATTTGGAACTTTAGATTGTGATGAATATGTCTGCCCTCTTCATTGTGCTGATACTTTCACAACTGTCACATATGGCAATATTTATCAAATCATACACTTTAAGGGCAGATTATCATCTGTCAATTATACCTGTACTACCACAGCTTAAAAAAAGGAAAACCTGTGTGACTAAGACAAAGCAACTAAGGAGAAAAGTGGTAAGTGATGAGGGCAGAGTAGCAAGATCTTGCTGACTGCTGACTATGATTGGTCATTGTTTTAATTCAAATTTCTTTTTATTATACTTTAAGTTTTAGGGTACATGTGCACAACGTGCAGGTTTGTTACATATGTATACATGTGCCATGTTGGTGGGCTGCACCCATTAACTCATCATTTAGCATTAGGTATATCTCCTAATGCTATCCCTCCCCCTTCCCCCCACCCCACAACAGGCCCCGGCAAATTTAAAGGAAAAACATTGGAGAGTATTTGGAAGATCTGATATAATTTGAATGATGAAAGACACTGGAATCAAAGATGTGTGAAACTGGAAGAGACACTGAGCTCTTCAAGTCTGGGTGCTCTCTAGAGAGGACGCCATAGACTTCCTTGAAGTTCCTGAATTTTTTTTTGTATGTGCATGTATTTTTAAAAATAAAATTTCCAGGCTGGGCATGGTGGCTTACGCCTGTAATCCCAGCACTTCGAGAGGCCGAGGTGGGTGGATCACCTGAGGTCAGGAGTTTGAGACCAGCCTGGCCAACATGGTGAAATCCTGTGTCTACTAAAAATACAAAAATTAGCCAGGCGTGGTGGTGTGTGCCTGTAATCACAGCTACTCAGGAGGCTGAGGCAGGAGAATCACTTGAAACCGGGAGGCGGAGGTTGCAGTGAGCTGAGAACGCACCATTGCACTCCAGCTGGGTGACAGAGCAAGACTTTGCCTCAAAAAAAAATAAAAAATAAATAAAATAAAATTTCCACATCATTCACCAGCTTCCCCAAAAGGTCCTTAATCATAATATTTTAAGAACCATTCATTTATTTGACCCTATTTTAGTTGAGGAAATTCAAATCTGGAGCAGTAAAATGATCTGGTCAAAATCAGAGATGACAAGTTAATGAGTCATAATGGCTTTGTGATGCTGACTATCCTCTTTTACCTGGTCTCATTATCTTTCTCTGCCCCAATGCTTTTGGTTAACAGAACATAATCATAAGGGCACAGCACACAAAGCCAGTGTCTGTTGAACCCTGAACTAGCCAGCTCAGGTCACTGGGAGACTGTGTGTGCTATGTGATCCATAAGAGATTAGAAGCCAATAGAAAGATTGGAAGCAGTCCCTTATGACTCCCTGATCAAACTTTTTTATAACATTTTAAATCAACTACAGTGTGTATTACTAAAATCACAAAAGAATAATACATCATAAATAATATTCACCTATGAATGTCACTGTGAATCTGCCCTGTGTTATGGAGGAAAGAATGTTATGCAGCTGGTATTTGATAGTGGTAGTTTTCTTCCTTAAAAGGCACCACAAATAAGTCCATGCCAAATCCTTTCCAACAGTGGTTTCAGTAAAGTAAACTGCTTAACTACAAGGCCACGTGGCGGAGTACACTTCACATGGGAAGGCTCACAGAGCCTTCAGAGATTCCATTGTAAGATGCTAGAGGGTCCTTTTCTCAGCAATCCAAGGGGACAAACAGGGTCACCTCAAATTCTTTCCCAGCTCTAAGGTTTATAGAAGTATCAGGCTATTCTGAGAGCCTTGCAAGGTCCCAGGTTACTGAAATAACCCTGCCTATCTTTGCTCAATGTTGAGCACTGAGAATGTAGCTATGATGCAAGTCAAAGCCTAAGGAACACAGTTCCTACCAAATCTCCATGATACCAGTGAAAACATTATAGAAAGTCATGCTTCTAAATACCAAGGCATTCTGCTCTAGTTAAATAGTGACCTTTTCTGGGGCTTTGAGTCTAAACTGAGTTCAGCAATATTGGAATTTACCAAATAGGTTATTTTCAATCACACAAGGGAAATGCTCATGATCATCATAATTAACTCTAGCCATGGGCTATACATGGACACAGTGCCTAACCAGATATTAAGAGAGGAAGTTCAGTGAGATACTTACCTTTAGAAAGGAGCCTATTGTACAGAATGGGGTAAAACACAATCAAAGTACAATTGATAATTGAGTTACATACCTATCTGATGTGGTAAATCAGTGTATGATCTTCATCTGTGCTTGAAGTCTGGGTCCACACCACCACAGGGCCACACCAACTGTAAATCACACTCTTATATTTTCTTACAATACTGTAACCTGAGAAGAAAAGAAAGTGTTGTTGAGTTCCTTAGCCAGATAAAAACCAATTTTCCTAAGAATTCAGCATAAAAAAAGAAAACCCAGTCTCTTTAACTGTTTAAAAATACAGCAAGAACAACAATTTTAAAAACCTTCAAGCCATTATACAATCTTAGGAGAAATAAGCCTAAGGCTGAAGATGGTCTGGACTTCATAGGGAAAAACAAATTTTGATGTAATCAACTGTGGTCAATTAGTGACTTCACAAAGTGATGTGCTGGAATTCAGGCTTGTGGTCAACAATACTGATCCACCTTTTCTGCTTGCTTAAGCTATTGTCTCTGAATTTAATGAAATATTAATAAATATCTTGTTAGCTTTACATCTTGGGATACAGAAGTGTTCTCCCACTTGTAGCTTTTTTTATTCCAGTGATGGCTGAGTATCCTGACATTGGGTGTGAAGTAGAGGTTTGAAATTCATACAGCACTGCTACTCAAGTAGCTATAAACGCCTTGCAAAACTGGCCTGAACCATTTGAGATTATTGCAAGGACCTGTTTATACATATTCCCAAAAGATCTATTTTATAGAAGCATGCACAGTTACTATGTGTGGCTACACCCTGAATTCGTTCAAAGCATCAAAGATCTGAAACCATGTACTAATTGTGTGAACCATGAAGGTAACTGTGGCCTTAATGCTGACCAATTCACATTGCCAAACAACAACGAAGCACGTCTTGCATCAAAATTGGGGAAACATTACTGTTTGTCAGTGATGAATACATTGACAGGGAAAAATCCATGGGAAGATCAGGATACTCTCTCTCATTGCAACCCCCATCCCCAGATATCCATGGAGCTCTCTCATCTCCTCCTTCAGATCTTTTCTCCCATGTCTCCTTCTTAGCGAGGCCTTAGCTGCACAATCTACCCAGAGATGAAAATCCCACACCCATCCCACAGTGTTCCCTTCCCTGCTCAGTTTGCTGTGTAGCGCATATGACTATTATGATACATACATAACTTATTGATCCTGTTTTATCAGTCTCCTCTACTAGAATGTGAGCTCTATGTGAATAGGATCGTTTTTTGTGTTTATTTCATGGCTGTAGTTGCAGCATTAAGAATATGATCACCATACACTAGGTGTTCAACAAATGTTTGCTGAAGGAATTAATGAAAGTTCAACAATTCTAATCTTTGTGTCATTCCCAGAGGTGACCTTGTCATCAATATAGTGAACTTCTTTCAGAATTTCCTTCCACATATTACATTCTGATATAAAGGCCCATTAAAAATTGATACTTTGTACCTCCATTAAGCTGTTGAATATTTTGACAATACTTAAAACAAAAATCATGTTTTCCAATTCTGCCTTGAAACTCAAGCAATTATAGCTCTGTAAATGTGACCATAATCAACTCTTATTTTTGGTATTTTTACTCATATTTCTTAATACACTCAAATTCTGATTTGGTTGTTCTTGTTTACTCTTTATCGCGAACATTTTGAAACAAAGGTGATAGAACAATGTGGAAAAAATTCCATGTACTCAGCAACCAGTTTAACAATAATCAACATTTACAAATTATGTTTTATTTTCACTTCTACTGAAATATCTCAAAGTATATTTCAACTATCATATGACTTCATGTATGAATCCTAACAAGATATTCAATCCATGCAGTTTACAATAATATACACTCTAACCAATAGGATTTTAGGAAAAAATAACCAAAATGTCATCCTTGCCTCTAACAGAAATTAGAATTATTCTCTAAGGGCACACAAAAATATCCATGTTCAATTTCCCTGATTGACCAAAATATGGCTCTTAAATTGTACTTGTTCTTCTTAGGATCAAAAGAAGTATTACACACGACTTTTAAAAAATATTTTAACATTCCTTTATTGATGGAAATGCAGGTAATTACATTTTGTTATTTGTTTTCTGGTTGTTTTGTGGTCTTCTTTCTTTCATTTCTGTCTTCCTTTAGTGAAGGTGATTTTCTCTGGAGATATAGTTTAGTTTCTTGCTTTTTATTTTTGTGTATCCATTATATGTTTTTTGATTTGAGGTTACTATGAGGTTTGCAAATACTATCTTATAACCCATTTTAAGCTTATAACAACTTAACACTGTTTGCATAAAGAAACAAACAAAAAGAAAACTAATAGAAATTCTACACCTTATGTCCATCCCCCTGCTTTTTCACTTTTTGTTTTCTATTTTATTGTACTGACTATGTCTTGGACATATTGGACCTCCATTGTATGTTATTTGTTCTTTTTCTCTTGCTGTTTTAGGATCCTTTCTTTATCCTTGAATTTCAGGAGCCAGAATATTAAATGCTTTGAGGTGATCTTTGAATTAAATCTGGTTGGTGTTCTATAACTTTCTTGTACTTGAATGTTGATATCTTTCTATAGGCTTGGGAAGTTCTCTGTTATTATCCCTTTATACAAACTTTCTACCCCTATTAATTTCTACCTCCTCCTTAAAGCCAATAACTCTTAGATTTGCATTTTGAGGCTATTTTCTAGATCCTGTAGGCATGCTTTATTTTGTTTATTTTTTTCTTTTGTCTCCTCTGACTGTCTATTTTTAAGTAGCCTGTCTTCAAGCTCACTAATACTTTCTTCTGCTTGATCAATTCTGCTGTAAAAAAAAAAAAAAAAAAAAAAAACTCTGATGCATTCTTTAGTATGTCAATTGCATTTTTCAGCTCCAGAATTTCTGCTTTATTCTTTGTAATTATTTTAATCTCTTTGTTAAATTTATCTGATAGAACTTTAAATTTCTTCTCTGTTATCTTGAATTTTTTTGAGTTTCCTCAACACAGCTCTTTTGAATTCTCTGTCTGAAAGGTCACATATCTCTGTTTTTCCAGGATTGGTCCCTGGTGTCTGGTTTAGTTCATTTGGTGAGGTTAGGTTTTCCGGGATTGTCTTGATACTTGTAGATGTCTGTCTGTGTCTGGGCATAGAAGGGTTAGGTATTTATTGTCTTTACAGTCTGGTCTTGTTTGTACCTGTCCTTCTTGAGAAGGCTTTCCAGATATTCCAAAGGACTTGGGTGTTGTGATCAAAGCTGTGTCTGCTTTACAGGGCATCCCAAGCCCAGTAATATTGTGGGTCCACAGACTCATACAGGTACCACCTTGATGGTTCTGAAAAAGTTCTAACAGAATTCTCTGGGTTACCAGGCAGAGATTCTTGTTCTCTTCCCTTACTTTCTCACAAACAAACAAAGTGTCTTTCCATTCTGAACCACCTGAAGCTGAGGGTGGAGTGACACAAGCACCCCTGCAACCGCCACCACTATGATTGTGCTGGATCAGCCCTGAAGCCAGCACAATGCTAGGTTTTGCCCAAGGCCTGCTGTAATCACTCCCTGGCTGCTGCCTCTGTTCACACAAGGCCCTGGGGCTTTACAGTCAGTAGGTGGTGAGGCGAGCCAGGCCTATGTCTTTTCCTTCAGGGTGGTGAGTTACCCATGCCCCCAGGAGGGCCCAGAGTGCTGGCAGGGAGCCAGGAACTAGAGTCAAAAACCTTAAAAGTCTACCTGGTGTTCTGTTGTGCTGCTGCAGCACTGGAACTCAAACTGCAAGATGTGTTCCTTCCCACTCTTTCCACCCGTTTCCAAAGGCAGAAGAGCCTTACTCCATGGCCACTGCCACCACAGGTTTATATGAAGTACTGTCAGACTACCACCAATGTCCCCTTAAGGACCAAGTGATCTTGAGTCAGCTTGTGGTAAATGTTGCCTGGCCTGGGAGTCACCCTTCAGGGCAGTGGGCTCCCCTCTGACCCAGGGCAGATCCAAAAATACCATCCAAAAACCAAGTTCTGGAATCAGGGACTCCAAGAGCCCACTTGGTGCTCTATACTTCAGTGGCAAAGCTGGTACCTGAAGCTAGCAAGTCTCAGAGCCTCACCCAAGGCCCTCAACATAGTACCTAGGTATCTCTGCTGGTTGTTCAGTGCCCAGTGGCTCTTCAGTTAGCAGATGATGAATGCTACCAGGACTGGATTCTTACCTTCAAAGCAGCAGGTTCCCTTCTGGCCCAGAAGATGTCTGGAAATGTCATCCTGGAGCTAGGGCCAGGAAAGTGGGCATCATTACTCTGACTGGTGCCCTATCCTGCTGTTGCTGAGCTGTTATCCAAGCTGCAAGACAATGTCCTCCCTACTCTTCCCTCTCCTCAAGTGTAAGGAAGGGGTCTCTGTTGGAGCCATGAGCTGTGCAGCCTGGGGTTAGTAGAGGGATGAGGCCAGCACTCACTTAACTTCCCTGGCTGCTGTGTCAGTAGGTCACGTGTCCCCCTAGACTACTGTCTCTTGTCTGAGTTCAGCACTAGGACTAATAAAAGTTGCAATACTTTTGGCCTAAACTGCCTTTCAAGGGCCCCAGGGCATTTTAGCCTGCATTGGAGATTCCCCTCTGGCAAGGGCTAATATAAATACTCCCTCTGTTGGGGTGGTGGGGAGCATCAGCTGTGTTTGGTCTGTTTTTCCTTTCTAACAGGACAGCACTGAGTTCAATGACTCACAATTGCTGCACTCTCCCTCCACCAGCACACAGAAACACTTACTGCCAGGGGTTGGGGGAGGGGTGATGTGACAATTCAAGACTGTTTTTTTTCCTGCCTCTTCAGGGCCTCTTTCAGTGATATAAAGTTAAAACCAGGTCCTATGAGTACTCACCTAATTTTTGGTTCTTACGACAGTGTTTTTCTTGTATAGATAGTTGTTAAATTGGTGTCCTTGCAAGGGGTGGGGACAATAGGTGGAACCTTCTATTCTGCTATCTTGCTCTGCCTCCTCCTACACAACATTGATTCAAATATTTCCTCTTTTCCTTTCCTTTCCTTTCCTCTCTCTCTCTCTTTCTTTTTCTTTCTTTCTTTATTTTTTGAGACAGAGTTTTGCTCTTGTTGCCCAGCCTGGAATGCAATGGCATGATCTCAGCATCTCTGCTCACTGCAACCTCTGCCTCCTGGGTTCAAGTGATTCTCCTGCCTCAGCCTCCCGAGTAGCTGGGATTACAGACACCCACCACCACATCTGGCTAATTTTTGTATTTTTAGTAGACATGGGGATTTGCCATGTTGGCCAGGCTGATCTCGAACTCCTGACCTCAGGTGATCTGCACACCTTGGCCTCCCAAAGTGCTGGGATTACAGGCATGAGCCACTATGCCCAGTCTCCTATTTCTTCTTAAATCTATAACACCACCACCCTCCCTCTTTTCTTTGCTATTCCTTTGGTGAGAGACTGGTTTATTATTTGTCCTGTAGAATTATTCATTTTTTACATTTTACCGTATCCATCCTAATGCAAAACCTATTCCTTTATAAGCAGAATATCTTGTAGTAATATCTATGGATGTGGTTAGATTCAGGTACAATTTTTTTGGCAGGAACATTCATAGTTGATGCTTTGTACTCTGATTGCATGATATCAGCATTCACATAATATGTTTCTCATATATTTGATGGAAAATATCATATCAGTGAGTTACAGCATTCTCACCTTGATTCACCCATGATATAAAATTTCCCACAAATCTTGTACCTAAATTTTATTAAATCTAAGTGCTGGTTTACATTTTATTATTGACATACAATTCACATACCATGTAATTCACCATTTAAAAGTATACAAGTCATTGCTTTTTAGTACATTCACAAAATTGTGTATCCATTACAACAAATTTTAGAAAATTTTTCTAAAATGAAAGCTCCATTTCTATTAGCAGTCATTTCTTATTCAGCCTTCCCCAGCCCCTGGCAACTACTAATCCACTATGTCTCTGTATAGATTTGCCTATTCTGGCCATTTTATATAAATGGAATCATGCAATATGCATTTTTGTCTGGTTTCTTAATGTATTATAATAGTTTCCAGGTTAAATCCATGTGGTATCATGTATCTGTGCTTCATTCCATGTTATGGCTAAATAATAAGCCATGGTATGGATATAGCATATTTGTTTAAACACTCACCAGTTCATGGGCATTTAGGTTGTTTCTCCTTTGGGTTTTATGAATTATGCTGCCACAAATATTCATGCATAACTTTTGTTCAAATATCTTTTCAGTTATCTTGGATATATACTTAGGAGTGGAATTCCTGGACCACGTGGTAATTATACGTTTAACTTTTTGTGGAAGTGCCAAACTCCTTTCCATAATATCTACATCGTTTTACTTTCCCACCGGCAATGTATGACAGTTTCAATTTCTCTACATCTTCATCACACTTGTTATTTTCAATTTTGTTTTTATTCTACCCATCCTAGTAAGTGTGAAGTGTATCTCCTCGTGATTTTGCTTTGTATTTGCCTAAATGAATGATGTTGAGCATCCTTTATGGAGCTGCTTGCCCATTTGCATGAAGAGCGCAAAGGAGTTGCAGCCTAGCATGTTTGGATTCATCCTGTGACACTCCGGTTCACCTTGGCAAAGCTTTAGCCTCTGTGGACCTTGGTTTCCTGGCACAATGAGTGTTTATTGAATCTGTGTCGGTTCAGGTAATGCAGACAGAAAAAAGGCTGTGACTTGATTCTGTGTCAGGCAATGGCCATTCCTACATTAAATAAAGGAGGAGAAAAACAGGGAGGCATCCAGAGAGGTGCAGCTGAGATTCATAGCCCAATTCTTTCTCGGCTAATTCCACCTGGGAACCAGAGGGAAGCTCTTTCCACTTTCCATTTTCTACAACGTGGAATTGTGGCAGAGTCTTAACCCCTCCCTCAACTCTCCCCTAAGCCGGTGAAGGCATCTGTCTGACCAGAACAAAGTATTACCTATGCCCATTTATTCTCTTTCCCCTACCTCCTGGTAATTCCCACCCACCTCTGCCCAAACAGCAAGGGAATGAGTAAGAGAAGAGGTTTGGGAGTATCTGGCCAGCAGGTGGTCTTGGGGTGGGGTGGGGATGGGGGACTGAGAGAGTGAAGGTCAGTTGGTGGGGAGTGAAATGGAGGCAGAAAATTCTAAGGAGTTGGAGGCGGTAAAAGTGCAGTTGTACCCTCCTCAGGTTGGTGTAGAGGCCTTGGATTTCTTTTTAAAGTGTTTCTTTTAAGGTGGGTGTACTGGGGAGTGGACCTGGGCAGCGGTGACTTTGGTTCTCACTTGAAACACTTATTTGTAGGGAAAACATTCCTTAAAATTTTTCTTCAGAAAAATTTTTGTAAAAGTCCATCAGGTCCTAAAACATTGGGTTTGTGAAACAAAAAATAATAGTAAAAGTCCATCAAATACTATATTATGAATAGAAAATTAAATGGGTCCACAAAAATATCTTCGCAATCAATAGGTTGGCAACTGAATAGCGTGCATGCTTCCCATGGGTCTTGGGAGCTCACCAGACTATTATTTTAAAAGGATCTTTATTTGCATCTCTCCCTCCAACTTAAGAAATCAGGTGCTAGAAGGATGTACGCCCCAATTTAACAGTCCTCTGAGTGGTGTCATCACGGGTTATCTTCGTTTTTCTTTATGCACTACAGGTGTCTTCATTCTGCGAATATTATTTTGCAAGACAAAAGTGTTCCTTTTTTTTTTTTTTTCAAAAGAAAGAAGATATCAGGGCACTGGTCAGACAGGGGAAACCTTCGAGTCGCTGTCACTCTTTCGGACGTAGCATTTCATCACCCACCTAGGCAGCGTGTGCGCCAAACAGCAGCATCCCCTGGAATGGCCGCAGAAGCAGCACTGGGCCCCTAACAGTTCCAGACAAAAATCAGGGAGTGATAGGGCACCGGCAGTGTCTGGTCTTGGGAACCACACATTTCACTCCCCACCAACTGACCCCACACTCTCAGCCCCATGCCCCTACCCCAAGACTACCTGCTGGCCAGATACTCCCAGACCTTTTCTCTTACTCATTACCTCTCACCTGGGGAGGGAGCAATTGAGGCTTTTAGTAACCTCAGTCAATGTAATGATACAAACTTATCGGTTGAAAATATGCATATTTAAATTTCTTTTACGTCTAAATGTTTTGCGAATATTGAACTATAGATATTCCATTGTATTGTTCTGACTCAATCATCGTTTGCCCCCTAGCAACAAGTACCTTATTCTAAGGGAAAGAAATAGATTCTACCGAGCAACTGGCCAAGATGAAAGATTTCCCACCTGACTTTCCGTAGCCCACCTCTCCCGGCCCTTTAAGCACCTACGACTGGCTTAAGATGTCCCACTCCTCCCCTGGGCGGAGCCGACACCACACAACCCGGATTCCCAACACCTCCCCTTCCTCTGACCTTCAGCTTCCACCCCCTCTGGGGAACAGGAGACACAGAAGATGGAGGGAGGGATGGCAGCCTACCCTGTGGCAACGCGGGAGTCGCGTTGCCGCAGGGGGCGCATTGGGGTCCAGCCGTCCCCAGAACGCAGATCAGAGGTAGTCGGACCTTTCCCGCTGGCGCGCAGCCTCAGCTAGGTAGGTCTCCTTCCTTCGTCTTTCCTTTCTTTGCCTTTCCTTTCCCTGACGCTGGGGGAAGTAGGGCAGGGGTTCTGTGCCATAGGCGGCCTTTCTGGTGCAGAGGACCTTCCCCATCCTCCATCATGTGAGCAGCCAGAGCCGGGCGCTCGAACTTGCGCAATGGTGGCTGCCGCACCACCGGCTCGGGCGTCAGGCAGTTATCTGGGAGTCCCCGAGGGCCGAGTCGGGGCCATGTGGGCGGGTCGGGGTCTTGCGTTTTTGGAGCACTGAGTTTTTAACCCCTGCCTACGTTTTCAGTTCTGGCAAGTGTAGGGAGAGCCTCCTAGCAGAGTCCCTCTAGCCTTCCTCGTCGGTTGGCCTGGAAGCGTTTCTGTGTGGCCAAAGGGCGGGGCGAACAGGAGGAGAAGGGTGCGCACACGGATTCCTTCACCCACTCGAGTTCTCCCCACCTACGTGGCTGGAGGAGGGTGCGCGTGCTCTGTGGGTTTGGACTGAGTGGTGGTTAAACCTCATGGCCGCCGTGCGTGCTCACAAGTGCTGGGCTCCCTTGAATGTACCCCTAAAGAGGGTACATTTCCTCGGATGAAATTTTGGCCTAAAAGCAATACAGCTCCCTTTCTACGTACGCATTTAAAGACATGGAAAGAGACCCCCCCCCCCAGATTTTCAGGGGCTCGCTCACATTTTCATCTTTTTTCAGTTCTGTGAAATGGGAGGATCTGAAACGGCCATGATTATTAAGAAAAAGAAAGAATGAAGCTTCTTAAATAAGTATCAAAAATTACAAAAGATAGTGGTAATAATACAAAATATAAGCTCAACAAATTATATGTAGACAAAAAAAGTCCAAAAGGAAAGAAGACACAATTGTCACAGTTATACTGGTTATTTCTAGATGAAGATGTTAAGAGTGTTTGTGTGTTCGCTCTTGTTGTGCTTTGTGTTTCTTGTTATTGATACTAAGGCAAAAGTTTGGCCTTATTTCCAAAATTAGAAAAACTGACCAAAGTTCTATGGAGATTTGATTGCATGAGAGGTCATTTCGCATAGTGAATTGCACTGTGTTTTAAGTGGGATTATAACCATTTTAACGGTAAAGAAAACAAAGCAATTGCACCAGAACATGTGGTTTTACATTCCTTGTGAGATGGCATTTGGCTATCTGCATGTGTAGGACAAATTCTAGCAAGAAAATAGTGTGATTACTTGAGAACACTTGAGAGGAGCCAGAACCAAGATGGGTCAGGAAATAGTAGGTAGTACAGGTTCCTCAGAGGGGGACAGGTCATGGTTGGAAATTGATAATATGTGAAAAATTATACAACAGTGTAGTTTTTGTTTTGATTTCCCTTCTTATGAGTCGCTAAAAGATATTTTTGTATATTTTAAGATCCTTGTATGTCTTTTTCTGTGGACTCTTAAAGTCTATTTCTGTTGGGGTAAGGGGAATTGAACAGGCACTGTTACACATTCTGAGACCTGGCTCTACAGGAAAGGATGCTCAGGGGACCCTTGGCATTCAGTGAGGCATGTGTGTGTGTGTGTGTGCGCGCGCGCGCACACACACACACACACACAGTAGAATCACCGTGCTAGAGCCACACACACACAAACACAGTAGAAACACAATGCTAGAGCCAGACACACACACACACACACAGTAGAAACACAGTGCTAGAGCCAGACACACAGACGGAACACAATTCTAGAGCCAGAGACAGGCAGACAGACACACACACACCGCGCGCGCGCACACACACACACACACACACACACGGAACACAATGCTAGAGCCAGAGCTGCCAGGTCGTGGTCGCTGACTGTGAAGGCAGACACCAGGCTGTCTAGTGGGGTCCTTGCAAGAGCTCGAGTCTGCCATTTTCTAGGCTCATGGGAGATGTAGGAACTGTGGCAGTTCAGCTGCATAACACATCAGCATCTGGAAAACCTCACGCAGGCAGTCTTTGGCCCTTTCTGAGCCATGACTCTGTGTGCCTGGATTCCTGATTTATGCAGCTCAGCACTAGGCAGAGTGTGCAGGGATTTCTTCTTGGCCACCAGGATGATAGGCACATTCAATCAAAAGTGTTTGGGAGGTATCCCTGCAGGTTGGTTATTTTGTGTCTCCATTTTCATTGATTTCAATTTTTTTAAGTGTTTATTTATTGGCAACTGAAATTTTTTGAAATTTTTTCCATAAGTTATTGGGGTCACAGGTAGTATTTGGTTACATAGTAAGTTCTTTAGTGGTGATTTGTGAGATTTTTGGTACACCCATCACCCAAGCAGTATACCACTGCACCATATTTGTAGTCTTTTATTCCTCGCCTCCCTCCCACTCTTCTGCACAAGTCCCCAAAGTCCACTGTATCATTCTTATGCCTTTGTGTCCTCATATCAGTGAAAACATGATGTTTGGTTTTCCATTTCTGAGTTACATCATTTGGAATAATAGTCTCCAATCTCATCCAGGTCACTGCAAATGCTATTAATTAATTCCTTCTTATGGCTGCATAGTATTCCATCAAATATAACACAGTTTCTTTATCCACTTGTTGATTGATGGGCATTTGGGTTGGTTCCACGAATTTGCAATTGTGAACTGTGCTGCTATAAACATGTGTGTGCAAGTATCATTTTTGAATAATGACTTCTTTTCCTCTGGGTAGATACCCAGTAGTGGGATGGCTGGATCAAATGGTAATTCTACTTTTAGTTCTTTAAGAAATCTCCACACTGTTTTCCGTAGTGGCTGTACTAGTTTACATTCCCACCAGCAGTGTAGAAATGTTCCCTGTTCACTGCATCCATGTCAACATCTACTGTTTTTTTATTTTTTTATTATGGCCATTCTTGAAGGAGTAAGATGGTATTGCATTGTGGTTTTGATTTGCATTTCCCTGAGCATTAGTGATGTTGAGCATTTTTTCATATGTTTATTGGCCATTTGTATATCTTTTAAGAATTATCAATTCATGTCCTTAGCCGACTTTTTAATGGGATTGTTTTTTTCTTACTGATTTGAGTTCATTGTAGATTCTGGATATTAGTCCTTTGTCAGATGTATAGATTGTGAAGATTTTCTCCCACTCTGTGGGTTTTGTGTATACTCTGCTGACTGTTCCTTTTGCCATGCAAAAGCTCTTTAGTTTAATTAGGTCCCAGCTATTTATCTTTGTTTTTATTACATTTGCTTTTGGGTTCTTGGTCATGAAATCCTTGCTTAAGCCAATGTCTAGAAGGGATTTTCCAATGTTATCTTCTAGAATTTTTATAGTTTTGGTCTTAGGTTCAAGTTCTTAATCCATCTTAAGTTGATTTTTGTGTAAGGTGAGATATGAGGATCCAGTTTCTTTCCTCTACATGTGGCTAGCCAATTATCCCAGCACCATTTGTTGAAAAGTGTGTCCTTTCCCCACTTTGTTTTTGTTTGCTTTGTCGAAGATCAGTTGGCTGTAAGTATTTGGGTTTATTTCTGGGTTCTCTATTCTGTTCCATTGGTCTATGTGCCTATTTTTATACCAGTATCACGCTGTTTTGGTGACTGTTCTTATAGTATAGTTTGAAATCAGGTAGTGTGATGCCTCCAGATTTGTTATTTTTGCTTAGTCTTGCTTTGGCTATGTGGGATCTTTTTTGATTCCATATGAATTTTAGGATTGATTTTTCTAACTCTGTGAAGAATTATGGTAGTGTTCTGGTGGAGATTGCATTGAATTTATAGATTGCTTTTGGCAGTATGGTCGTTTTCAAAATATTGATTCTACTCATCAATGAGCATGGGATGTGTTTCCATTTGTTTGTGTCATCTATGATTTGTTTAAGCAGTGTTTTGTAGTTTTCTTGTAGAAGTCTTTCGACTCCTTTGTTAGGTATATTCCTAAGTGTTGTTTTTTTTTTTGTTTTTGTTTTGTTGTTGTTTTTTTTCCCCGCAGCTATTGTAAAAAGAGTTAAGTTCTTGATTTGTTTATCTGTTTGGTCACTGTTGTTGTATGGAAGAGCTACTGATTTCTGTACATTAATCTTGTATCCGGAAACTTTGCTGAATTCTTTTATCAGTTCTAGGTGCTTCCTAGAGGAGTCCTTAGGGTTTTCAAGGTAAACAATCATATCATCAGCAAACAGTAACAGTTTGACTTCCTCTTTACCATTTTGGATGTCCTTCATTTCTTTCTCTTGTCTGATTGCTCTGGCTAGGACTTCCAGTACTATGTTGAAAAGGAGTGGTGAGTGGCCATCCTTGTCTTGTTCCAGTTCTCAGAGGGAATGCTTTCAACTTTTCCCCATTCAGTATTATGTTGGCTGTGGGTTTGTCACAAATGGTTTTTATTACATTAAGGTGTGTCCCTTGTATGTTGATTTTGCTGGGGGTTTTAATCATAAAGGATGCTGGATTTTGTCAAATGGTTTTTCTGCATTTATTTAGATGACCATGTGATTTTTGTTTTTAATTCTGTTTATGTGGTGTATCACATTTATTGACTTACATATATTACACCATCCCTGCATCCCTGGTATGAAACCCACTTGATCCAGCTGGATTATGTTTTTGATATGTTGTAGGATTCAGTTAGCTAGTATTTTGCTAAGGACTTTAGCATCTGTGTTCATCAAGGATATCTGTCTGTAGTTTTCTTTTTTGGTTGTGTCCTTTCCTAGTTTTGGTATTAGGGTGATGCTGGCTTCATAGAATGAATTAGGGAGGGTTCCTTCTTTATCTTGTGGAATAGTGTCAAAAGAATTGGTACCAATTCTTCTTTGAATATCTGGTAGAATTCTGCTGTGACTCTATCTGATCCTGGACTTTTTTTGTTGGTAATTTTTAAATTACCATTTCAATCTCGCTGCTTGTTATTGGTCTGTTCAGGGTATCTCATTCTTTCTGATTTAAGCTAAGAGAGTTGTATTTTTACAGGAATATATCGATTTCTTCTAGGTTTTCTAGTTTATATGCATAAAGGCATTCATAGTAGCCTTGAATGATCTTTTGTATCTAAGTGGTGTCAGTTGTAATAATTTCTGTTTTGTTTATTAGCGAGGTTATTTGGATTTTCTCTCTTCTCTTGGTTAATCTTACTAATGGTCTATCAATTTTATTTATCTTTTCAAAGAACCAGCTTTTTGTTTCATTGATCTTTTGTATTTTTTTTGTTTCAATTTCATTTAGTTCTGCTCTGATCTTGGTTATTTCCTTTCTTCTGCTGAGTTTGGGTTTGGTTTGTCATTATTTCTCGAGTTCCTTGAAGTGTGACCTTAGATTGTCTATTTGTGCTCTTTCAGACTTTTGGATGTAGGTGTTTATAGCTATGAACTTTCCTTTTAGCACCACCTTTGCTGTATTCCAGAGGTTTTGATAGATTGTGTCATTATTGTCATTTAATTCAAAGAATTTTTAAATTTCCATCTTTATTTCATTTTTGACCCAATGCTCATTCAGGAGCAGGTTATTTAATTTCCATGTAATTGCATGGCTTTGAAGGTTTATTTTGGAGTTGATTTCCAGTTTTATTCCACTATGGTCTGAGAGTGCTTGGTATAATTTCAATTTTTTTTAAGTTTATTGAGGCTTGTTTTGAAGCCTATCTTATGGCCTATCTGAGGAGAAAGTTCCATGTGCTGTTGAATAAAATGTGTATTCTGTGGTTGTTGGAGAAAATGTTCTGTATGTAGCTCTTAAGTCCATTTGTTTCAAGGTATAGTTTAAATCCATTGTTTCTTTGTTGACTTTCTGTCTTGATGACCTGTCTAGTGCTGTCAGTGAAGTATTGAAGTCCCCCACTATTATTGTGTTGCTGTCTATCTCATTTCTTAGGTCTATTAGTAATTGTTTTATAAATTTGGGAGCTCCAGTGTTAGGTGTATATATGTTTAGGATTGTGATATTTTCCTGTTGCACAAGGCCTTTTACCATTATATGCTGTCCCTCTTTGTCTCTTTTAACCGCTGTTGCTTGAAAGTTTGTTTTGCCTGTTATAAGGATAGCTACCCCTGCTCACTTTTGGTGTCCATTTGCATGAAATGCCTTTTTCCACCACTTTAAGTTAATGTGAGTCCTTATATGTTAGGTGAGTCTCCAGAAGGCAGCAGATGGTTGGTGAGTTCTTATCCGTTTTGTGATTCTGTATCTTTTAAGTGGAGCATTTAGGCCATTTGCATTCAATGTTAGTATTGAAATGTGAGGTACCATTACTTTCATTGTGCTTTTTGTTGTCTGTGTACTTGGTGTTTTTTGTTTTTTGTTTTTGCTTTTTTTTTCCGCAGAAAAGTCAGAATTAAGTTTTATTTCACATTGGTAGAAACCATGAAAAACATTTACATTTTCCCACATTACAGCACATTTCAATGGAATATTTCTTGCCATAAATAATATCTTGCTGATTTGTAGAACTGAAATAACAGTTTATGTTCTTCAAGGTAAAGAAAAATGACATAGTAAATGATTGTTTAAACTTGTATTTTTGTTTTATAGGTCCTATGTGATTTATGATTGAAAGAGGTTCTGTTTTGATATGTTTCCAGGATTTCTTTCAAGATTTAGAGCTCCTCTTAGCAGTTCTTGTAGTGGTGGTTTGGTAATGGCGAGTGTTCTCACCATTTGTTTGTCTGAAAACGACTGTATCTTTCCTTCATATATGCTTCATATATGATGCTTAGTTTCGCTGGATACAAAATTCTTGGCTGATAATTGTTTGTTTGAGTAGGCTGAAGATAGGGCCCCAATCCCTTCTAGTTTATAAGGTTTCTGCTGAGAAATCTGCTGTTAATCTGATAGGTTTTCCTTGATAGGTTACCTGGTGCTTCTGTCTCACAGCTCTTGAGATTATTTCCTTCATCTTAACTTTGAATAAAGTGATGACAGTGTGCCTAGGCAAAGATCTTTTTGTAATGAATTTCCCAGGTATTTTTTGTGCTTCTTATATTTGGATGTCTAGGTCTCTAGCAAGGCTGGGGAAGTTTTCCTTGATTATTCCCCAAGATATGTTTTCCAGGCTTTTAGAATTCTCTTCTCCCTCAGGTACACCAATTATTCTTAGGTTCAGTTGTTTAACATAATCCCAGACTTCTTGGAGACTTTGTTTATATTTTATTATTCTTTTTACTTTGTCTTTGTTGGGTTGGGTTGATTCGAAGACCTTGTCTTTGAGCTATAAATTTCTTTCTTCTACTTGTTCAATTATATTCCTGAGACTTTCCAGAGCATTTCACATTTCTAAAAGTGTGTCTAAAATTTCCTGAATTTTTTATTGTTTTTTCTTTAAGCTATCTATTTCCATGAATATTTCTGCCTTCACTTCTTGTATCATTTTTTGGATTTCCTTGCATTGGGCTTCGCCTTTCTCTGGTCCCTCCCTGATTAACTTAATAACTAACCTGAATTTTTTTCAGGTAAATCAGCGATTTCTTCTTGATTTGAATCCATTGCTGGGGAACTAGTGTGATTTTGGGGGGGGGGTTGAAGAGCCTTGTTTTGTCATATTGCCAGGGTTGGTTTTCTGGTTTCTTCTCATTTGGGTAGGCTCTGTTAGAATGAAGGTCAAGGGCTGAAGGCTGTTGTTCAGATTCTTTGGTCCCACAGGGTGTTTCCTTGATGTACTACTCTCTTCTCCCTATGGATGTGGCTTCCTGTGAGCCAAACTGCAGTGATTGTTGTCTCTCTTCTGGGTCTAGCCACCCAGTGAGTCTACCCAGCTCCAGGCTGGTACTGGGGGTTGTCTGCACAGAGTCCTGTAATGTGAACTGTCTATGGGTCTTTCAGCCATGGATACCAGTGCCTGTTCCAGTGGAGATGGCAGAGGGTGCAATGGACTCCATGAGGGTCCTTAGCTTTGGTGGTTTAATGCTCTATTTTTATGCTGGTTGGCCTCCTGCCAGGAGGTGGTGCTTTCCAGAAATCATCAGCTATAGTAGTGTGGAGAGGGACTGGTAGTGGGTAGGGCCCTAGAACTCCCAGGATTATATACCCTTTGTCTTACACTACCAGGGTGGACAGGGAAGGACCATCAAGTAGGGGTGGGGCTAGGCATGTCTGAGCTCAGTAAATACTCTCCATGGGTGGGTCTTGCTCCAGCTGCTGTGGAGGATGGGGGTGAGATTCCCACGTCATTGGAGCTGTGTACCTAGGAAGATTATGGCTACCTCTGCTGAGTCATGCAGGTTGTCAGGAAAGTGAGGGAAAGCTGGCAGTCACAGGCCTCACCCAGCTCCCACACAAATGGTAGGGCCAGTCTCATGTCCACTGTGCCCCCGCAAACAGCCCTGAGTCTATTTCCAGGCAGTGGTCAAGTTGGGCTTGAAAACTTGCCCAAGGTTATCTGCCTCCCAGCTGCAAGAGAAAAGTTCTTCCACCGCCTGTGAAGTCTGCAAGCCTGATTCACACCCTCCCCTGAGTTCTGGTCAGGAGGCTTCTCACCCCATTCAAATTGTTACAAAGTTCAGCTAGAGAATTCTTTCTCCCTGTGGAGTTTTACCCCTTGCTCCTCTGGCCACCCTCCGATGGATCCCTGTGGTGCCAGGCAGGAATGGGCTGCTTGGGGACCCAGTGAGCTCCCAGGGCCTTTCTGCTGCTTCCTCTACCCCTGTATTTTACTCATCTCTCTAACTTGACTCAGCTGCAGGTAAAGTCGGAAACCTCTCCTGCAAACTGACCTTCGGCTTCTCCAGTCGGGGTGTGCTCAGGAGAAGGGGGAAGGGGGTCTCCCTTTCCCACTTCTACAGTTGGGGCACTCATAGTATTTGGGGTGTCTCCTGGGTCCTGCAGGTGCAGTCTGTTTCCTTTAGAGGGTCTGTGAATCCTCTCAGGATTGCTGGTTTGTTCTTGCAGTTGATCTGGAGCTAAAATTCACAATGCAAGACGCTGCATGCTGCTCTGTCCGGAGCTATAATCTAGTCCTGCCTTCTGTCTGTCATGATGCTGTCTCTCTCCTGATTTCAATTTTTTAAAAAAAATTCTGTCTTAATTTCATCAATGACCCAAAGATCTCTTTTTAGGAGATTGTAAGCTCTTTTTAGGAGTGCTCTAAGAAAGGAAGTTTAAATATTATCAAGTATGTGTTAGCTAGAAAAAAAAACTACATTTTTTTCTCAACTGTGAGAATTCTGTGGTAAACATGATAAGTAGGGCTGGGCCATCCCAGGGACACTGCTAGAAGACATTCTAGATTTTGGTAAGTCCTTTAGTGCAGAGGTTTGAATAGAGTTTTCAAGTGCCAAGTATTCTGAGATCTTATATCTAACTGACCTAAAAGTAGGACCATCGTAGCCTGAAGACAAGAGGACAGCATTGTGAGAAGAGCTGGGTCCTCAGGCCCTGTTGTCTTGGGATGGCAGTTTTGCATCATACTTCATGCCAGTCCTGATGCCTCAGGGCTGCCTCTCTTTGTGTCTAGCTGCCTGAGACCTCAAGGTTAAATTATATTATAGTAAAAATGCCCAAGACAGAATGTTCCCACTGGTCCAAAGTAGATTTGACTTCAACTCTGTGCCCAGACTAAAGACATTTCCTATAGTCTTGACCAGATCCAGTGTTAAAGATAGAACCATGGGTAGATATGTTTGGATCCATTCCTAGAGTTACATGGTGGGGACAAATTTATTTTTCTCTGAGAGGAAGCTAAAGACCATTCTACCAGAAAGATGCCCTGCACACTGGAGGACCAACTGTGAGAGCTGGGAGTCACTTAGTGACAATCACTTTAATGCTGGTTGGCTTTTTTTCAGTGGCAAATGATGGAGGAAGAGGTAACTGAGTGGGTGGCACCAAAGGGCATGTTAACATTTCTGGTAAAATACTGCCATCTAAAGGAAACTCTTTCCCAAACCAGTCACCCATCTTCCCCTCTTCCCCTCTTCCATCTTCCTCCAACTTCCTATTTTCTCCCACACTGACTCACCTCACCACTCCTCATCCTTCCCTATCAAACCTTCCTGTGGTGCATTGGAAATGGAAAACAAAGTCCTAGGCTGAGGGGACACGCAGCAGAACCACACTCCAAAATGCATATATAAAGCATCTCCTGGGAACAGCTCAGACTTTGCAACCTCCAAACACAGGCACCAGGAGGAGACAACCAGCCAGGGAGCCTGAGCTGAAAGGCACAGGAAGCCTAGGCTAGGGACTCTGCTTACCACCATGTTTATTCAAAACTGCAGTAGCATATCTCAAAATTGTATGTTCACCTGAAGTTTGAATCCCAACCTCCAGGGGACAGTGGGACTCTGGTCGCCTTTGACCTCTTGGTCAAGCTGCCCTTGCAGTGACCCGTGAGAATGCCCAAGTGCATATGTCTCCTGGAAAGCAGGGGTTGGGCTCAGATCCTACTGCGTGCCCAATTTTCTTCTCTTCCCTGAGGGCTCCACCATCCTCCCATGCTAAAGGCACAGTTAGGGATGTGTTTAGGTTGGGTCCATCCCTTGGACGGTTCAAGGGGACCACTTCCCTGTTTGTCAGGAAGGCAGGCTAAGAGGACCCCGCCAAGGCCATTCTCCCCAGGACAGGGTCCCGCAGGTGGGCCAGAGCTGGCCAAAAGTGGCTGAGATGGTGATCAGCCATGTTCAGAGCATGGTTGGCTTTTTTTTCTTAGCAAAGGGCAGAGGGAGTGGACCTGGGGGAAGGGCAGGTGGGCATTTCTGGAGCAATACTGCCATCAAGAGGAATCATTTGGCAATCCCACGCACCCTTCCCTGTGCTTGCCTGGGGAGGAGCGGCTTGGGAGTGCTATAGGGGACCAGGCAGGACTAGGGCCAGTGCCCAGATAGATCCAGGCTCTCTGGAGGCCCAAGGGAAGTGGGGCCCGTGGCTGGGTCGGGATGTGGAAGCCCCAGAAATAGGCACTGAGGATGAGGTGGCCAGCCAGGACACCTGGCACGTTCCGTACAGGAAGTCATGGCTCAGGAGTCTGGTGGTGGCCATGATCTGGGTGAGACTAATGGAGGCCTCAGCCAAGGAGCTTTTGCTCGGGGCCACAGGCAGTTTGCCTGGTGCCCCTTTTCTTGAGAGCAATTGGCGTGATGGCCTAGCTGGGTCCTCGGCCCCAGGAGGCTCTCTTGGCCACAGTGCACAGCAGTGAGGATGGGCCACTCCCAGTGTTACCAGTGGAGGGTGTCAAGGTTTTTAGCATCTTGAAAAATGAATTGGACAAAATGTACAAACAAAGCAAGGAAAGAAGGAAGCAGTAAAAGCAGACATTTATTGAAAATGAAAGTACACTCTACAGGGTGGGAGCGGGCTTGAGCATAGGGGCTCAAGAGCCCCATTACAGAAATTTCTAGGGTTTAAATACCCTCTAGAGGTTTCTATTGGCTACCTGGGGTATGCCCTATGTAAATGAAAAGGATGAAGTAACATTACAGAGTTATTTACTCGGCTTATGCCCTGTGTAAATAGAAAGGATATTACCTGTCATAGCTGAAGTGTTTCCATTTCATTTAGTTCTAGGAAGTCAGCATGAAATGGCCTTATGTTTCCTGCCTCCAGACCCTGTTCTCCTACCACATTTCCCCCCGAGAGGTGTGATCTCATAAATCTTTATGGCAGGTGGAGGGACTGATGGTCTTTCTCCTCTAACTGCTTTCTGCTGGCTTAGGGGGTAGTCCCTACCTGTCGGGAATTATGGAACTCTCACCCTGCTCTGTCTAGTGGAGGCAGGGTAGCTCCTTAGTGGCCAGGGGTGATGTCTTCACCTGGAACTGCCTGGAACCTTTGTTGCATGATTATCTGAAGCTTGATGGTCTCTATGTGAGAAGAAATGAATTTGGTTAAAAGATTTAATGGGAACTTCAGGGGGTGTCTACATATGCTGTCAGGAATGTTTGTTCTAGAGATTTGCCGGAGAAAAACAAAACCTGGTCTGTTCTAGGACCTGTGTTTCCTTAAAGTTTTAACACAAGCGACTCCAGTTTGGTTTGGTTTGGTCTTTTGAGGCCTAGTGCATAAGCTCAATCCAAAACAATGGCCTCCCACAATTTTGTTTTTTAAAAAATTCCCTTTTTGGTCAGTTTCTCACTTAGATGAGAGTATGACCAAAACTTAGGGCCTTAGCGACGCTCTCAGTTACCATCATTTTGGGTTTCTGGTCTCAGCCTGTCATTCATCAGTGGCCTTATAGTCACACATTTCTTTCAGCTCTTGTCATTCCAGTTGAAGAGAAACCATTTGACATTCTAGAGATGGCTGCATGCAAGCATTTAAAACCTCTGAGAGGGCCGGGCACGGTGGCTTACGCCTGTAATCCCAGCACTTTGAGGCTGAGGTGGGCGGATCACGAGGTCAGGAGATCGAGACCATCCTGGCTAACATGGTGAAACCCCGTCTCTACTGAAAATACAAAAAAAACTAGCCAGTCATGGTGGCAGGTGCCTATAGTCCCAGCACTTGGGAGGCTGAGGCAGGAGAATGGCATAAACCCGGGAGATGGAGCTTGCAGTGAGCGGAGATCCTGCCACTGCACTCCAGCCTGGGCAACAGAGCAAGACTCCATCTCAAAAAAAAAAAAAAAAAAAAAAACAACCTCTGAGAGAAGACAGTGCACCAGGGAGACTATTATTATGACTAAGAGTTTGGTTTGGAGTATGCTCCTTACCCAGGATCCACATAAACCAAACCTCCTAAAATCAAATAGATACAAGAATGAGCTCGATAAAGAGTCTATTCCCTTAACTAGGCAGTTTCTTCATTAATCAGCTACACCTGAATCTCTATAATACCCGATGTTTCCTCCATAGGCCATAAGTGCCAGCAGCTGCACAGATACTTCTCTATTCAGCCAATTCTATCATAACTTTCACAAGAGAATTTAAAGTCTTTTGTGTAACTGTAGCCTTTATGGTGGAATTTGCTATAGAACCTATCATGAGGGATACATTTCTCCTTTTACATTGCTTCTTTTACTCCAAACAATGGAAAAAGGACCTAACAAATGATGCCTTTCTAGAAGAGTGAAGGCCTTCTGACAATGTTCTCTTTAACCTGTGATGTGGGTGAAGAAGAGTGAACCAATGTTCTGTTTCCAACTGATTACGAGGCAATGTATGTACCATTAAAGTTTCTCACCTACATTGGGCCTTCATCTTTTATCTTTCAAAGTATAAGGTTATCCATGTATAAGGCTGGCTCCAAACTCCTTCACAAATAAAATTATACCCTATAAGTGCACATAACAGACCACTTTTCTACTTCTATTGTTCATAGAGGCATAAGCAAGAAAACATATTCAAAGATAAGAGTCTCATGATAGTAGAAGTCTTAATCTGTGAACTCTTGAAAAGCTGTTTACATCAAGGATGCCATCTTCTTCTAGGGAGAAAATTCCCTCGTTACTTTTACCTTAAGGGTTCCAGTGGATGTACAGTTCCAAGACTGTGGACGGACCCTTCTCAGTTGTGAGATTATGAACCCAGAGTTCAAGGTTCGAAAGTTTTGCTGCAATGTGGGTGGCAAGGACAGTCTTTCTCTGATGTTCTCAGAAGATCCAATCTTTGGGTCCAGTGCGATGGCTCATACCTGTAAATCCAGCGCTTTGGGAGGCCGAGGCAGGCAGATCACTTGAGGTTAGGAGTTCAAGACCAGCCTGGCCAACTTAGCGAAACCCCATCTCTACTAAAAGTAATAATTAATAATAATAATAATACAAAAATTAGCCGGGCATGGTGGTGCATGCCTGTAATCCCAGCTACTTGGGAAACTGAGGCAGGAGAATTGCTTGAACCTAGGAGGCAAAGGTTACAGTGAGCCAAGATTGCACCACTGCACTCCAGCCTGGGAGACAGAGCAAGACTTTGTCTCAAAAAAAAAAAAAAAAAAAAAAAAAGTCCTATCTTTGGGTTGTAGATTGTATAGGGGGTAATTGTCTCGGTGAACCATAAAAAGCTTTCTTTACCTGGCGAAAATACACTGTGGCATAATAACTTAGTGTTATAACAGCCCTGTTGCATGGGAGAGCTTCTACACAACCAGAAAACATGCATTGAAAATAACAATTGAATGAAATCCTTTTATAAAATGTTTAAATGGCCCATCAGGTTACCAAATGTACCTGAAGCTTTGATTGTTTTCCCAGGAATATGGGAACAAGCATTGGTTATAAATTACTTTAGCAATTTATAAGACACCACACCAATATATTCAATTTGGGTTATTTTATCTTTTCCATGATGAGTCATGGAATACAGAACTTTTAATAATAAAAGCTTTAAGGACTCAGGAAGGACAAGGTGGCCATCCTGGTTCTCTATGAGTCCATGCTTAATTAACATTAGACTTATATCCTCTTTAATATCAGTTGTTTCTCCCAATTAGGTGCATACCACTGATAACTGATGGGTTATCATAGGTAATTTGACTTAGACTGTGGAGTTCATTAATTGTACTTCTAAACTATTTCAGTATCAGCTGGATTAACAAGAAAATCTGACAAAGTATAATTTTTTTTTGGTATCCAATTAATTTTTGGTTCTACTTGGGTTAGTAGCTTTATACAAGGAAATTTGGTTATTTCTGTGGCCTACAATAACTTAACCTAATAACCATAATTATGATTGATAGCATATACTCAGACATATTAGAATTTTAGAAATTCCATACAATTTTGGAACATTTATTAATATTATTCACTAAAATATAACCTGAAGATCATTAAACATTTTTTTTATTTTGACAATGCTTCCCATGTAACTAAACATGTCAAAGAAATAAAAGACAATTTTAAAGCGGAAATTCTATTTTGGGAAACCTATTAAATATGTTAGAGGTTTTAAAAAATTTACATTCCCATGCCTTCTTATAATCTTTTACCAAAAACACATTTCACTTTTCTTACACACCTTGCATGTAAAACTGTTTCTATAGTCTCAATTACATGCTATAATAGTGACTCTTAGCAATTTTAATTTTAATGTAAACCCTGGTAAGTTATATTAATTATGCACTAGGTGCTGATAAGGTTTGACTATTTCCAGCATAGCTAGGGGTGTAGCCAACTCCACATGTTCCGAGGCCTTACCTTGTTGTAAAGCAGGCAAGTCAAACAAATTTCAAAATCCAAAGAAGGAGTTTATGACCTTAAAGTATTTAGCAAACCTAATATTTGAACATAATTTAGACCACATGTTTACATTTTGAAGACATTTGCATTTTACCAATAATCTTTAAAACTGTTTTTTATTACCCAAAGATGAATCAAGTCTCATGAAATAAAAGGTATTCAGGGTCCGTACCCTGAATTTCCTTAATGATAAGTAGCAGATTGAAGGTAGTATATTTCTTCTGTTTCTTCTGTCTTGAGAGCAGTGTTCAATATCACTGTGTTCCTGCAGCACAAGTTAGGCATTTGCCCATGCCTTGACTTCCCTGACAGAGTCATCATAGGGTTTCTGTTACAGAATACATGTGGGGAGTTACATCGGAACACGTGGGTCTTGCGAATTTACTGCTCCCCCATAGCACACATGATTCCTCAACGGAATGCCTGCCTTTATGTGTTTTGCACGTCAAGGTTTCTGGGAAGACCTGTATAGATGTTGATGTAGGCCAGGTGTGAGAACAGGTGTGTTCGGGGAGGCACCTGGCTCCCCTCCTGTCTGACCTAGGCTGGGGTGGGCTCTCTGCCCATTCCCCTGCCGGGGCTACCACGTGAGAAAGGCCAGGGACCCAGTCCCGCTATCCTGGAGTTGTAGGTTCACCTGAAGTTTGAGTCCCAACCCCAGTCTCCCAAGGACAGGGTCCCACAGGTGGGCCAGAGCTGGCCCAAAATGACTGAGATGGTGATCAGCCATTTTTGTAGTGCAGTTGGTATTTTTTCCTCATCAAAGGGTGGAGGGAGTACCGGGGGCAAGGGCAGGTGGGCATTTCTGAAGCAATACTGCCATCAAGAGAAACTTATTTGGCAAACCCACATACCCTTCCCTGTTTTTGCCTGGGGAGGAGTGGCTAGGGCGTGCTGTGGGGGATCAGGCAGGACTAGGGCCGGTGCCTGGATGGATCTGAGCTCTCTGGAGGCCTGACAGAAGCAGGGCCCTTGTCCAGTTGGGGCCATGCAAGTCCCAGAGATAGGCACCAGGAGGAGCTGTAAAACCAGGATGCTGGCGGTTCCCGTACAGGAAGCCATAGCTCAGGAGCCTGGTGACAGCCATGATCTGGGCGGGACTGGCAGAGGCCTTGGCCAGAGAGCCTTAGCTTGAGGCTATGGGCAGTTTGCCTGGCACCCCTTCCCTTGGGAGCAAAGAGGGTGATGGCCTAGCTGGGTTCTCGCCCCAGGAGGCTCCCTCGGCCACACTGCATGCCAGTGAAGAGGGGCCCCTCTCAGAACTGAGTCCTGCAGCCATTGCTAGTCGGCACCAGGGCATTCCTCCTTGCGTCCTAGGGAGGAAGGTGGGCCATGGGAGGGTCCGTAACCACACAGTCCTTGATGAGGTAGATGCGAAGCCAGGCCCGGCCCAGCCACCCTGAGACACCACGCCCCCACCTTGTTGAGACATGTGACCCAGTCTTGCTGTGTCCATGTCCCCGAGGTTGTCTTGGAGCTGGGCCATTCACTATGGTGCTCATTTTTGCATGGGGGCCTTCAGTGGATCCCAGTTGTCTTTGAGGGTTCACAGGACCTGGCCCTGTGATCAGAGGCGCACTGACCAATGGGTTTGGTGGCAAATCTTGTGAAATGGAGACTCTCTGGGCATCAGCTAAGGGAGACCGGGGCCTTCCTAGGCCTGCTGAAGTCTGGGAAGCCAAGAGCACCTAGAAACAAGGACCTGTCGGACAGGCCTGGGGACAGCCTGCTCCGTGCCAGAAGGATCTGCTGCTCAGGCAGCATCCCTGTGCCTCTCCTCAAGTGGGTCTCTGAGGGAGAATCGGGCTAGGCCCAACGTGGTGTGCAGGGATGAGGCTTGATGGACGCCTCTCTTTGCAGGACCCGGTCTGGTACAGCAGTGGACTGGGTCATCTCCTGCGGCTAACTCTCCCTTCCAAGGGTGTTCAGGTGTCTCCCAAGTGAACAGGGGCTCGTGTCCAAAAGGTGGAGACCAGCACCACTTCACAGAATTCAGGAATGGAAAAGGAACCTAGAGGACCCTCTTGAGGTGACAGGTGGAATGTCCTGTTTTTTGGGTTTGTTTTGTTTTGTTTTGTTTTGTTTTGTTTTGTTTTGTTTTGCTTTTTGTGGAAGGACTGAAAGAAGGCATAAGGAGGTGATGGGCTTCTTAGGCCTGAAACGTTGGAAGCACAGGACCAAAGCAGAAAAGGTCGAGAAGGTTCATGGTCCTCCGTTCCACCTGAATCCAGCTAGAGAGTGAGCCAGGTGGATACATGTGCCCCTCCTCGCCCACGTGCAGAAACACTGCCATCCAAACAGACATTCACCTTCCACCTCAAAGCACGTTTAATGTCAGCACGATGACATTCAACTGGGACTTGCCTCACCTTGGCTTGGGGGAAACAGAAAGCACATCCCTGGGGTGGTGTTGCTGGTGGTGGTAGAAGCAGAGGGGGTAGCTGGGGTCTTGATTTCTTGGGCATTTCTCTTGCCGCCTCTCAGCCTATGTGCACGATGTCTCACACGTTCAGTTGCATCTCTTATCGTTTTAAAGGCCCACATTGATGGGAATTCCCGGAGAGTCAAAGAAGCCCAATCACATAGAGACAGAGCAAGAGAGGAAGCGGGCTCCAGTAGAAGTGGGTGAGTGTTGGGGCTGAAGGTGGTGTGCGAGAGAGAGAGTTAGTTAGTTACAGAGAGACCTCTAGAAAGAAAAAGAGACAGAGAAATAAAATAGGTTGTGGAAAATCCCAAAGGGAAGTGCATAGGGGTCAAAGAGTCCAGAAGGGGTCAGGGAGGTAGCAGCTTGAGGTAGTGTGTTCCTTCTGTTTTCTCTGTCTTGACAACAGCGTTCAATGCCACTGTGTTTCTGCAGCGGACGTTAGGCGTTTGCCCACGCCTTGACTGCCCGACGAGGTCAAAATAGGGTTTCTGTCACAGAATATGTGTGGGGAGGAAGATCGGAACACTTGGGTCTTGCCCATCTATGGCTTCCCCATGGCACACATGAGTCCTCAACATCATACATGCTTCTGTGTGTTTTCTACTTCAAGCCTTCTGGGCAGAACCGTCGAGAGGTTGACATAGGTCAGGTGTGAGGAGGACAGGTATGTTTGGGGTGGCCACTGGCTCCCCTCCTGTCTGACGTAGGCTGGTGTGGGCTCTTCCCCCAGCCCCTTGCCGGTGCTGCCACGTGAGAAGGGCCCAGGACCCAGTCCCACTATTCTGGAATTGTAGGTTCACCTGAAGTTTGAGGCCAAACCCCCAGCGGTCAGTGGGACGCCAGTCGCCTTTGACCTCTTGGTCAAGCTGGCCTTGCAGTGACCCATGAGAATGCCCAAGTGCCAATGTGTCCCGGGGGGCAGGGCCAGGGCTGGGATCCTACTGTGTGCCCAGTCTCCTTCTCTTCCCTGTGGGTTCCAGCATCCTCCCATCCTAAGGGTATCGTTAGGGATGCGGTTAGGTTGGGTCCATCCCCAGAGTGGTCCAAGGGGACCGCTTTCTGGTTTGTCATGAAGGCAGGCTAGTAGAAGGATCCCGCCGAGTCCCATCTGCCAAGGACAGGGCCCTGCAGGTGGGCCAGAGCTGGCCTAAAGTGGCCGAGATGGTGATTGGTTGTGTTCGGAGCACGGTTGGTGTTTTTTCCTCTGCAAAGGGTGGAGGGAGTGGACCTGGGGGAAGGGCAGGTGGGCATTTCTGGAGCAATACTGCCATCAAGAGGAACTCGCTTGGCAATCCTGTGCACCCTTCCCTGTACTTGCCTGAGGAGGAGTGGCTTGGGATGCTGTGGGGGACCAGGCAGGACTGTGGCCTTTGCCTGCAGGAATCCGAGCTCCCTGGAGGCCTGAATGAAGTGGGGCTATGGAAGCTTCAGATATAGGTGCCAGTATAAGTTGGCCAGCCAGGATGCCTGGCATTTCTCATACAGGAAGCCATGGCTTGGGAGCCTGGTGGTGGCCATGATATGGGTGGGACTAGCAGCTCAGGACTTTTCACAAAGCCTGTGGCCATTGTTCTTCCTCCCTCTTTGCTGCCTGCAGTACCAAGTCTTACGGTTGCTGCCACCGTAGCAGAGACCTGTCCTCCGTGTTGCAGGTTCTACCTCCCACAAGGAACATGCATTTAGTTGGCTGCCTTTGCAGACTTCTTTTTTACAGATTGACTTTTCCAAGAGTCGGGGACATTTAGGCAATCCGCAAGAGTGGAAGTTACTTTCCTTTAACCCCTGCCTTTTGAAGTCTCCATGTGTGCTTGCTGTGGTCGCTGAGACTCAAAGTTTAGGACCCCCTTCATGTATCTCTCATTTTTGGGTTCAGTTGCCTCCTGTTTTCCAACTGCATTTTGTGTGTGTGTGTGCCCAGCCCCAGTGTTCTTCTTCCCCATTTTGCCCAGATCCACCCACCCCCACCTATCCTCCAAACCCCTGTTAATCAGGCGTGCCTTGCTAGGAAGGAGGTGCATGCTCATTGGCACATAGCCTTTTTCTGTAGTTTCTGCCTCTCTCCAGAGGCCATTTCTGGAAAGCCTGTAGGGTGGGTTGTGCCCTTTCTTAGCTCCTGCCTTCCTGGGGATTTGCTTCCCGGTCAGCACTTTCCCAAAGGTCAAGTAGGACATCTCAAAGCCCAGCAGTTCACCCTTTTTATTTGAAACCTACCAGATGGGTGCTGAAATCCTCTGCTTGCTATGCTTTATTTTTCATGTGTGAATTTTCCTAAGTGTATGTAGGCAGAATATTTGGGGGCCAACCAGCCTTATCTTTGCCAAGCCCTGAGGTCAAATCCAGACCTAGAAAATCTGACGGGTCCGCAGCTTTGAGATTGGTTGTCTGAGCATGCTCCTTCAGCCTTAGTCAATGCAATGGGAAAGCTAAGCCCACGGACCATGCAACCCCATGTGTGTTGATTTAGGTATCTTCCAAGAGGAGCCAAAATGGATGTTACCCCTGGAGACCAGGAAATCAGGCAATCCTGGAATATTCCCAAACTGAAATGAATTCTCAATGTAGAATCAGTTCTACTCACTCTGTAGGATGATGTCCTGCTCAATTGATATATAACCAGTGGGTACTGGCACTCTCTGCACTAGTGAGAAAATGGAAAGAATGGCATCCTGTGGCACGCTTAACCCAGCCTTTCTTTGAGGGGAGAGATAAGAAACCAGAAAAAAAACTTGAAATGCACCACACTTGAATTACTCTTTCTTATCTCATTGTAGTACCCAGCAATCAGGAAATTATTTTCTTTATGGGCTGCACCTGGCAATGTGGCTGTTCTTCCTTCTCTTTTTCTTTGTCTGGGTCCTCCAGATGGGACATTGGTTCTCAGGTTTCCCACATCCCTGAGACCTTCAGGGCAGTTCCCCCTTTATTCCCCTGAACTTACATCTACACCAAGAGCAAAGATCCATAGTCTGAATGCTCTCCAGTATCGCAGGTGTCTAAACATGGCAGCCAATGAGACCTGGCTTCTACCACCTCCCGAGCTTGGCAGGCCTGACAAGCCAGGGTTCCTTAGTGGGTGAGCCTGGCTCCCTTGCTTTCACACTGACTCTGGAGGTACCCAGTCAGGTGCACACATCCAGCCCCAGAATTTTCTGAGTGCCCCAAACCCACCCTTTCTCCTATAAGAAACCTTACCCTCCAGATACATGGAGAAGGGCTGGAATCCATGCTCAAAGAGCTTCCGCTTGATGGCACTGTTGCTCCAGAAATGCCAATCAACCTGGCCTGTCATACCTTACCCTCTACCCTTTGTGGATGAAAAAATGCCAAGGAAGGCCCAAAACTAATCCAATCACTGGAAGTGGGGCTTAATCTGTTGGGAGAAGGGGTTTTCTTCTTCTCAGGCCCTCAGTGAGAAATATGTCTGTGTGCAAACATTCATCAAAAAGAATAGATGTACTTGTTTTTCTACATCATCTCCTTATGAGCTTTAAGTTTGAATTTTTTATAAAGGGGTTCCTAGTTTTCTGAGCACATTTGTGAGTGTTATAAGGATCATCTTGAGTAGATTTTTGTTTGTTTTTATATTTAGAGACACGTCTTGCTATGTTGCCCAGGCTGGTCTCAAATTCCTGGGCTCAACTGATCCTCCCACCTCAGTCTCTCAAAGTGCTGGGATTACAGGATTGAGCCACCACACCAAACTTGGGTAAAATTCTTTCATGGGGGTACTGACTCATAGCTTGAGGTGGAATTAGTACCTAGATTTTCCCTCTTATTATGGAGTCACTGGCTGTCTTCTGTACTGATGGAGCCAGGCCAAGCCCAAGGGAGCCCAGCAAAACAACCTCATCCAGTATACTGGCTCAGGAGGCCCAAGAGGGAGTAGTAAGCCATTGTGGGAGCAGCAGAAATTGGCAGGGGCCATGTAAATTGTGAAGACTGGGGAAATGATGCCTTGGCTTACCTCCAGGGGTCTCAGGTAGGCAGTCCCCCATTGGGTGCTCCAGATTGGGGTTCCGTGGGTCAGAAGGAAGGCCCAGTGGTTCCACACAGGCAGGTGACCATGGTGGGGGCCTTTGGTTCTGCAGCCCCTTCAAGGAAGCTCTACATGAAAGTGTGGGTCTTCTCTCCCTGCAGCACCCCCACATTCACTCATTTGTGCATTCATACATGCATGTATACATGCAAACACACATGCCTCTACTTTCTTCCTTAATTGTGTATCTATGTGTGTTTTCTTCTTTTTCTCTTCCTTTCTCCCATAACCACCTTGGAGATGCCACTGTGGATAGAGATTCCTCCCAATTAAGTGGTAGCCCTTAACACTGCATGATGGACACTCCCAAGTTTCCCCTCTGCCTTCTATTCATCCTCCTGACTCTGCCTACAGTGAGAATTGTGTCATTTTTCCTTGTGTGTATGTTTTTAGTGTCCAGTGTGAATAAAGGCAAATGCAGAGGTATGTCTGCCTTTGACTTTCTCTTTGACACCAAGATGCTTACATGTGATAGACTCTCTTATAATTTGTGGCTTTCACAAAACACCTCCACTGGACTTTGCATCTCTGTGCAGAGTCAACATACTCCCAGATTCTTTTCATTTCCCCTCTGTTATTTTATTTATGCATGATGGAGAAAACACACTTGTGAAGAAATTTATTTCTCCATACCCACACAAGTACACAGACCAAGAAGGAAGCTCTGTGAGGATAGATGCCAAGACATGATGGTTGTGATTCCCCCACAGGAATGAGAGAAGTCAGAGGTATCCTCTGGTTTCATATGGGACTGTTCATGGAAAGCTGCCTCTTTATGACAGCCTCAAATTACATTTGTGGGATTTTTCAATAAATAATTAGGGTTGATTTTAATGTTATACTTTCTTCAGAAATCACGGTTGATCCAAGAGCTGATATCCTAGCCTGAAAGCACTCTCTCAGTTGGCTGGGTGGGTTGAATATATACACTGCCACCTTTTGGCTATCACTTTGACAATCAGCCCAAAATCCAGTGAAGGATAGTTGGCTATCTTGTTGCAGGGCACACAGAGTGAACAGAAAAAGAGGATACCTCTGCGATCCCGGGTCATCTCCAGATGCTAGGGTTATGGGTGAGTGCTCTTTATCCTTCTGAATCCTCTTCCTTATCCTTTTCAAAAAGTCTGTTTTGGCCAGGCGCGGTGGCTCACGCCTGTGGTCCTGGCACTTTGGGAGGCCGAGGCGGGCTGATCCCATGAGGTCAGGAGTTCCGGACCAGCCTGGTCAGCACGGCGAGACCCCATCTCTGCTGGAAATGCAAAAATTGGCTGGGTGTGGTGCCAAGTGCCTGTGGTCCCAGCTGCTTGAGGGGCTGAGGCAGGAGAATCGCTTGAACCCGGGAGGCGGAGGTTGCAGTGAGCTGAGATCGTGCCACTGCGCCCCAGCCTGGGCGACAGAGCAAGACTCTGTCATAAATAAATAAATAAACAAAACAAAACATCATAACATATAGAAAAAATTTTCAAACAATACAAATTGACACTTGACTGATTCCCAGAGAGTGAAGGCAGTGTGGCATAGCAGAAAGAGCGAGGTCTGAAGTCAAATCGTATGGGTTTAAAACTTGGCTTTGCCTGATATGATCTGTAAAGTGTAGGCAAATCTGTTGACTTCTTTGGGTCTCAGTTTATCATCTACAAAATAGGCTTAACAATTATTTTCATGATTGCTGGGAGGACTAGATAGGATGATATATGTGAAAGTTCTTAGTAGGTACAGAAATTATACTAAAAAAGACAAACAAATCCACATGCTATAATGCAGTGTGGACTATCTTTGGTAACCCACATGTCAAAGGTAGTCTTAAACTGCTCTGGTTTGGTAAATGTTGGCGTAAACTAGAAGTCAGAGACTATGGGATCCACCCTTATCTGCTCTCGAGCTTTGGTTTACAATGAGCTCAAGTGTGGGGATTGTGTCAAATGATTCCTGGAATCCCATACATTTGTAAAATTCTATGAATTTGTGAAGTCTGCAAAATGTGAATCTGAGGTGTATGTACTGTAGAGCAACTATTAGACCATTTATCACATTATATATAGATAGACAGATATATCTATATATAATTTTTTTTTTAGGCAGAGTCTTGCTCTGTCACCCAGGCTGGAGTGCGGTCTCGGCTCACTGCAACCTCCGCCTCCTGGCTTCTGGCCGTTCTCCTGCCTTAGCCTCCCAAGTGGCTGGGATTGCAGGCACCTGCCACCATGCCCGGCTCATTTTTGCATTTTTAGTGAAGATGGGGTTTCGCCGTGTTGGTCATTCTGGTCTTGAGCTCCTGACCGCAGGCGGTCCACCCACCTTAGCCTCCCAAGGTGCTGGGATTGCAGGCGTGAGCCACCGCGCCTGGCTATCACATTATATTTTACAGAAGCCATCATCCCATACCTTTGAGTCCAGCCCCAGAAAGAGCGGTCCCTTGCATACCATTCAATATGACCTTGGGCATCCTTTCCCCACTCCCCAGCCATAGCTGTTTGGGCTAGGGTTGGAAACCTGTCCATGGTAGGCCCTTTGGAGTCTCTTGCTGGCCACTTGGGATTACAATGGAGACAGTCAAGTTAACAGACAGTAATGCTGGACCTGGACAGTTGCCAGCACGTGTTGGAGGCTGAGAGCACCATCCAGTGTAAGCCATGGTGGATGGTGTAGTAGGAGAGCAAAGGAAGGCAATCTGCAAATGGGTTGGATGGGGAGGGGGAGAAAAGGTGGGAGAAAGAGAGAAATATAAAATGAGGGAAGCAGAGGAAGAGATAACATGGCAATGAAGAAAGTAACATCTTTGGTCATTTTCTGTTCCAATCACCCACAGCAGGCCTGTCGGTTCTCTTTTACCTAAGTAGATTTTAGTGGCTTTTCTATTCTTGATCTCCAACCATGCCCTAAGACATACGGCAATGGTAACACAGACTGAGGATTCTCTGATGGCAGGGCTTTGTCTCATTCCTTTTTGCAACAAGCACAAAGTAGATGCTCAATGAATTTATACTGAAATGACATGAAAATCATGTTTGTGTATGAAGTGTCACTGATGGCATTTATATGAAAAAGGTTAATTAAAATAATTATGTTTTTAAAAAAGTCTGTTTTATCCTATGAAATGGGCAGTGGTTCTGGGATTTCAGCCCATCTACAGAAGACACTGCTGAGGCATGTAGATAACTGGCATGGGGCAATGGTGCCCTATTCTGTAGCTTTCCACCATGCTTAGTAGGAAAGACTTTTTGAATGAGGTCCTGATAGTGAGGCCCAAAGTAGGAAGTGCATGGATGAGCACCTAGGCAAGATGTGTTTCCTTCAGGGGATTGGGATCATTTCTTGGAACTTGAGGTCAGTGTCCTGTAGTGTAGGGGAGAGGGGAAATGGGTTGGGACTGGGACTCTGGGAGGCTGGCCATCTGCCAGTTATGGGATCTTTGGGCTCCCAGAGTTACTTTTAAGAAGTGGTCCTGGCCTCACTTAAGAAGAGAAAGTCTGTTGGAGACCCAGGGAAGACAGACAGGTCTTTTGGGCCTTCACCTTATTGGTGTTGAGTACAGCTCTGCCTTCTTGTCCTGCCCATTATCTCCCAATCCCTCTTGGGCCCAACTCACTGCACAATGGCCCTCCTGACTGGTGAGGACATGGAGTGCACTCTGCCTTAACTGTTAGAGGGTGATTGGGCTAAAAGGGGTGGGAGGCCACACTCACGCAGCCTGGTGCCAATCGCTCAATGTCCCTTATGTCTGTCTCTTGACATACTGAGGAGAAATGTGGGGGAATGTGTCTTGAAGAGGTGTTATTCCACACAAGCCATCAGAAGTACACCTACCACAAGCCTGCTTGTAAGAATTGTCCTGCCATTGATCCTGGCATGGACATCACATATGAGGAGGATGGGTATCTCTAGTTTGGCTCCTGTCTCCCCTCCTCACTGACCCAAGCGTGCAACCTTCCTTGTCTGGAGACCATTCCTCATCTGGAGGGTACGGCCATGTGAAAGGAGCGGGGTCCTCAGGCCACATTGTCTTGTGATGGCAGTTTTTCCTCACTGTTCACCCCAGTTCTGGTGCCGCTGCGCCACCATTTTGTGGGTATTGCATCCTGAGACCTCTGGGTCAAGCTGACCTTTTAGTGGCTTATGTCAATGTCCAAGTCAAAATGTTACTTGGTAAGCAGAGTTTAAGTCTGGCTCCAACTCTCTGCCCAGACTCAAGATATTTTCCTGTGGTCTCAGCCAGCTCCAGTGCTAAAGATTCAGCCATGGCTTTTAGGTATGATCATAAGGTAATGATTAGAGCCATTTCTCCTTGTCAAGAGGAAAGTTTGAGACCACCCTACTGGGATGAAGCCCTGCAAGATGGAGGACCAGCAATGAGAACTGGGAGCCCCAAGGATTCAGCCAGGATAAACACTGGCTGGCTTTTTCTTCAGTAGCAAATGGCAGAGGGATGGAATATTGGGGAGGAAAGAGGGGAAGGAATGCTGGCATTTCTGGCATAATAGTGCCATCTAGAAGAACTTGTTTGACAATCCCATGAACCCTTGCTCATGATTGTCTGAGGAGTGGCTTGGGAGTGAAGTGGGGTTTCAGGAGGGAACAGAGCTATCTGGATGCATGGGAGAAGTGTGGCCAATGGCCATTTGGGGCTGTCAAGCTTCAGAGACAAGCACCAGGTCAAGACCCCCAGAGCACCTGGTGGGACCTGTACTGGAAGCCCTGGCTCATGATTCTGTTGGTAGCCATGTCTGGATAGGGCTAGCATAAATCTCTGCAAAGGATCCCCACCCTGAGGTTACAGCCATTTTACCACCTGCCCCTTTACTGGCTGCAGTGCCTGCTCCTGAGAGTGCCATACTTCTGGCAGAAGCCTGTTTTTAGTGCTGTGTGTCCCACACCAAAGAGAGCTAGTGCCTAGATCCCTGCCTTTGCAGAGTTCTTCTTGGCCACCTTCCTTCAAAGTCCCAGGAGCCTCAGGGCAATGAGCAGGAATTGGCCTTGCTTCCCATTCACCCCTGGCTCTCCCAAGTCTGAACCTGTGTTTATCCAGGTAGCTGGGAATCAAGAAGGGCCAGGAGTCCATGCCAGAATCTAACCACTGTAGGGTTCTGTCATCATCCTTCCTTTCTCCATGCCCATTTCTCTCTGTGCATCCAGCCCTAGCCTCCTCCCCATTTCCCTCAGATCTACTTCTCATCAAGCAGTCCTGCCGAGCCAAGAACGAGGTACATACTCCTGGGTACATGGCCTATTTTATACACTCCATCTTCCTAATGGCCTACTCCTGGAAAACATCGTGGTTAAGTTGTGCTTTTGCCAGCTCTTAACTGACTGAGGCTATGCTCCCTGGTCAGTGCTTGCCCACAGGCCTGGTAGGAAGACTCAAGGCCCAGATCTCCACCTTTTTTTTTTCTTTCACCTCCCAAATGGGTGCCAAAAACTGCTCTAGTCCTTTCTCAGTTTCATACTTGTGAGTTTCCTAAAGTGTTGCCCAGTGGTCTTATGTGGGCAGAGCCTTTTAGGGTCAATCAACCTTCTTTTTTCCAAGCCTCAGGGCAAGACCTGGACCTACAGGATCTGATTGATCCTAAGCTCAAGGCTGTGAGTGTGATGCTCTGAGAGTGTTCCTTAGGTTTGAGCCAATGCTGTAAGACAAGCAGATACACAGAACATAGATCTTCATGTTTGAACCCAGGTTTCTTCCACGAGGAGAGGAACCAGATCATACTAAGGAACTAGAGCCTAACAAACAGTGCACTTCCGGATTGTTCTTGAGCTGAAGTACAGCACAATACAGACCTAGGTCCTCTGACACCAGAGCTCAATGTTGGTATCAACTTGATCCCCAATGAGTGTCAGCACTCTCTGCCCCATGGGACAAAATGTGTGCAATGGCACGCTGTGAGACCTTTGACCCAGACTTTCTTTGACAGGAGCAAAAATTAACCAGACAAAGTTTGAAGTGCAATGTACTTCAACTACTCTTTCTTGTATCATTGTAGTACCCCCCAAATCAGGAAATTTTCTATCCTTTTTATGAGCTACACCTAGCAATGTGGCTACTGCCACCTCCCCTTTATTTGGCTGGCCCTGGGACCTCCAGGGCAGTGCCTCCTTTCTTCGCTTGAAGTTACATCTTCACCAAGAGCAAAGATCCACAGTCAAAATGCCCTGTGGTAGCTCCAGGTTCCCAAACATGGCTGCCACTAAGGCCTGGCCTCTGCCGCCTCCCGAGCCTGGCAGGCCTGGCAGCCCAGGGTTTCTTGGTGGGCAAGCTCGGCTCCCTCGCTTTTGCACTGAATCTGGAGGCACCCAGTCAGGTGCCCACATCCAGTCCCAGAATTCCCTGAGTGCCCCAAACCTACCCTTTGTTCTATTAGAAACCTTCCCCTCTGGATACACTGCGAAGGGCTGGAAGCCATGCTCAAAAAGCTTCCTCTTGATGGCACTGTTGTTCCAGAAATGCCAACCGCCCCGTCCTACCAGGCCTCTCCCTCCACCCTTTGTGGATGAAAAAACACCAGGGAAGGCCCACAACCAGTATAAGCCTTAGAAGCAGAGTTTATTCTGCTATAGTGCTACAAGGCAGGGCTGAGTGTACCTTTCTCTGGGGCTCTTGGTTTTAATATAAATGTCTGTGTGTAAGTGTTCATCAAAAAGAACAGATGTATCCATGTATCTGTTGCTGTTAATACATCATCCCTTTATGAGCGTTAAGTCTAAATATCATGTAAATGTGTCAGTGGCTTCTGGGCACACTTGTGGGTTTATATAGGATATCTTAGGTAGAATTCTTGCTCTTATGGGGACATTGACTCATAGCTTGAGGTGGGCTGAGTACCTGGATTTCCCTTCTTATCTTGGAGTTGTTGCTTCTCTTCTGTCCTCATGGAGCCAGGGCAATCTTACCCAAGGCAGTCCAGCAGCCTCTTGTAGCTTAAGATGTCAGCAGCAGGCCCTAGAGGGAATGGCAGGCTATTGCGGGGCCTGCAGGAATTGACAGGTGCTATATCAGGTGAGAAGACTTTTTCAAAGTGAAAATAAAAATCTAGAGATGAATATCTAAATTTAACATTTTATTACAGGAGGAAAAATTGCAGTTTGGTGCATACATACAGATTCGGTGGCCTTTAGTATTTCTGAAGAAGAAAGAGGAGGTTGCAGGTTTTATAAAAGGAGAAATGTCACATACAGTTTTTCTAGAAAGTTCATTGGTACTAGTAACGTATTGTGGAGCTAGCAGTCTCTGATGGGTGAGTGATAGTCTTGGGTAAAAGTGGTCTTAGAGTTTTGAGCAGGTTGTTTCAGTAGCTGTTAGATAAAAGTGTTTTCAGGATATAACAGGCAGTTTTATCATCCAGGCTGGTAGAGAATTACATTCTTAGAGCAATGTAATAATGCCCTGAGTGCTTCTTCCCCCTGAACTCTTGACTGTTTTAGTTTTATATTGTAAGAATGACCCAATGTGTGTGATCAACTTTCACACGCCCCTCTTTGATCAAGATCCTTCTATGAATGCATGACTGATCAACCATTGTGAAGTTAGGCTTAATTGTCTCTCGGTGCTGGGATGGAGCTGTCCTGTTGTCTTCCTCATTGAGGGTAAGTCATAGGGGTGTATATCAGTGACCTGGGTCATATTGGAGTAACAAGGAGGCCAGAAGGAAAAATTTTCTCATGGTAGGTTCATCTGGAGTCCAGCATCAAGTTTCATCTTACAGTTCCATAGTCATCAGCAGTCACCTTGAAACAATGGGCTAATTTTATCCCCTTCAGAGAGCTGGCTTTACAAAGATTAGACAGGTAATAAGAGCAACACTTAAAAATCATAATACAAAAATAAAAAACAATATAATAAAATTAGTTTGCACAATGGTTTTGCTCTAAGAGCACAAACTTAAGGGCAACAACTAAACAAATCAAAAGACCATAGAGGAAACTAGGTGAGACCTGTTATAGCCACTGAGTAGCATTTTCTGACTTGGTAAAATTAAAACAGAGAATGCCAATTTTACAAAAGGAACCACCATTATAATTTGAACAAAATTTTTAAAGTTGCCCACTAGGTGAACTAAAAGGATTTCTTTGGTCAGGTTTTGTCAAGTTATCTATAGCAGTTACTGGTTGCTAAAAAAAAGTAATTATGTCAACTTCCTGCCAAGTGAAAAAAAAATATCATTAAGGGAAGTAAGACTTTCATTATGATATGTCATTCTGATGTCTTAGGAAAGGTCGTTTATGGCATGAAAAATGTCAACTTCTTGTCCTGGTTTACAGTTTGAATGTCTCTGGCTTTGGTGTCAGGGAGTTTGGTGACCTTTCTGTGTGGTTCATATATCAGGCACAAGATTTGTTCCTTAAAATTTATCTAGTTTTAGCTTACAGGCCTTAGAAACGAAGTAGTTCCTGCCTTAGGAGTTTTATGGAAAAAAGTTGGATTGGAGGAACCTAGAATAATTTAGGACCACGTGTAGTGTATAAGTAGATAATAAGAGCTTGAAAACAATGTGCAGAGTTAAAATCTAATAACAGGTGTAGTATAGCTCTTTTTTAGAAACAACCTTTTCTTTCTACATTGATCATATAGGAAATCTCAGATTTTAAAACCTCATGAGGCTAGAAAGCAAAACCAAGACCAACTTTAGATTTTATTATAATCTTAGGATTCCTGGACCTGCTGGGAAGTGACAGTTTTTATTTACTCACTATAAGGCTGGGAACCCTTAAGTCAGGCATTTTATGCATATTTTCAAATATGTCATTTCAGTCAAAGCCTTGGTAATAACCATGCTTTTAAATTGTATTCTGCTATAAAGAAGACAGATTTTTATTGGGCTTATGCAAATAATCATATTACCATAAGAATACTAACAAATACTTTCTGAATTCTGGAGGAATCAAGGAGAAAAATCCAAATGATTTTCCTTTTTTTCTTTTTTCTTTTACAAAAGTATATCTTACCAAATTGCTATAAATGATAGCTCAAGAGAGAAAATGTTCCTAAATCTGAAAAACAAAACATTAAGAACCACATGTATCAAGTAAAAAATCATAAAAACATTGTCTTCATTAGTTATTCAGTCTCATATAATCAACATTTGTTCTCTTTGATCTCCACTAGTAGTTTTCTGAATCCATCAGTTTATTAGAGTTCTGGAAGTTTTCATTTAGTCCATTGATATTAAAGTTATCAGAAACCTGTATTTAAGAGTTCTTGTGGGCCAGGCATGGTGGTTCACACCTGTAATCCCAGCACTTTGGGAGCCCAAGGCAGGTGGATCACCTGAGTTCAGAAGTTCAAGACCAGCCTCATCTTGAACTAAAAAACCCCATCTCTACTAAACCCCGTCTCTACTAAAAATACAAAAAAAAAAAAAAAAATTTCCTGGGCATTGTGGCAGACGCCTGTAATCCCACCTACTTGGGAGGCTGAGGCAGGAGAATCACTGGAACCCAAAAGGCGGAGGTTCCAGTGAGCCGAGATTGCGCCATTGCACTCCAGCCTGGGCAACAAGAGCAAAACTCCATCTGAAAAAAAAAAAGAGTACTTGTTGGAGTTTTTTCCATTAATTTGATATTTAATTTTATTAATTAGTTTATTTCAGCTCTGTCATCCAGGCTGGAGTGCAGTGACAGGATCACAGCTCACTGCAGCCTCCAACTCCTGGGCTCAAGTGATCTTCCTGCATCACCCTCCCAAGTAATCAGGACTAGAGGCAAGTACCACCATAGCCAGCTAATTATTTTTTTGCTTTTTGTAGAGACAAGGTCTCGTGATGGTTCCCAGGCTGGCCTTGAACCCCTGAGCTCAAGCAATCCTCTCGTCTCAGCCTCCCAAAATGATAACTTTTCAAGTGTGAGCCACCATGACCATCCCTTGTTCATGAATTTGATTGTAAATGTTTTTACAGAATAATTCAAAATGATAACTGTGGATTCTAAAAACTTGGAATGGCCGTGGTTAAAAATCTGATGAAAGGTTGTAATTGATGAGAAAATTTAGTTAGTTCTATTACATATAGCATTTTTAGGTAACAACTAGAATTATGATTGATAACATATTTCTATGAATTTATATAATTTTTGAAACATTTGCATTAATAGTACATTTATAAATGCAACTAAGAGAAGATCTAATATTGCTTATCCTTCAACAACATTTCTTACACAATTTTCCAAATAAGCTTAATCATTTAATGTCTCTACAAAATGAAAAAAATATCTTTTGTTGCTTTCCAGGGGTCTGAATGGAAAATCCTAAAGTTAATTCTAGGTCAACAAGACTTAATTAAGGATTTGATCTTGAGTAAGTTTGTCAAAGATGTTAAAGCGCTCAAAGCATTTGATCAAAACAGAATTGCAGGCCACTATAAAATAATACTCATTTAACCAAAGTGATCATCAAAAGACTTCAGATGCAACACAGAGAGTTACACGGATATAAAAACCTTAATCCTTTTAAAGCTCAATTATCCTCAGTAATCAAAAACCTAATAAAGTCAACACAGCAAATTTTCTTGATAAAACAAAAAGCCTTTGATTCTTAGGCCAACTAACAAAAAGCCAAAGTAAAACCATCAGCCCTGTGACTTTTTCTTCTTAATGGAAGCTCATTTAGATGAACTGGAAGTTGAACCTGATGAATTTAATTAGACACAAGGATAATGTTTCCAAGGTTATGAGTGGAATAATTCAGGTAAATCAAAAAAGCCAAGAATACAGAGTCAAATTTTACGGGAGGGAAAGTGCTTTTTTAGGCCTGCAAGGTAAACATTTTAGTGTTAGGCCATAACAGCAGGTTAGAACTAGAGAAAAAAGAGGGGCTGACAAAAAAGTTGAAGGAGAGTTTTCATAACAGGCATTCTCAAGGGGATAAAAAGGTGAATGTCATGATGTGTGACCTGCAAATCACGTGCAGTGAGGTACAGCAAAAGTTGTACCTCTGAGGTATAAATCTGAGAAATTTGAAAAGTAAAACTTTACCTTAACAAATGAAATTAGGGGGCAAAGCAAGATGGTGGAATAAAAGGCTCCACCTATCATTTTCCTCTCCCAAGGACATAAATTTAACAACTATGGACACACAAAGAATAACACCGTGACAAGAATAAAAAAATCAGGTGAGCACTAACAATACCTGGTTTTACCTTTCTGTCACTGAAAGAAGCACTGAAGAGATAGAAAAAAAGTATTGAAGTGCTAATGTCACCCCTCCCTCACACCCTGGCAGCAGCAGCATGGTGCTGAGAGAGTTTCCGTGTTCTGGGGGAAGGGAGAGCATGGCAGTTGTGAGGTGTTGAACTCAGTGCTGTCAAGTTAGAGCAGAAAGGAAAGCCAGTCCAAACTCATCTGATGCCTGCCATAGTGGGAGTATTTAAACCAGACCTAGCCAGAAGGGAATCACCGCTTGAGTTCCTCTAAACCTCACTACCACGTTCTAAAGTGCTCAGAGACTCTAAATGAACTCGAAAGGTAGGCTAGGCCACAATGATTTCAACCTTTAGATGAGTTCTAATGCTGAAATGGGCCCAGAGACAGTGGACTGGTGGGGCACATAACCTACTGAAACATCAGCTGGGGTGGCTAAGAAAGTGTGGGCATTACCTCTCCCCTAACCCCAAGCTACATAGCTCACAGCTCCAAAAGAGACCCCTTCCTTCTGCTTGATGAGAGAGGAGGGAAGAGCGAAGAGGACTTTTTATTGCATGTTGAATACCAGCTCAGCCACAGCAGGATAGGACACTGGTCAGAATCCCGAGGCCCCCATTCCAGGCCCTACCTCCCAGGTAACGTTTCTAGACACAACCCAGGCCAGAAAGGAACTTGCTGCCTTGAAGGGAAGGACCCAGTCCTCGCAGCATTTATTACCTACTAACCGAAGAGCCCTAGACCCTGAATAGCAAGCAGAGATATCCAGGTACTACTTTGAAGGACTTCAGTGGGACTCTGAGACTTACTGGCTTCAAACATGTCTCAGCACATTTCCAACTGTAGTGGCTACAGGGCGAGACTTCTTCTGCTTAAGAGCAGAGGAAAGAGTAAAGGGGACTTTGTCTTGAACCTTAGGAACCAGGTCAACCACAGGGGGCTGTACCAAGTGGGCTCTTGGAGTACACAATTCCAGGACTTGCCTCTTCAATGGTATTCCTGGACCTCTCCTGGGCCAAAGGGAAGCCCACTGCCCTGAAAGGTGAGTCCCAAGTCAGGCAGCATTCATCACAAACAGACATAGGAGCCCTTGGACCTAAAGGGAACATTGACAGTGGTCTGGCAATACTCCCCATGGGCCTGTGATGGTGATGACCACAGAGTGAGGCTTCTTTACATTTGGAAAGGGGAGGGGAGACTGGAACGACTGCATTTTGTGCCCTCACTGACAGCTCAGCCACAATACAATAGAACACCAGCAAGACTTCTAAGGTTTTGGACTCTTCTTCCTGACTCCAAGATGGCACTCTTGGACCCACATGGGGCCTGGGAGCACTCACTGCTCTGAAGGGAAGGGTGCAGGCCTAACTTTCCACCTGCTGATTTTAGAGTCCCAGGGCCTTGAGTAAATATAGGCAGTAGCCAGGGAGTGGTTACTGCAGGCGTTGGAAAACATGCAGTGCTGTGCTGGCTTCAGGTCTGACCCAACACAGTCATAGTGGTGGTGGCCACAGGGGTGCTTATATTATTGCATCCCCAGTTTCAAGTCGCTCAGAACAGAGAGAGATACTATATTTATTTGAAAGAACATAAAAAAGAGAACAAGAATTATCTGCCTGGGAATCCAGAGAAATCTCCCAGATGTTGTCCAAGACCATCAAGGTAGTACGTCTACGAATCTGCAAGAACCACAGTGTTACTGGGCTCATGGTTCCTCATAAAGCAGATACAGCTTAGATGACAACACCCAAGTCCTCTCAAATATCTGGGAAGCCTTCACAAGAAGGATAGGTACAAACAAGCCCAGACTGTGAAGACTAACATAAATACCTAACTCCTCAATGCCCAGACACAGACAAACATCTACAAGTATAAAAGACAGTCCATGGAAACATGACCTCACCAAATGAACTAAATAAGGCACCAGGGAACAATCCTGGAGAAACCGAGATATGTGATCTTTCAGACAGAATTCAAAAAAGCTCTTTTGAGGAAACTGAAAGAAATTCAGGATAACACAGAGCAGGAATTCAGAATTCTATTAGATAAATTTGATAAATTGAAATAGTTAAAAAGAATCAAGCAGAAATTTGGGAGCTGAAAAATACAATTGGCATATTGAAGAATGCATCAGTGTCTTTTACTAGCAGAATTGATCAAGCAGAAGAAAGAAATAGTGAGCAAGCTATTGAAAATAGGGCAGGCAGTTTGAAAGTACGTAGAGGAGACAAAAGAAAAAAGAAATAAAAAACAATGAAGAACACTTACAGGATCTAGAAAATAGGTGGAAAAAAGCAAATCTAAAAGTTATTGGCCTTAAAGAGGAGGTAGAGAAAGATATAGGGGTAGAACATTTATTCAAAGAGATAATAACAGAGAATTCTCAAACCTAGAAAAAGATAGTAATGTCCAAGTACAAGAAGATTATACAACACCAAGCAGATTTAACCCAAAGAAGACCACCTCAAGGAATTTAATAATCCAGCTCCCAAGAAACAAGGATAAAGAAATTATCATGAAAACAGCAAGAGAAGAGAAACAAATAACATATAATGGATCTCCAGCACATCTGGCAGCAAACTTTTCGGTGGAAATTTCACAGGCCAAGAGAGTGGTATGGCATATTTAAAGTGCTGAAGGAAAGAGACTTTTACCCTAGAATAATATATCCAGCAAAAATAATCTTAAGACATGAAGGAGAAATGAAGACATTCCCAGACAAACAAACACTGAGACATTTTATTAACACTAGACCTGTACTACAAGAAATGCTAAAGAAAGTACATCAATCAGAAATAAAAGGATGTTAGTGAGCAACTAATAATCACCTGAAGGTAAAAAAAAAAAAATCACTGTAATAGTAAGTATAAATAAAAACACAGAATATTATAAGACTGTAACTGATGTGTCAACTACTCATTCTAAGTATGAAGGTGAAATGATGAACCAATCAAAAAGTTAACTATACACTGCACACTATATTAATGTGTTATCAGATAAAATAATGGGTTTTTAAAAAGTATTTGCAAGCCTCATAGTAACCTCAAACCAAAATGCATACAATGGAGACACAAGAAATTAAAAGCAAGAAACTAAATCATATCATCAGAGAAAATCATCTCACTAAAGGAAGACAGGGAGGAAAAAGAAGGAAAACAGACCACAAAAACCCAGAAAACAAATAATAAAATGGCAGGAGTAAATTCTTAATTACCAATAATACCACTGAATATAATGGATTCAACTATTTAATCAAAAGTCATAGAGTGGCTAGATGAATTTTAAAAGCAAACCCATTGACTTGTTTCCTACAAGAAACACACTTCCCCTATAAAGACACGTGTACACTGAAAATAAAAGGATGGAAGAATATATCCCATGTCAAGGGAAACCAAACAAGAGCAAAAGTTGCTGCACTGATATCAGACAAAATATATTTCTAGACAAAAACTGTAACAAGAGACAAGGTCGCTATATAATGATAAAAGGGTCAATTTAGCAAGAATATATAACAATTTTAAGTATATGTGCAGTCAACCCTGGAGCACCCAGATATATGAAGCAAATATTATTAGAGGTAAAGAAAGAGATAGACCCTAATACAATAATAGCTGGAGACTTCACCCCACTTTCAGCATTAGGCAAATCTTTTAGACAGATATTAACAAAAAAACTCAATCTGCACTATAGACCAAATGGATCTAATAGATATTTACAAAACTTTTCACCCAATGGCTATGGAATATAAACTCTTCAGCACATAGATCGTTCTCAAGGATAGACCATATGTTAGGTCATAAATCAAGTTTTAAAATATTCAAAAAATGGAAATAATATCAAACATCTACTCTGACCACAATGGGATAAAACTAGAAATCAATAACAAGGAATTCTGAAAACCATACAAATACATTAAAATTAAACAATATGCTTCTGAAGAATCAGTGGGTCAATGAAGAAACCGAAAAAAAGTTGAAGAATTCCTTGAAACAGATGATAATGAAGACACCATCTACCAAAACCTATGAAATACAGCAAAAGCAGTATTATGAAAGAAGTTTGTAGCTAAAAAAAAAAAAATCTAACAGTGTGCTTGAACTAGAAAAGCAAGAGTAAACCAAAACCAAAATCAGTAAATAAAGGAAATACTAAAGATGACAGCAGAAATAAATTTGAAATGAAGAAAACAATGCAAAAGATTAATGAAATAAAAAGTTTGCAGTTTGAGAAGTTAAACAAAATTGACCTTTAGCTGGACTAAGAAAAAGAGAAGATCCAAATAAATAAAATCAGAGATGAAAAGGGAGACATTATGACTACTACAGACATTAAAAGGATTACTAGTGGCTACTATGAGTAACTATACGCCAATAAATTGGAAAATCTAGAAGAAATGGACAATTTCCTAGACACATACAACCTTCCAATGTTAAACCAGTACGAAATCCAAAACCTGAACAGACCAATAACAAGTAGCAAGATGGAAGCCATAATAAAGTCCCTCAGTAAAGAAAAGCTTGGGACCTGATGACTTTACTGCAGAGCTGTACCAAACATTTAAAGAAGAATTAATACCAATCCTATTTAAACAATTCAAAAAAAAAAATGAGGAGGGGACACTTCCTAACTTATTCTACAAGACCAGTATTACATTGATAGCAAAACTAGACAAAGATACATCAAAAAAATTAAAAAAAAACACAAGCCAATATCTCTAATGAATATTGATGCGAAAATCCTCAGCAAACTACTAGCAAAGCAAATTCAACAATACATTAGAAAGCTCATTCATCACGACCAAGTGGGATTTATTCCAGGGATGCAAGGGTGATTCAACATATGCAAATCAATCATTGCGATGCATCATATCAACAGAAGAAAGGACAAAATCCATATGATCATTTCAATTGATGTCAAAATGATGTTTTCATCCCTTCATGATAAAAATCCTAAAAAAACTGAGGATAGAAGGATCATACCTCAACATAATACAAACCATATATGACAGACCCCAGCTAGTGTCATACTGAATGAGGAAAAACTGAAAGCCTTTCCTCTAGGACCTGGAACACAACAGGGATGCCCACTATCACCACTGTTATTCGACATAGTACTGAAAGACTTAGATAGAGCAATCAGACAAGAGAGAGAAATAAAGGGCATCCAAATTGGAAAGGAAGAAGTCAGATTATCCTTGTTTGCAGATGATATTATCTTTTATTTGGAAAAACCTGAAGACTCTTAGCCAGGCATAGTGACATGTGCCTGTAGTCCCAGCTACATGAGAGCCTGAGACAGAAGGATCATATGAGCCCAGGAGGTCGAGGCTACAGTGAGCTGAGATCCTGTCACTGCATTCCAGCCTGGGCAACAGAATGAGACCTTATCTCAAAAAAGGAAAAAAAATGAAAAAAAGGAAAAACTCCACAAAAGAAATTAGAACTTATAAACAAATTCAGTAAAGTTGCAGGATACAAAATTAACATCCAGAAGTCAGTAGCATTTCTTTATGCCAATGTGAACAATCTAAAAAAGAAGTAATCTTATTTATAATAGCCACAAATAAAATTAAATACCTAGGAATTAATTTAAAGCAATCAACAATCTCTGTAATGAGAATTATAAAACACTGATGAAAGAAATTGAAAAGGACACCAGAAAATGGATAGTCTATGTTTATGAATTGGAAGAGTCAATATTGTGTAAAATTCCATACTACCCAAAGCAATCTACAGATTCAGTGCAATCCCTATCAAAATACCAATGTTATTTTTCAATGAAATAGATAAAACAATCTTAAAATTTCTATGTAACCACAAAAGACCCAGAATAGCCAAAGCTATCCTAGGCAAAAAGAACAAACCTGGAGAATTCATATTACCTGACTTCAAATTATACTACAGAGCTATACTAACCAAACCAGCTTAATGCTGGTATAAAAACAGACACAGACCAATGGAACAGAATAGAGAATCTAGAAACATTCACACTCCTATAGTGAACTCATTTTCAATAGAAGTGCCAAGAACATACGCTGAGGAAAAGACAGTCTCTTCTTTGATAAATGGTGCTGTAAAAACTGGATATCCATATGCACAAGAATGAAACTAGATCCCTATCTCTCATTGTATACAAAAATCAAAATGGATTAAAAACGTAAAGATCTCAAACTATGAAACTACTACCAGAAGTCATTGGGGAAAATCTCCAGGACATTGTTCTCAGCAAAAATTTCTTAAGTAATTCTCCACAACGACAGGCAACCAAAGCACAAATGGACAAATGGGATCTCATCAAGTTAAAAAGCTTCTGCACAGCCAAGGAAACAAACAAAAAATTGAAGAGAGAACCCACAGAATGAGAGAAAATATTTACAAGCTACCCATTTGACAAAGGATTAATAACCAGAATATATGAAAAGCTCCAACAACTCTATAGGAAAAAAATCCAATAACCTGACCAAAAAATGGGCAAAATATCTGAATAAACATTTCTTCGAAGAAGACATGCAAATGAAAAACATGAAAAGGTGTTCAACATCATTGATCATTAGAGAAATGCAAATCAAAACTTTAGTGAGTTATCTCACCCCAGTTAAAATGGCTTATATTCAAAAGACAGGTAATAACAAGTGCTGGTGTAGATCTGGAGAAAATGGAACCATGTATACTGTTGGTGAGAAATTAATACAACCACTATGGAAAACAGTTTGGAGGTTCCTCAAAAAAACTGAAAATGGAGCTACCATATGATCCAGCAATTTCACTGCTGGGTATGTACCCTAAAGAAAGAAAATGAATATGTCAAAGAGATAGCTGCATTCCTGTGCTTGTTGCAGCACTGTTCACAATAGCCAAGATTTGGGAGCAACCTTAGTGTCTATCACCAGATGAATGGATAAACAAAATGGGGTACATATACAAAATGGAGTACTATTCAGCCATAAAAAAGAATGAGATCTAGTCATTTGCACCAACATGGAAGGAACTGGAGATCACTATTTGAAGTGAATAAGCAAAGCACAGAAAGACAAACATCACATGTTCTCACTTATTTGTGGGATCTAAAAATCAAAACAATTGAACTCATAGACATACAGAGTAGAAGAATGATTACCAGAGGGTAGGAAGGGCACTTGTTGGGTTGGGGAGGAAATTGCAATGGGTAATGAGTACAAAAGAAAAAAAATAGTATGATTAAGATCTAGTATTTGATTGCATAATCGGGCGACTGTAGTAAATAATAATTGACCATTTAAAAATAACTAAAAGGGTATAATTGGATTCTTTGCAACACAAAGGATAAATGCTTGAGAGGATGTATACATCCATTTTTATGATTTGCTCATTACACATTGCATGCTTGTATCAAAAGTTTTCATGTACCCCATAAATACATACACCTACTATGTACTACTCACAAAAATTAAAAATTAAAAATACCATTTTAAATAAAGAAGATAGCTTTTTGGGGGGCGGGGACAGGGTCTCACTCTCCATCTCTCACTCAGACTGCAATGGTGAGAACATGATTCATTGGGAAATAAACACAACTTCCTGGGCTCAAGGTGTCCTCCCACCTCAGCCTGCTGAGTAGCTGGGACCACAGGCACACAACACCATGCCTGGCTAATTTTTTTTTTTTTTTTTTTTTAATTTGAGACAAGATCTCACTATGTTGCCCAGGCTGGTCTTGAACTCCTGGGCTCAGGCAAACCTCCTGCCTTGGCCTCCCAAAGTGCTGGCATTACAGGCATGAGCCACTGCACCCAGCAGCAGTCTTACTTTCTTTAAACCAGAAACTAGGGATATTAAAGAGATCTCAGGAAAAAGTGGCAGGAACAGAATCTGTCTGTAGTGTACAAAATGGCTGTTAAACAGATTTTTGAATTAAACTTAAAACCTCTTGCAATTTTTAAAAGCGTGTATCAATACTTTAAGAAAACTTTGTTGTTTACACAGACTCTGGTCCTGTATCATGTCATCCCTGACAGCAACATTTAATTTTTAGAATATCGTATAAACAATTTCTTTTCAATCTCAGTGGACCCAGTCACACATGAAACTTTTTTCATGAGACCAGTGCTTTAGAAATCCTCTTCTACTTGTTTAGTTCTTTCACCACTTTTCAACCCCCACCCCCCAAGTCTTATTTCTGTAATTTTTCTTTTTAAAAAAATTATGGAACAACAATTTTAAATTAGGTAAAATTTTACCACATACAATTTTTTACACAAAATTATTTCCTTCTAAATTCATATTTTGATTAATAGACACAAATGTATTTAGTCTTTCCATAAAATTTAAAAAGCCAAGAATGAACTTATGTGTACTTAACAATTTGTTTCTGTTTTTTTCTTATTTGGATATGGCTCAGACATTTAATGAGTATTATTTAATTTAACATAACTTTAAGATTTTAAATTACATGAAAATTTATTTGTAAATGCTTACTCTGTTTGCAATTACCTAATTTATTTATTTTTTAACAATTATACCTTGATTACCTATGAAAATTGAGATACTAGACATAGCTAGTTATTAGGTTTTTATTAACGAATTTTATTGCCTGTTAATATCAGGAATTTCCCTAAGTAAGAACTTTAAGGTTAAATACATAGGTCAATAAGTCCTATTGTATAAATCCTGTCAATAAGTCAGGAGACACGGCTGATTTTATTAAAGCAACAATATTAAATTAATCTTATCAAAGGGTTAAAGATTATGTTGTTTTAGGCTTTATCACCTTATTACATTAAAAGATCTAGCAGAGGCATATATAAAACTGTGTGACCAGTAAACTCAAGTGAGAATGTATGTTGACACTTTTGAAGATATTTCTAATTTTATTTTTTCAACCATTTTTAAACCAATTTATCAAGATTTACTTGTGAACTAAAAAAAAAAAAAAAGTTGGGGTGCCAGGTGCCTATAATCCTAGCTACTTGGGAGGCTGTGGCAGAAAGAATTTCAAGGGCCCAGAATTTCAAGGTTGCAGTGAGCTATGATTATGCCACTGTACTCCATTCTAGGTGAAAGAGCAAGACTGTTTCTATAATTTTATTGAATGGGATAATTAGTATACTATTGATTTTATATGTGCACCCAATATATCTAAATAAAATATTTTGAGGGATGTCAAGCTAATTATACCAGATTTTATTATGTACATGTAACATATAACACAGTACATGTACATATGTGTAAACACATCTAAATGTATATATACACATATAAAAATACTTTCATATATATGCTCATATAAAAATACTTTCAACTTTCATTTTAGAATTTTGGTCATGAGATAGTAAAACATAGAGACTCACTGATTTTTTTTAAAAAATACATTTATCAGGCGCATATGCTATTTTGTTACATACATAGGTTGCATGGTGGTCAAGTCAGGGCTTTTAGGGTATTTGTCACCTAAATAATGTATGCTGTAGCCATTAAATAATTTCTCATCATTCTCCCTACTCCCACTCCCTCACCTTTCAAGTCTACATTATCTATCTATGTCCATTATCTGTCTATGTCCATGTGAACACATTTTGTAGCACCCACTTAGGAGTGATAACAGGTAATATTTGTCTTTCTGTGCCTGGCTCGTTTCACTTAAGATAATGATTTCCAGGATGAGTGTGGTGGCTTGTGCCTGTAATCCCAGGAATTTAGAAGGCCAACGCAGCCAGATTGCTTGATGCCAAAATTTCAAGACCAGGCTGCGCATAATTTCAAGACCTTCTCTTTACAAATAAAAATAAAAATAAATAGCTGGAGCTGTGGCATGAACCTGTAGTCCTGGCTAGTTGGAAGGCTGAGGAGGAGGGATTACTTCAGCCCAGGATTTCAAGGCTGCAGTGTGCTATAATTGTGCCAAGACACTCCAGCCTGGGTGACATAGCAAGACCTTTTGTCTAGAAGATAGCAAAGATAATGACCTTCAGTTTCATCTGTATGGCTGCAAAATACTTGATTGTATTCTTTTTTATGGTTGAATAGGATTCCATTATGTATATACACCACATTTTCTTACTCATTTATCTATTGATAGACACTTAGGTTGATTCCCCTTTGCTATGAATAGTGGTGTGATAAACATGCAAGAGCAAGTATGTTTTTGATATATTGATTTTTTTCCTTTCAGTAGATACCTAGCAGTGGTATTGCTGGATTGAATGATAGTTCTTTTAGTTCTTTGAAAAACCATACTGTTTTCCGTAAAGGCTGTACTAATATCCATTCCGAGCAACAGTATATGAGTTCTCTTTTCTCCATATCCTCACCAACATCTGCTCTTTTTTGTCTTTTTAATAATGGCCATTCTAGCTGGGGTAAAATGAAATATCATTGTGGTTTTGATTTGCATTTCCCTGATGATTAATGATGAGCATTTTTTCATATACCTGTTGGCCATTTGTATGTCTCTTTTGAAAAATGTCTGTTCATGTCTTTTGTCCCACATGGGATTATTTGATTTTATTGTTTGAGTTCCTTGTATATTCTGGATATTAGTCCTCTGTTGGATTGATAGTTTGAAAATATTTTCTCCCATATAACAGGTTGTCTCTTCTCTATGTTGATTGTTTCCTTTGCTGCGAAGAAGCTTTTTAGTTTAATTAAGTCCCATTTGTCTATTTTTTCTTCTGTTGCCTGTGCTTTTGAGTTCTTAATCATTAATTTGGTGCCTAGATCAATGTCCAGAAGAGTTTACTCTAGGTTTCCTTCTAACATTTTTAAAGTATTGGGTCTTACATGTAAGTTTTAATCCATCTTGAGATGGTTTTTGTATGTGGTGAGAGATAAGGATTCAGTTTCATTTTTCTGCAATAGATATTCAATTTTTAAGCCATTTATTAAAGCGGGTCTTCTTTCCCCCACTGTATGTGTTGTTGGTTTTGTCAAAAATCAGTTGGCTGTAAATATGTGGCTTTATTTCTGGATTCACTATTCTTTTATATTAATCTGTATACTATTTTTATATCACTATCATGTTATTTTGCTTACTAGAGCGTTGTAATATTATTTGAAGGCAAATAAAGTGATGCTTCCAGCTGTGATCTTTTTGCTTAAGATTGCTTTGGTTACTTGGGCTTTGTTTTGGTTCCATATGAATCTTATGGTTGTTTTTTCTAATTCTGTGAAAAGCGACACTGGTATTTTGATGGGAATTGCATTGAATCTGTAGATTAGGCAGTTATGGTCATTCTATTAGTCTGTTCTCACACTGCTATAAAGAACTACCTGAGACTGTAATTTACAAAGAAAAGAGGTTTAAAAACTCACAGTTCCACTTTGCAGGAAGCATGAATGGGAGGCCTCAGTAACAATCATGCCAGAAGGTGAAGGGGAAGCAAGCACGTCTTTACCGTGGTGGAACAAGAGCAAGCAAGGGGGAAATGCCACACACTTTTAAACCATCAGATCTCCTGAGAACTCACAGTCACAAGAACAGCATGGGGGAAATCCACCCCCCTGATCCAATTACCTCCCACAAGGTCCCTCCCCCAACATTGGGAATTACAATTCAACATGAGATTTGGTTGGGGACATGGAACCAAACCATATGAGTCACTTTATTTATATTAATTATTTCAATTTATGAACATGTGATATTCTTCCATTTGTTTGTGTCATCTACAATTTATTCCAGCAGTGTTTTGTAATTTTCCTTGTAGAAATCTTTCACCTCCTTGTAGAAATCTTTCACCTCCTTGGTTAAATTTATTGCTAGGGTTTTTTTTGTAGCTATTGTAAATGGGATTGCCTTCTTGATTTCTTTCTTTGCAAGGTCATTATTGGTATATAGAAACACTACTGATATTTGTACAATAATATTTTTGTATTCTTCAACTTTATTGAATTCGTTCATCAAATCAGAGTTCTTTGGCGGAGTCTAGGTTTTTCTAGATATATGATTCTATCATCAGCAAACAGGGATAATTAAACTTCCTCTTTTTAAATTTGGATTCCTTTTATTTATTTTTCTTTCCTGATTGCTCTGGCTAGGACATACCCTAATACATTAAATGAGAGTGGAAAAATTTGGCATCCTTGTGTTGTTTCTGTTTTAGAGAAAATCCTTTCCAAGATTCCCCCAATTACTATGATGTTAAGGGAGGAGACCACCCCTCATATTGTCTTATGCCCAATTTCTGCCTCCAAAGAAAGAAGTAGTAAAAAGTAAAAGGCAGAAATGAAATCCACAAGCGGACAGCCTGGCGCCACACCCTAGGCCTGGTAGTTAAAGCTTGACCCCTGACCTAATCGGTTATTTGCATAAGAAAAGCACTGTAAAGATCCCTGTCCTGTTCTGTTCCATTCTAATTACCAGTGCATCCAGCCCCCAGCCACATACCCCCTGCTTGCTCAATTGATCACGACCCTCTCACAGGGACCCCCTTAGAGTTGTGAGCCCTTAAAAAGGACAGGAATTGCTCACTAGAGGAGCTCAGTTGTTGGAGATGTGAGTCTTCCCGAAGCTCCTGGCCGAATAAAGCCCTTCCTTCTTTAACTCAGTGTCTGAGGGGTTTTGTCTGTGGCTTGTCCTGCTACATTTCTTGGTTCCCTGACCAGGAAGTGAGGTGATTAACAGACGGTCGAGGCAGCCCCTTAGGCAGTTTAGGCCTACCCCATGGAGCATCTCTGTGGGGGACTCCGGCCAGCTTGAGCAACGCAGATCCTGAGAGTGCTCCTGGGTAGGCAATTGTCCCAGTGGAACGCCTCACCAGAGCAGTGCGTGGCAGGCCCCTGTGGAGGATCAACGCAGTGGCTGAACGCCGGGAAGGAACTGGCACTTGGAGTCCAGACATCTGAAACTTGGTAAGACTAGTCTTTGGAAATTGCCTACTCCATTTGAGTGGAAGCGTGGCCTGATCACCCATGGCATGCCTGTACTGGCAGTTTGGTTTTTTGTTTTTGACTTGACTTGGATTGCTTGATACTTTGGTTTTGGTTTTGACCTGGCTTGGATTTCTTGATACTCTGATTTTGGTTTTGATTCTGGTTTGGTGTAAACTGTAAAAGTGTGTGTGTGCCCTTTTTACCCGTTCTTTTTGTGGTGTGCGTGCGGTGTGAGCGTGGTGTTTTGTCTTGAGGAAGCATGGGTCAGGCACAAAGTAAGCCCACCCCACTAGGAACTATGTTGAAAAATTTCAAGAAAGGATTTAAGGGAGATTACGGTGTTACTATGACACCAGGAAAACTTAGGACTTTGTGTGAAATAGACTGGCCAGCATTAGAGGTGGGTTGGCCATCAGAAGGAAGCATGGACTGGTCCCTTGTTTCAAAGGTATGGCACAAGGTAACCTGTAAGCCAGGGTGCCCAGACCAGTTCCCGTACATAGACACTTGGTTACAGCTGGTTTTAGACCCCCTCCCTACCCCCACGGTGGTTGAGAGAACAGCAGCATAAGCAGCTGGCAGAGGCAAGGAAAGACCAGCAAAGAGACAGAGAAGAAAGAGACAGGAAAAGAGGCAAAGAGAGAGAAGAAGAGAGAGAGGAAGAGACAGAGAGACAAAGAGGGAGTCAAGGAGAAAGAGAGAGAGAGGAAGAGACAGAGGCAAAAGGAAAGTCAAAAAGAGAGACAATGTCAAAGACAGAGAAATATACAAGTAGTTAAAAAAAAGTGTGCCCTATTCCTTTAAAAGCCAGGGTAAATTTAAAACCTATAATTGATAATTGAAGGTATTCTCTGTAACCCTATAACACTCCAATACCACTTTGTTGTCAGTGTAAACAAGGGCATATCCCGAAAGCACAGAGGCCACTGATAACCCGTAGCCTTCCTATCAAAAATCTTTAACCCAGTAACCCACGAATGGCCCAGATGCATTCAGTCTGTAGCGGCAATGGCTTTGCTAACAGAAGAAAGTAAAAAAATAACTTTTAGAGGAAACCTCAGTGTGAGCATACCTCACCAGTTCAGAAGTATCCTAAGGAAAAAAAAAAAAAAAAAAAAGGATGTTTTAACATTAACCACGAAAAAAATCCCTTAACCCAGAAGTTTTCCTAACAGGGCATCTAAGTCTTAATTACCATACAAAGGTCCGACCAGACCAGAATTCCCTACAGGACAGGACCATCAATGGTTCCTCCCGGGTAATTGAAGGAAAAAAAAAAAAAAAGCCATCTATACCAATTCTAAGTTAATTTGGACAAAACAAGGTCTTATTAATAGCAAAGGATAATTAAAATCCCAAACTTGCAAGGTTTTCAACAAAAGTAAAGTTTGCTAAAAGCTAACATTGTAACATGTATTATAGTAAATTATAATCTTGTGGCCTTAGACAGTCTAGTCCACAGTCATAAAGCAAGTTCGCTTTGGAAAAGAATGGTTATCTCTGAAAAAAAAAAAAAGAAGAAAAGGAGGGGCAGAATTTATGTAAAAAAAGTGTTATATGGTAAATTCTTGTCCTGAAATAAATTAACTGGTTGTTTAAAGAAAGAAATGTTTGTAATAAGTCAGAAAGTTCAGGCATTGCTAAGAATTGTCTGCAAAAGTTGTGAAAGAGAAATATGTTATAAAAAAAAAGAATTTATGCAAGAAAAGTTGTATAATTTAAAAGTAACTAGGCCTCCTGAATGTAAAACTATTGAAATAAACAGTTTATGTGCAAGGTGTATAAGGAAAGTAAAATATAACTTTGGTAAAAGGATTATAAGGAGGCAAAAGAATGTAAGTTGTTACATACATTAAAAGGTTAAAAAAACTATTTTGAAGGTTTAAGCAAGTTTTAAAATGTTAATTGTAAAGGAAATTCTGTGTGTAAACATATTAGCCAAAGGTAAAGGGGTAACATCCAGTTTTTCTGTGAATTGGACATTAAAGTAAAAACACAATGGGTTTTTCTTAAAGCACTAACCTGCTCTTTAACAAAGATTATAAAAAGTGAGTCTATAAAAATCTTACCTGATGGTCCAACATGAAAAATTCAATAAATATGTATACAAAGTTTTATTAAAACTAAGTTTAACATTAATAACACACTAATATAAAGGTGAAATTTAGCTTATCTGGTATAAAAATCATACAGGAAGCATTGTCAAATATAAAATGGTATTTGGCTTCTTTGGTCTAAAAACTAATAAAAATAGGTGCTAAAGGAAATTTCTCAGTGGAAAGGCACCAAGAACTATAAAGTCCACTGCTGATGTCCCCACATTTAAAACAAAAGGTCAACTTCTTAGAAATTATATACTTGGTTTATCTTCCACTTTCCTTTCCCTCAAAACTAAAAGTCTTTTAGCACATGTACCACCCCTAGAATTTCCGGTAAACCAGCACCAGCCTATCCGCTCGGGGATGAACAAGGGCTGACTGATTGATAAGCTCTTGAAAATTCTTAAGCTCACTGCATCCCTTCAGGTCTCCAAGGAACGCTAAGTTTCTTCCCTGTTGTGAGAGACACGAAGTGAACTTAGTGTTGGGAGACGGAAGCTGGATGGCCCTCGGGGGCTGACCCGCAGGGTACCGGACTTTGGGATATAGCAGAGAGAGCTTGGCATGACTTACTACTCCAGGCTGTAGAATCCTGGATAAGAGCTACCATGCAGCCCACGTGTGGTCGACTGGAGGATCAGCTGCTTAGTGGAAAGAGGACAATCTGGGCCTCTGGCCTGCCATGTGCACAAGCATAACAATTGCTTTTGTTTAACGTGCAGATGGAATATTTGATCCATTCCAACCAGGCATTTGCATCTTGGTATCCTGTCTTAATTGCCAAAGTTTGTTTTAAGTCTTTAACTTCTATCATCCTCTAGTAAAATGAATGTATGATTTTAGGAAATTACAAAAACCGGTTGGGGCAGCCCATCCTTGCTCTTTAGTGGTCCACAGAATGTTGGACCAACTACGGCATAAAAGCTCTACATAGGGGAGCAAGACTCCTGGTTGACACTGGAGTCTTAATCAAAATTTCCCCAGATTAAATGGTCCTAATTTACTAATGCCCAGTCTGAGGAGAGTCAGGAGGGACAGAGGTACTTTTCTGAAGTAGAGAGCTGTCTTTGACTGGGCAAGTCCCCACAGGGTATAACAAGGCAAGCATTAAATGCAATAGTTTGAGGCAAAATTGACTTGGTTATGTTAATAACCAGATGGTCAGCAAAAGAGCGAGGTAAGAAGAAAGAGTAATAGAATAGATTAAGACTTAAATTTTTGTTAGCTTTAGTTTGGTAAGGTTTTCCCCTGGGACTATGGCCCATGACTCTGGAGGGGGTGGCACTTTCTTGACTTGGTTGTGATTAGTCCATCCTTTTTTCACTGTATGAACAGCAGTCTCGGTGTTTAGCAGCACAAGGTAGGGTCCTTCCTAGGCTGGATCGAGTTTCCTTTCTTTTCACCCTTTGATGAGAACGTGATCTTCAGGATGTGTGGTGGTATTGTGATTGTGTGTGGACCTTTACTGGGCACTCTGCCGAATAACTGGAGTGGCACTTGTACTTTAGTTCAATTGGCTATCCCTTTCACCCTGGCATTTCATCAACCAGAGGGAAGAAAAATAAGACATTGTAAAGCGAGAGAAGGCCCTTATGGGTTTTTTGACTCTCACGTCTATTTAGACACAATTGGAGTCCCACGGGGAATACCAGATCAATTTAAAGCTTGAAATCAAATAGCTGCAGGATTTGAGTCAATATTTTGGTGGGTGGCAGTTAATAAAAATGTAAATTGGATAAACTACATCTATTACAACCAACAGCAATGAGCTTTTCATGAGTTAAAAGAAAAACTCCTGTTGGCCCCAGCCCTGAGGCTACCCGACCTGACAAAAGCCTTTACACTCTATGTGTCAGAAAAAGAAAACACGGCAGTTGGAGTTTTAACCCAGACTGTGGGGCCCTGGCCAAGGCCAGTGGCCTATCTCTCAAAACAACTAGACGGGGTTTCCAAAGGCTGGCCCCCATGGCTAAGGGCCCTGGCAGCAATGGCCCTGTTAGCACAAGAAGCAGATAAACTAACCCTTGGGCAAAACCTGAATATAAAGACCCCCCCATGCTGTGGTAACTTTGATGAATACCAAAGGACATCATTGGCTAACAAATGCTAGATTAACCAAGTACCAAAGCTTGCTATGTGAAAATCCCCACATAACCATTGAAGTTTGCGACACCCTAAACCCTGCCACCTTGCTCCCGGTATCAGAGAGCCCAGTTGAATATCACTGTGTTGTATTGCACTCAGTTTATTCTAGTGGGCCCAACCTCTGAGACCATCCTTGAACATCAGTAGACTGTGAGTTGTACATGGGCGAGAGCAGCTTCGCCAACCCCTGCAAAGTGACTCTGAAGAAGATGACAATACCTGCTTCAGTCACACCCGGAAGCTGACTGGTCCACGCATGGCCAAAGCATGAGAAAACTCATTGCGGGACTCATTTTCCTTAAAATTTGGACTTATACCATAGGGACTTCAACTGACCTTCCTCAGACTGAAGACTATTCCCAGTATATACGTCAAGTCACTGAGGTAGGAAAAAAGTTGCTACAGTCCTATTATTTTATGGTTATTATAAGTATACCAGGACTCTAAAAAGAACTTGTTTGTATAATGCTATTCTATACAAGGTATGTAGCCCAGGAAATGACCAACCTGATGTGTGTTATGACCCATCTGAGCCTCCCATGACCACAGTTTTTAAGATTAAGGACTGAAACCTGGTGGGGGCTCATAAACGATATGAGTAAAGTGTTAGCCAAAACAAAAGAAAAAGGGGTGCCCAAACAAGTCACCTTGAAGTTTGATGCCTGTGTTGTCATTAATAGTAATAAGTTAGGAATAGGATGTGGTTCTCTTAATTAGGAAAAAGGCTATATGGCAAAAAAAAAAAAAAAGTACATTTGTCATAAATTAGGACTGTATGGAAATGAACGTGCATACTGGTCTTGTGTCATTTCGGCTACTTGGATAAAAAATGAAAAGGATCCCGTCCACCTTCAGAAAGGGAAAAGTGGCCCTTCCTGTACAAGTGGTCAGTGTAACCCCTTAGAACTAGTAATAACCAACCCCCTTGATCCTCACTGGAAAAAAGGGGAGCGTGTAACCCTAGGAATTGAGGGGGCTGGACTGGATCCTCGAGTAAATATCATGGCTTGAGGAGAAGTTTATAAACGCTCTCCTGAGCCAGTATCTCAACCCTTCTACGATTAACTGAATGTGTCAGTACCAGAAATTCCAGGAAAAACAAGAAATTTGTTTTTACAATTAGCTGAGCATGTAGCCTAGTCTCTCAGTTTCACTTCATGTTATGTATGTGGAGGAACTATAATGGGAGATCAATGGCCATGGGAAGCCTGAGAATTAGTACCTACAGACCCAGTTCCTGATGAATCCCCAGTTCAAAAGAATCACCCTGATAACTTCTGGGTCCTAAAAGCCTCAATTATTAGACAATACTGTATAGCAAGAGTGGGGAAGGACTTCAACCTTCCTGTGGGAAGACTCAACTGCCTTGAGCAAAAACTGTATAATATTACTACAAAAACAGCCACCTAGTGGAGTTCAAACCACACTAAGAAAAATCCATTTAGTAAATTCCCAAAGTTGCAAACCATGTGAACCCACCCAGAGTCCCACTGGGACTGGGCAGCCCCCACTGGATTATACTGGATATGTGGGCATAGAGCTTACACCAAATTACCCTACCAGTGGGCAGATAGTTGTGTTATTGGCACTATTAAACCATCTTTCTTCCTACTGCCCATAAAGACAGGCAAACTCCTGGGCTTCCCTGTCTATGCTTCCCACAAAAAGAGAAGCATAGCTATAGGAAATTGGAAAGATAATGAATGGCCCCCTGAGAGAATCATATAATATTATGGGCCCGCTACTTGGGCACAAGATGGCTCGCGGTGATATGGGACCCCCATTTACATGCTGAACTGAATCATACGGTTACAAGCTGTCTTAGAAATAATCACTAATAAGATCGGCAGAGCCTTGACTATTCTGACCCAGCAAGAAACTCAGATGAGAAATGCTGTCTATCAAAATAGATTGGCTCTCGACTACTTGCTAGCAGCTGAAGGAGGGGTCTGTGGGAAATTTAACCTTACTAATTGCTGTCTACACATAGATGATCAGGGGCAAGTAGTTGAAGGCATAGGGATATGACAAAACTGGCACATGTGCCCGTGCAAGTGTATCATGGATTTGATCCTGGAGCCATGTTTGGAAAATGGTTCCCAGTGCTAGGAGAGTTTAAAACTCTTATAATAAGAGTCATAATAGTAATAGGAACCTGCTTACTGCTCCCTTGTTTGCTACCTGTACTTCTTCAAATGATAAAATGCTTCATCACTACCTTAGTTCACCAAAATGCTTTAGCACAAGTGTACTATATGAATTACTATCAATCAGTCTTGCAAGAAGACATGGGTAGTGAGAATGAAAGTGAGAACTCCCACTATTGAGTGAGATTCTCAAAGGGGCAGAATAAGGGAGGAGACCACCCCTCATATTGTCTTATGCCCAATTTCTGCCTCCAAAGAAGTAAAAACTAAAAGGCAGAAATGAAATCCACAAGCAGACAGCCCGGTGCCACACCCTGGGCCTGGTAGTTAAAGATCGACCCCTGACCTAATTGGTTATTTGCATAAGAAAAGCACTGTAAAGATCCCTGTCCTGTTCTGTTCCCTTCTAATTACTGGTGCATGCAGCCCCCAGTCATGTAACCCCTGCTTGCTCAATCATGACCCTCTCACGCGGACCCCCTTAGAGTTGTGAGCCCTTAAAAGGGACAGGAATTGGTCACTCAGGGAGCTCTTGGAGTGAGCAATTCCTGTCCCTTTTAAGGACAGGAATTGTGTTGGAGATGTGAGTCTTGCCAAAGCTCCCGGCCGAATAAAGCCCTTCCTTAACTCGATGTCTGAGGGGTTTTGTCTGTGGCTTGTCCTGCTACAATGTTAGCTGTGAGTTTGTAGTATATGGCCTTTATTATTTTGAGGCATGTTCCTTCTGTGCTTAGTTCTTTGAGAGTTTTTATTATGAAGGGATGCTGAATTTTATGAAATGTTTTTTCTGGGTCTATTGAGATCGTCATGTGGGTTTTGTTCTTGATTCTCTTAATGCAAAGTATCGTATTTGTTGATTTGCATATGTTGAGTTGTCCTTGCATCTCTGGTATAAAACCTACTTGATTATGGTGTATTATCTTTTTCTGTGCCCTGTTTTGATTTAATAGTATTTATATGTATTTTTTTATTATACTTTAAGTTCTAGGGTACATGTGCACAACGTGCAGGTTTGTTACATATGTATACATGTGCTATGTTGGTGTGCTGCACCCATTAACTCATCATTTACATTAGGTGTATCTCCTAATGCTATCCCTCCCCCGTCCCCCCACCCCGTGACAGGCCCTGGTGTGTGATGTTCCCTGCCCTGTGTCCAAGTGTTCTCATTGTTCAATTCCCACCTATGAGTGAGAACATGCAGTGTTTGATTTTCTGTCCTTGCAATAGTTTGCTCAGACTGATGGTTTCCAGCTTCATCCATGTCCCTACAAAGGACATGAACTCATCATTTTTTATGGCTGCATAGTATTCCATGGTGTATATGTGCCACATTTTCTTAATCCAGTCTATCATTGATGGACATTTGGGTTGGTTCCAAGTCTTTGCTGTTGTGAATAGTGCTGCAATAAACATACGTGTGCATGTGTCTTTATAGCAGCATGACTTATAACCCTTTGGGTATATACCCAGTAATGGAATGGCTGGGACAAATGGTATTTCTAGTTCTAGATCCTTGAAGAATTGCCACACTGTCTTCCACAATGGTTAAATTAGTTTACAGTCCCACCAACAGTGTAAAAATGTTCCTATTTCTCCACATCCTCTCCAGCATCTGTTGTTTCCTGACTTTTTAATGATTGCCATTCTAACTGGTATGACATGATATCTCATTGTGGTTTTGATTTGCATTTCTCTGATGGCCAGTGATGATGAGCATTTTTTCATGTGTCTGTTGGCTGCATAAATGTCTTCTTTTGAGAAGTGTCTGTTCATATCCTTAGCCCACTTTTTGATGGGGCTGTTTGTTTTTTTCTTGTAAATTTGAGTTCTTTGTAGATTCTGGATATTAGCCCTTTGTCAGATGAGTAGATCACAAAAATTTTCTCCCATTCTGTAGGTTGCCTGTTCACTCTGCTAGTAGTCTCTTTTGCTGTGCAGAAGCTCTTTAGTTTAATTAGATCCCACTTGTCAATTTTGGCTTTTGTTGCCATTGCTTTTGGTGTTTTAGACATGAAGTCCTTGCCCATGCCTATGTCCTGAATGGTATTGCCTAGGTTTTCTTCTAGGGTTTATATGCTTTTAGGTCTAACATGTAAGTCTTTAATCCATCTTGAAATAATTTTTGTATAAGGCGTAAGGAAGGCATCCAGTTTCAGCTTTCTACATATGGCTAGCCAGTTTTCCCAGCACCATTTATTAAATAGGGAATCGTTTCCCCATTTCTTGTTTTTATCAGGTTTGTCAAAGATAAGATGGTTGTAGATGTGTGGTATTATTTCTGAGGGCTCTGTTCTGTCCCATTGGTCTATATCTCTGTTTTGGTACCAGTACCTTGCTGTTTTGGTTGCTGTAGCCTTGTAGTATAGTTTGAAGTCGGTTTAATAGTATTATTGTTGCAATTTTTGCATCTATGTCCATCAGGGTTATTGGTCTAGAGTTTTTCTTTTTTGTGTGCCCTTCTCTGATTTTGGTATTAGAGTGATACTGCCTCATAGAATGAGTTAGAGATAATTTTCGCCTCTTTGATTTTTTTGAATACTTTGAGGAGGATTAGCATTAGTTCTTTGTATGTTGGTAGAATTTGACTTTAAATTCATCTAGTCCTGGGCTTTTCCTGTTTGGAGGTTTTAAAAATTACTGATTCAATCTTGTTATTTGTTCTTATTTGGAGATAATTTTTTAAATTACTGATTCAGTTTTGCTATTTTTTATTGCTCTAATTAGGTTTTCTATTTTTTTCTTGTCTAATCTTGGGAAGTTGTATGTTTCCAGGAGTTTACCTGATTCCTCTAGGTTTCCTAATTTGTGAGCATATAGTTCTTCCTCATTATCTCTGATCATTTGTATTTCTGTTGGTCAGTTGTATTGTCATATTTCTCATTTCTGATTTTGTTTATTTGGGTCTTTTCTTGGTTAGTCTAGCTAGTGATTTTTAACTGTTTTTAATCTTTTGAAGAACCAACTTTTGTTGATTCATTGTATTGTTTTTAGTTTTCATTTTTTTTTAGTTCTGCTCTAATGTTTGTAATTTTTTTCTGCTGCTAATTTTCAGTTTGGTTCTTGCTTTTTTAGTTATTAGGGCATATTAGTAGATTGTTATTTTGTAATCTTTCTATCATAGGCATTTAATGACATGAGGTTTTGTTTTGTCATATTGTTAATTATTTTCTAGTTGTCTTATAAATTTTTTGTTTCTTTTTAGTCTTGGTGTTTGTCATTGTGGTTTGGTGGATGCTGCAGTGGTGCTCTTTGATTCCTTTCTCTTCCTCCTTTTTGTGATTACCAGTGAGTTTTATATTTTCTTGTGTTTTTATGGTGGTAAATGTCATCCTTTCACTTCTATTGTAGGACTCCCTTGAGCATTTCTTATGCTGTTAGTCTGATGGGAGTTCCTTATAGGTGAATAGATACTTTTCTTCTGCTAATTTTAGAATTCACTCTTTCACTTTGACTTAAGACATTCTTATTATAATGTGTTGTGACAAGGTTCTTTTTGTGTTGTATTTTCTTGGGGATTGCTGAGTCTCCTGTATCTGGATGTCTACAATTCCCACTAGAATTGGAAAGTTTTCATATATTATTTTGTTAAATTGGTTTTCTAACCTTTTTGATGGCTCTTCTCCCTCAGGGATACAAATAGTTTCTAAATTTAGCCTTTTTATGTTGTCCCAAGTGTTTCAAAGGTTTGTTTATTCTTTTAAATTCTTTTTTAATTTTTATCTTAGTGGATTGTTTTTAAAAGGCTGTCTTCAATTTCTAAAATTCTTCTACTTGGTCTAGTGTATTGTTGAAGCTATTGGATGTATTTTATATTTTCTTTAATAATTTCTGCAGTTCCTGAATTTTTTTTTAATCTTTTTGATAAGTTTCTCATTTGTATCCTGAATTGTTTTTTTTGGAGTTGTTTGCATTGGTTTTCCAATTTCTCTTGCATCTCATTGACCTTTAAAATTAATATTGTGAATTATTTATCCAAGATTTTGAGAATTGAGAATTTCTTTTTCGTTAAGAGCTATTGCTGGAGAATTGTTGTGTTCCTTTGAGGGTGTCATATTCCCTTGCTTTTTTATGTTTCCTGTATCATTACATTAATTTCTGGACATCTAGTGTAACAGTTGCTTTTTCCTATTTTTGAATTTACTTTCACTGGATGGGGGGATTTTTTTTTTTCTGAAGGTGTGTCAGTGGTGTTGATTAGGTGGGGCCTTTTAGCTTTGCTTCTGGATGTGTGCTGCAGGGAAGCCCCTGTGTGATTTCTTTGGCTATGAACAGCATTAGTGGTGTCTGTGGTTTCCTCAGTATGCTGAGGTGCAGTTATTAGTGGAGACTATGGTAAAGTGGTTATGGGGACTGGAGTGCCAGATGGGCTCATCTTCAGGCTTCAGAGGTAGCAGTGGTTGGCCAAGCATGTCTATCCTCATATCATGGTGTTACGTATGCTGGCACCTGTGTTAGTGGTTCCAAGTGAGCTGATTCATGGGCCTCTGCATGGCTTTCTCAGATGCTTATAGGCTCTCAAGTCCTTGGGCAGCCGCTGTGGTGTGGGTCATGGCAGTAGCAGTGGCAAGATGCTCTTCTGGGTCCCAAGAACTATGCACTTGTGCTGGCAATGGTTGCAATGGGCTATGCAGGCCAGCAGGTGGCATTTGCAGATGAGAAGCAGCAGAGGTAGAATCTGTAAGTTGGTTAGGCCCAACTTTAGGAGGAGTGCTCTGGTGTCCCACATAGTGGATTGGGCTGTACAATTTCCCAGGCTCTGGACCCCATACTCTGTCTTGGGAGGTGATTTGGCAAAGCCTGTTGGAGTTGAACCAGGAAATCTTGCTCTCAGGCCCTCCAATAACACGTGCATGCACCTGCTGTGATGGGCAGGGCAGTTTTTAGGTCCTAGCAGAATTCTTGGGTTAGGGACAGCAGCTGCCATGCTGAGGTCTTACCCTGGGGAAGATGAGGCTGGCTCCGGTGGCCATAGCCTTGGCCAGTGAATGGGGGATGTGTATCCCTCTCATGCCCCCATCCCACCAGAGCTTGCTCCCCAGTTCCAGCTGTTGCAGCTAATCCAGCTGATCCATCACACCTCACAGTCTGTACCCAGCCCACAATTCAGCCCCAGGCTGTAGGAGCCCCTGTCCAGCTCTATACCAAGACTTCATGGTAACTTGCTTCTCGCTGCAAGGTTACAATACCCATTTCCCCCATGCCCAATGTGAAAGGCAGCAGCCTACCCCACCCTTGCTTCTTAGTCCTAGCTATAGGAGCCCACCCTCTGCTTGTGCCCCAACTCTAATAAACAGCTCAACTTTCCATGCCTAGGACTAGTGCCACTGGTTTTCATGACAGTACCTGAAAACAGATCCTAGTCTAGTAAAAGCTAGGATTGAAAATGGCATTTTTTTCTGCAGCTGCTTAGATTTTTAAAAGGGTGTGAGACCCAGGGTAAGCTCCCTCCCTGCAGTGTTTTGTTTTTTTTTTTCTCACAGTCTCCCAGGGGTTCCCAAGTTACATGTAGTGCTTCAGAGTGCTGTTTGGTAGTTTGGATTGTATGATTCCCCAGTGGGAAAGTGGGCCATAGTAAGACTCTCCCTCACCCTCTCCCCATACTGGGGAGTCACTGTCCATTTCCAGCCAGCCTTGGGCCAGCAGGGTGCCTGTTTTGTGTTTTTGGTTGTTGTTTTTTTTTTTTTCTTCTTCTTCCTACTTTTTGGTTTTTCCTGTTACTTTTCTGTGGAACTTTCATGTTCCTTCTGAATAATGTATTCAAGGTGTGATTGTCTATACCCTTGTAGTTCTAAGTGAATGAGGCATGCTGAAAATGCTTTTAGTCAACCATCTTGAAAAAACAACAAACAAAAACAAGCCAAACTCACAGATTTATAAGACAGTTGGATCTCAATTTTTTTTAATGAGATAAGGCTAAACTTAAATTTATAATAGGTAATCTTTGATATAGTTTGTATATTTATGGCCATCCAAATATGTTGAATTGTAATCCCCAATTCTGGAGGTGGATCCTGGTGGGAGGTGTTTGGGTCACGGGTAAATCCCTCATGGCTTGGTGCTGTCATCATGATATTGAGTTCCCATGAGATCTGGTCTTCATTTAAAAGTGTGTGGCACCTCCCCACATTTTGCTGTCAGCATGTGATGTGCTTGCTTCCCCTTTGCCTTCTGTCATGATTGTAAGCTTCCTGAGGCCTCTCCAAAGGCCAAGCAGATGCCAGCACCATGCTTTCTATAAAGACTGCAGAACTATGAGCCATTTAAGCCTTTTTTCTTTATAAATTGCCCAGTCTAGCTATTTCTTTATAGCAGTACAAGAATAGCCTAATACACTTGTAAAGGCTGTGAACCAACTTGTGAGTAAAACAGTTTAATTCAGCTAGATTTCACAAAGAATACTTAACTGTTAAAATGTGACCCAATTATATGAGGAGGCCTAAAAGGTGAGAGTTATTCTAACAAAGCCTTTAGGGTATTTTCTTGGACTTCACTATTTTTTCTTGAAGATAAGAATGTTGCCATTCCTTTTCACATAGGGCTGGTGTCTTTTACATGAAAAATTTATATTTTACATTTAAGAAACAGCATCAAGGTCAAAATTTTTTTCTTTCATTTTTGCTGGTTTTTAAGTGATTTTTACTTAACTAGTATATCAGAATCGCTGAAAAGTTGCAGAAAAAAAAGAGTTTAGCTTAGAGAAGGATAAAAAGGAGGAATTATAAGATGGGGAGAGGAAAGCCCCAGGAGCAGACTGTTTCAGTTAGCTTTGAGAAAGATTGCCTTGCCAGAAAATATTACTATTAGTCCTGAATTGTTTTGTTGTTTTTTTTTAAGCCTCAACATATCAATTGAGATAAGAGTTTAATTTGGAGTATAAATTTTATGGACACAATCTTTCACTTTAGTTTTAAGAACAACAGATTAAATGATCCCTATAGCATTTTAACATGTTATCAGCTGGACTCCCAGAAAATATTGTGGCATGGCTTTGAACTTTGAGAGCTCATTTTTAACTAAATATGCCTTGATGATTTGGTTTACTGCCAAATACACAAAAGCCAGTTAAATGCAAGTGCTGAATATGCAAAGGCCAAATAAATGAAAGTGCCAATGGAAAATATAGTACTTACTTACCAGGAAGGACAGTAAGCCTTCTCCATATGAAGGGGTAAATCCCCTAAACCAAACCTTGAAACCAAGCGTCCAGCTGAGGTTCAAATTTCCAGCTGAGGTCAACAGGAGGAAACTAACCTTTCTCCACAGGAAATCTCCTAGCCAGGAGGAGAAAGATCTCTCTTCAAACAAGAGGGGGAAAGACCCCTCCTCAGTCAAATCCAAAACAAAACAGAGCTCAATCAAAATCAAGACTTTGTTCCAAAACAGACTCATGAAGGGAGGCAGATCATGAATGTGGGGTGGGGAGCTTACTGGGCCCCAGTGTGAGTACCTCATACCTTAGATCCAAGGGCTGGTGATTCTCCCCAAGGTGAGTCACCTTTGGAATCCTGCTTCTGGCACCAAGTGTGTTGAAGTAAAAAATGTAGAGGCAAATCTCTAAATGTAATCTTTTATTTGGGAAACAAGAATTACAATTTGGGGTGTACTCACAGACTAGGTAGACTTTGGTATTTTCAAAGAGCAGACAAAAGTTGGAGGTTTTAGAAAAAGGTGAAATGTTATGTATTGTTTTCCAGAAAGTTTATTAGCACCAGCAAAGTTTCAAAGAGCTGGCAAGCTTTGATGGGTGAGTGACGGCCATGTGTAAAACAAGTCTTAGAGTTGAGCAGATTGTTTCAGTAGCTATTAGAAAAAACTGTTTTCAGGTTACAGCTGGTCATTACAGAGGTCAGGATTGCAAAAAAATCACATCGTTGAAGCAATGTTATATGCCCTAAGTGGCTTTGCCCCTGGTCGCTTGCCTCTGTTTTAGTTGCGTATGACAAGATGACCCAATTTGTATGATCAGCTTTACAACTGGGAGGATAATACCCTGGCTTACCTCCAAGGTTCTCAGGTAGGCACTCCTGATCCAGATTGGTGTTCCATGTGTCAGAAAAGTGGGCCCAGTGGCTCCACACAGACAGGTGATCTTGGTGGGGACCTTTGGTTCTGCAGCCCCTTCGAGGAAGCTCTACCTGAAAGTGTGGCTCTTCTCTCCCTGGAGCACCCCCACATTCACTTGTTTCTGCATTCATACATCCATGTATGCATGCCAACACACATGCTTCTACTTTCTTCCTTAATTGTGTATGTGAATCTGTGTGTTTTCTTCTTTTTGTCTTCCTTTCTCCCATAACCACCTTGGAGATGCCACTGTGGATAGAGATTCCTCCCAATTAAGTGGTAGCCCTTAACACTGCATGATGGACACTCCCAGGTTTCCCCTCTGCCTTCTATTCATCCTCCTGACTCTGCCTACAGTGAGAATTAGATGTGATTTTTCCTTGTGTGTTTTTAGTGTCCAGTGTGAATGAAGGCAAATGCAGAGGTATGTGTGCTTTGACACCAAGAAGCTTACATGTGATAGACTTTCTTATACTTTGTAGCTTTCACAAAACACATCTCCTGGACTTTGCCTCTCTGTTCAGAGTCAACATACTCCCAGATTCTTTTCATTTCCTAATAACTGCTCAGTTGCCCATGTGTCTTCCTGGAGGTGGCAAGAACATCATTTATTTACCATGTCCCTTCTCTTTGAACATGAGGGTTCTTCCTTTTTCCCCCCTACTGTTTTCTTGAAACAGAAGTAGCTTTGAGGCTATGTAAAGACCTACTTTCTGTAGGAGGTGTGTGAGTGAGAGAGAGAGACAAGTGCATCATATGGTATTAATGTCCACCCAGAAGAAAGTGACTTGGTAGATTAAAAGGTAGCCACATCCAAGAATGATTTGTCCTTATGCCCAGAACATCAATATGGCATAGCTGTGTGCAGCCAGAATGGAGGTACCTGGTTCTCATTTTTCCACCAGCCAGATGAGCTACAGGTCACTAGAGGATCTATTATTCTATTCATGTTGGAGAAAACAGCCTTGTGAACATACTTGGAAATTTATTCTTCCATACTCATATAAGTAAAGTAACCAGGAAAGAAATACTGTGAGGGGAGACGCCAAGGTGAGAAAGTCAGGGTACCCACAGAAAGGAGAACTGAGGGACAGATATCCTCTGGTTTTATACAAGACAATTCCAGGAGAGCTGCCTCTTTATGACAGCCTCGAGTAGCATTTGTGTGATTTCCAGATGAGTAGAGTTGATTTTCATGATATGCTTTCTCCATAGATGACAGGACACTAGAGAGCTGATATCCTAGCCTAAAAGCCCTCACCCAGTTGCTTTCATGGGGTATATGTACACTGCTATGTTTTGAATGTCACTTTAGCAGTCCATCCCACATACAGTGAAGGACAGTTGGCTATCTTGTTTCAGGGAACACAGAATAGACAGAAAGAGAGGAAAACTGCAAGCCTGGGTTGTCTGTAGGTGCTGGGGTTATGGGCAAGTGGTTTTTTTTTCTTCTTCTTTTTGAAGAGTCTGTTTTATGTTATAAGTGGGGCAGTGGTTCTGGGATTTCAGCACTCCTCCAAGAGAGACTACTAGGGCATGTAGATAGCTGGCATGGGGCATTTGTATCCTCTTCTATAGCTTTCTACCATGCTTGGTAGGAAAGGCTCATGAGTAAAGTCTTGATGGTGGGCTCAAAGTAGGGAAGCATCTGAATGAGCACCTAGGTATGATGTGTACCGTTAAGGGGATTGGGTTACTTCATGAAACTCAAGGTCTCTGTCCTAAAGAGCAGGGGAGGTTGGAAATGGGTTGGGCCTAGAACTTCGTGAGGCCATCTGCCAGTGATAGGACTTTTGGGCTCCCTTTATTGCCCATAATAAATGATCCCAGCCTCACTGGGGCAGAAAAGTCTGTTTGGGACCCAGGGAAGGGAGCCAGATCTTCTGGACTTTTGCCTTGCATTAAATTATGTGCTCACTCACTTTTCTGCCTGATGTCACCTGATCCCTCCTGGGCCTGGCTTGCTGCACTATGGCCCTTCTCCTGACTAATGAGGACTTGTGTGCTCAGGCTGAACTCTAAGAGGGTGCTCCTGCAGAACGGAGTGGGGACGCATGTTCATGCCCACAGCCTGGTACCAATCTCCCCATGGTCTTTAAATCTATCTTTCAACACTCTCAGGAGGAACATAGAGGAAATGTGGTATCTTAAAGAGCTGTCATTCTCTTCCAAGCTGAAACTCAAGAGGCTTAGAAGTATACCTGCATCTACAGTATACCTGCATCTACAAGCCTTCTATGGAGAGTTGTTCAGTCACTGACCATGGGTCATGTGCAAGGAGGTGGGTATTCCTGTTATGGCATCTGTGTCCTCTCCTGGCCAGCCCAAGTGTGGGATCTTTATTGTTTGAAGACAAGTAGATGGCATGTGAGAGCGACAGATCACCAGACTGGGAAGAGGTTATGCAGGATGTACCAGTTGTGAGAACTAGGCACCCAGTAATCAGCTACAATGGATACTTCTTGGCTGTTTCTTTAATAACAGATGGCACAGGGACAGGATCTTGAGGGAGGGGAGGAAGTTTGCTGGTAATTCTGGTACAGTACTGCCATCAAGAGGAACATGTATGGCAATCACAATCACCCTTCCCTGTGGTTGCTTGGGGAGGAGTGGCTTGGTAGTACTGTCAGGATTCAGGCAAGACTAGGAGCTCTGCCCATATAAGCTATCCAGAGGCATGCGGGAAGCATGGCTCATGACCTGTTCAGGTTCTGGAAACTCCAGGGACAGGTGTCAAAAAGAGCTGGACATCCAGGACACCTGGCGGGTCCCATACAGAAAGCTGTGGCTCAAGAGGCTGGTGGCAGCCATGTCTGGGCAAGACTAGCAAAGGCCTCCACCAGGGAGCCCCATCTCAAGGCCATGGGCATTTTGCCTGGTTCCCTTTCCCCTGGGAACAATGGGTGGGAAGGCCTAGGTGGGTCCCAGGCCCTGAGAGACTCCCTTGGCCATAGTGCACCCTAGTGAAAGATCACTCCCAGCACTGTAATTCTTTGGCTATTGGTGCCTGAGATGGCCAGTGCTGGGATGGTCCACCATCTTAAAGAAGAAGATGTGCTGTCTGGGGCCCTGTGGGGCCTAAACCCAGACTTTACTAGATGAGATTGAGGCAACACCAGGCCTGGCCACCATGAGATACTATGCACCCCTGAGGACCTCATTTGTTGTGTCTATGTCTCAAAGGATCAGATGGTTGTCTTGGAACCTGTGCTCGTTTCTGTTTTGGAACCTTCCAAGGCTCCCTCCTGTTCTTTGGGGAGTTCCCAGGTCCTTGCCATGTTTAGGTTTAAACTGGGAGGGAAGAGAGTCTTCCTTGGCCTTCTGAAGTCCAGGAAGCCAAGAGCATGCAGAAGGAAGAACCAATTGGGCTTCTTGTGGAGAGAGCCTGCTACATGCCAGAAAGGACTGCTGGGGTACACTCAGAAAACGCTGTAAATGGTGCTATGACCTGGCACATTAACCCAGACATCTCCATGCCTCCTCTGTATTGGAGGTGGAATTAGGCCAGATCCAACATGGCATGTGAGATTGAAGCTTGGAGGACATGTCGCTTTGCAGGAAACAATCTGGTTAAGCAGAGGACCCGGCCATTTATTGGTGGGTTCTGGCGCTTTCAAGAATGTGAAGAATGAGTGGCCAAAGTTAACAAAGGAGCATGCACAGGGATGGGGGTCACACCCACTTTGTAGAGTTTAAGAATAGTAAGGGACCTACGGGAACTTCTCAAGGTAATAGGTGGCATGTCTTCTTTCCTTGGCATGACACAGAATGTAAAGATAATGGGAGGATGAACCTCCAAGCCTGGAACTTTGGGAGAAGCTTCTCCTCTTGGAAGTGCCAGTAGCAGAAAAGTTCCCAAATAGAACAGATTCCTTCATTCCACCTGAATTCAGAGAGAGATCCATGTGGACACATGTGCCTCTCCATCAGAGACTGCTATCCAGACATTCATCTTCCACCTAAAAATGCACTTCTGCTGTTGACTGCAGGCCAATGTTCCCAGGATAAACAGGGTGACATCCAACTGTTACTTGCCTCAACTTGCCTTTGGGGATCAAGAAGGAAGTTCCCCCGGGTGGGTGGTAGAACTGGAAGTAGTGTCACAGGCCATGGGCTCTTTTGCATTTCTCTTACTGTCTCTCACTTGGCCTGAATGATTTATCACACGATCAGTTGCAACTGCCAAAGTTTGGGAGCACTACATTGATGTGAAGTTCTGGAGACAAAAAGGAACACAAACAGATAAAGGTAGAGAAGACAAAAGGGTGAAAGAGAGGGCTAACGACTGGGAGAAAGAGAGCAGAAAAAGAAAAAAAAAATTATGTCATAAAAACCCTAAAGACAAGTATGTAGAAGTCAAAGAAATGGAAAGGGGCCAGGGAGGTAGCAGCTTGGGTGTAATCCATTTTTGCTGTGTCCTCTGTCTTGTCTTCAGAGCAGTGTTTCTGGACAGTGTGTTCCTGCAGCACATGTTGGGGGCATGCCCACATCTAATTTGCCCCAACATGGTTGCAATACGGTTTCCAGTGCAAAACATTTATGTGGAGGACGATCAGAACACTTGCTTCTTGCCCATCTACCACTCCACAATGGCAAACATGAGTCCTCCACAGCATGCACAGTTCTGTGTGTTTTCTACCCGAAGTGTTCTGGAAAAAGCTATACAGAGATTATCATAGGCGAGGTGTGACTAGGACGCAAGTGTTTGGGGTGACACATGGCTCCCCTCCTGTCTGACTCCCAGGGCTACCACATGAGAACACCCAGGTCTACCACATGAGAAGAGCCCAGGACTCAGTCCCCCTATCCTGGAACTGCATATTCACCTGATTCTTTACTCCCAACCCCCAGGAGCCAATAGGACACTGGTGGCCTTTGACCTCATGGTCCAGCTGGCCTTGGAATGACCTGTGATAATGCCCAACTGGAAATGTCTCCTGGGGGGGTAAGGGGTGGGCTCAGATCCTACTCTGTGCTGAGTCTCCATCTATTCCCTGGGAACTCCATCTTCCCATACTACAGACATAGTTAGGGATATGGTTAGCTCGGGTTCATCCCTAGGGCTGTCAAAGAGGACCAAATCCCTGTTTGTCAGGAAGGCAGGCTAAGAAGTCCCCACCAAGGCCAGTCTCCCCAGGACAGGGCAGGGCCCCACAGGTGAGCCACAGCTTACACAAGGTAGACAACGTGGTGAACAGTCATGTTTGGAGCATGGTTAGCATTTTTTCTTCAGCAAAGGGCAGAGTGAGTGGACCTGGGGGAAGGGCAGGTGGGCATTTCTGTAGCAATATTGCCATTAAGAGGAAGCTGTTTGGCAATCATGCTCACCCTTCCTGTGGTTGCTTGGGGAGGATTGGCTTGGGAGTGTTATGGGGGACCAGGCAGGATGAGGTCCAGTGCCTGGATGGATCTGAGCTCTCTGGAAGCCTGAGGGAAGAGGGGCCCATGGCTGAATAGGGCTGTGAAAGGCCCAGAGAAAGGTGCCAGAATGAGATGGACAGGCAGGATTCCTGGCAAGTTCCCTAAAGGATTTCATGTCTCAGGAGGCTGGTGGTGGCCATGATCTGGGCGGGACTAGCAGAGGCCTCAGCTAAGGAGCATCAGCTTGGGGCTATGGGTAGTTTGCCTGGTGCCTCTTATGGGAGCAATGGGGGTGATGGCCTAGCTGGGTCCTTGGCCCCGGGAGGGTCCCTTGGCTGCAGTGCACCCCAGTGCTGAGGGGCAACTCCCAGTGCTGGAGTTCGGTGGTCATTGGCACCAGTGGTAGCCAGCGCTGGGGTATTCCTCCATCCTAGGAATGAAGATGGGTCACGTGGGATCTTGGCTCATACCCAGAGTGTCCTTGACAAGGTGGACGCAAGGCCAAGCCCAACCACCACGAGACACCACGCACCCCTCCCATGCAACACTCCCTTGTTGTATCCATGTCCCAGAGTTTCTCTTGGAGCCAGGCCATTCCCCATGGTGCTCATTTCTGCCTGGGGGCTTTCCATCAACCCCATATGTCTTGGGGTTGTGAAGGCCTTGCACTGTGATCAGAAGCATACAAACCAATGGGTTTGGTGGCAAACATGGCAAAATGGAGACTTTCTGGGCATCAGCTGGGTAGCATCAGGGCCTTCCTAGGCCTGCTAAAATCTGGGAAGCCAAGGCCATCCAGACAGAAGGACCTGTTGGGCTCAGCCTGGGGACACCCTGCTGTATGCCAGAAGGGTCTACTGGGGTGCTCAGGCAGCAACCCCCTGCCCTACTCAGGGTCTCTGAGGTTCAATTGGGCCAGGACCAACATTGGGTGCAGGGATGAGGCTTGGAGGATGCACCCCTTTGCAGGACATGGTCAGGTAAAGCAGAGGATCGAGCCATTTCCTGGGTCATTCTGGCCCTTTTGAGTGTGTTCAGGAGTTTACCAAGTGAAGAGGGGCTTGTGTCCAAAGGTGGGGATCTGCACTGCTTCACAGAATTCAAGAGTGGAAAGGGACCTAGAGGACCCTCTTGAGAAGACAAGTCGAATGTACTGTTTCTTTGGTAGGACTGAAAAATGCATAAGGAGGTGATGGGCCTCTGAGGCCTGAATTCTGGAAGCAGAGGACCAAAAGTGGAAAAGGTCTTGAAAGACACATAGTCCTCCCTTCCACATGAATTCAGCGAGAGAGCAAGCCATGTGGATTGGTGTGCCCTTCCCTGTCCATGTGCACAGAGACTGCCATCCAAACAGACATTCAAATTCTACCTGTATGCACTCTTGCTGTTGAGTAGGGGCCTATGTTCCCAGAACCAACGGGATGCCATTCAACTAGGACTTGACTCACCTTGGCTTTGGGGACCAAGAAGGAAGGTTCACCAAGGTGGTGGTGGTAGAAGTGGAGGAGGTGGCACAGGCCTTGGGCTCTTGGGCATTTTTTTTCCGCCACCTCTCAACCTACCTGCATGATTTCTCACACATTTAATTGCATCTCTTACAGTTTTAAAGGCACGTTGGCAGGAAGTCCTGGATAGTAAAAGAAACACAAACACGGAGACAGTAGGGGAGGAAGCAGGCCCCAGTGGGAGTGGACCAAAGAGCAGTGAGCCTGGGGGTGGAAATAGAGAGTGAAAGAGCACGCAGTAGAAAAGAGACAGAGATAGAGAAATAAATGTGCAAAATCTCAGAGAAGTGTGTGGGGGTCAAGGAGTCCAGAAGGGGTCAGAGAGGTAGCAGTTTGGGATTACTGTGTTTCTTCTGTTACCTCTGTCTTCAGAACAACGTTCAATGTCACTGTGTTCCTGCAGCACAAATTAGGCATTTGCCCGCGCCTTCACTGCCCCAACACGGTGACCATAAGGTTTCCGTCACAGAATTTTTGTGGGGAGGAAGATCAGAACACTTGGGTTTTGACCATCTACCACTCCCCCATAGCACACACAAGTCCTCAACAACTTGCACTCCTCTGTAGAGAAGCCTTCTGGGGAGAGCTCTCCAGAGGTTGACATAGGCCAGGTGTTAGAAGGACAGGTGTGCTTGGAGTGGCTCCTGGCTTTCAATTTGGTCCCGTCTGACCTATTCTGGCTTGGGCTCTCCCCCACCCCCTTACCAGGGCTGCTGTGTGAGAAAAGCCAGGGGCTCAGTCCTTCTATACTGGGATTGTAAGTTTTAGTGCCACACCCTAGGGGCCAATGGGATGCTGGTAGCCTTTGACCACGTGGTAGGTTCCAGGATGAGCTGGACAGCCAGGATTCCTGGTGCAACTCATACAGGAAGCCATGGCTGGGGAGCCTGGTGGCAGTCATTATCTGGGTGGGCCTAGCGAGGCCTCAGCCAAGGAGCATCGGCTCAGAGCCCTGGACAGTTTGCCTTGTGCCCCTTCCCCTGGGAGCAACGAGGGTGATGCCTAGCTGGGTCTACAGCCCTGGAAGACTCTCTTGGCCACGCTGCATGCCAGTGAGGAGGGGCCACTACTAGCGCTGCGTTCTGTGGCCACTGGTGATGGTGCTGAACTGCACCCAGGCGTTCCTCCATCCAAGGAGGAAGATGGTTGGTGTGGGATCCTGTGGGGCCCATAGCCAAGCTGTCCTTGAGAAGGTGGATGCAAGGCAAGGCCCAACCACCCTGAGACACTGCACTCCCAATGTGACCCTCTCTTGTTTTGTCCACATCCCAGAGTTTGTCATGGAGCTGGGCCATTCCCCCAAGGTGCTCATTTCTGCCTGGGAGCCTTCTTTTGACCCCATCTGTCTTTGGGGGTGCACAGGCCCATTGACAAGAAGGGGACCAACCAGTGGGTTGAGTGGCAAACGTGGCAAAATGGAGACTATCTGGGTGACAGCTGGGTGGGACCAGGGCCTTCCTAGGTCTGCTAAAGTATGGGAAGCCAAGAGCACCCAGAAGGAAGGACCCTTCAGACTCGGTGTGGGGACAGCCTGCTATGTGCCAGAAGGGTCTGCTGAGGTGCACCCAGGCAGCATCACCCTGCCTCTCCTCAAGTGGGTCTCTGAAGTAGAATCAGGCCAAGCCCCACATGGGTTTTACGGATGAGGCTTGGAGGATGTGTCCTTTTGCAGAACACGGTCTGGTACAGCAGGGGACTGGGCCATCTCCCAGGGAATTCTGGCCTTTCTGAATGTGTTCAGGAGTCTCCCAGGTGAACAGGGGCTCGTGTCCAAAAGGTAAGGATCAGCACCCTTTCGCAGAATTCAGGAGTGCAAAGGGACCTAGAGGATGCTATCGAAGTTACAGGTGGGATAAGCTGTTTTCTGGTAGGACTCAATGAAGGCATAAGGAGGTGATGGGCCTCTGAGGTCTGAATTCTTGGAAGCATAGTGCCCAGTTTGGAGTACCAAAATTAGAAATGGTCCTCAGGGTACATGGTCCTCCATTCCTCCTGAATCCAGCGAGAGAGCAAGCCACGTGTATAAGCATGCCCCTCCATCCCCGTGTGCACAGACTACCAACCAAACATTCACCTTCCACTGCAATGCACTATTGCTGTTTAGTGCAGGCTGGTGTTCCCAGGACAAACGGGGTGACATTCAACTTAAACATGCTTCACCTTGGCTTCAGGGACCAAGAAGGAAGGTCCCCGGGCTGGGGGTGGTGGTAGAAACGGAGGGAGTGGACCAGGTCTTGGGCTCTTGAGCATTTCTCTTGCCACCTCTCAGCCTACCTGCACGATTTCTCACACGTTCAGTTGCATCTCTTATCATCTTAAAGGCACACATTGACAGGAAGTCCTGGACAGTCAAAAAAAAAACAACCACACAGAGACAGAGCAGGAGAGGAAGCGGGCCCCAGTAGAAGTGGACGAGAGAACATTGGGCCTGGGGGTGGCTCAAAAGAAAGGAGGAGAGAGAGCACACAGTAGAAAAAGGAAGAGACAGAGAAGGAAAAACCTGTCATGGAAAATCCCAAAGGGAAGTGCGTAGGGGTCAAGGAGTCCGGAAGGGGCCAGAGAGGTAGAAGCTTGGAGTAGTGTGTTCCTTCTTTTTCCTCTGTCTTGAGAATAGCATTCAATGTCACTGTGTTCCTACAGCAGACGTCAGGCATTTGCCCCCGCCTTGACTGCTCCGACGAGGTCAACATAGGGTTTCCGTCACAGAATATGTGTAGGGAGGAAGATCAGAAGACTTGGGTCTTGCCCATCTACCACTCCCCCATAGCACGCATGAGTCCTCAATGGCATGCACACCTCTCTGTGTTTTTTATGTCCAGCCTTCTGGGCAGAGCTGTCGGGAGGTTGATGTAGGCCAGGTGTGAGGAGGACAGGTGTGTTTGGGATGGAACCTAACTCCCCTCCTGTCTGACCTAGGCTAGCTTGGGCTCTCCCTCCCAACCCCCTTGCCATGGCTGCCATGTAAGAAGGGCCGTGGGCTTGGTCCCGCTATCCTAGAGTTGTATATTCACCTGAAGTTTGAGTTCCAGGACCCAGTGGTACACTGGTCACCTTTGACCTCGTGGTCAAGCTGGTTTTGGAGTGACCTATGAGAATGCCCAAGTGCAAATGTCTCCTGTAGGGAAGGGGCTGGGCTCGTGTCCTGCTGTGTGCCCAATCTCCTTCTCTTCACTGAGGACTCCACCACCCTTCCATGCTAAAGGAGTACTTAGGGATGGGGTTAGGTTGTGGCCATCCCTAGGGTGGTCCAAGGGGACTGCTTTCCTGTTTGTCAGGAAGGCAGGCTAAGAGGTCCCTACTGAGGCCAGTCTCCTGCAGGTGGCTCAGTGCTGGGTGAAAGTTGCTAAGATGGTGATCAGCCATGTTTGGAGCATGGCTGGTGTTTTTTTCCTCAGCAAAGGGCGGAGGGAGTGGACCTGGAGGAAGGGCAAGTGGGCATTTCTGGAGCAATACTGCCATCAAGAGGAACTTGTCTGGCAATCCCGTGTACCATTCCCTGTGCTTACCTGGGGAGCAGTGGCTTGGGAGTGCTGTAGGGGACCAGGCAGGACTAGGGCTGGTGCCTGGATGGATCTGAGCTCTCTGGAGGTTCGAGGGAAGTGGGGCCTATGTCCACATGGGGCCGTGGAAGCCCCAAGGATAGATGCCAGGATGAGCTGGACAATGAGGATGCCTCGCCGGTCCTGTAGAAGAAGCCATGGCTCGGGAGCCTGGTGGTGGCCATGATCTGGGCGGGACTAGCAGAGACCTTGGCCAAGGAGCCTGGGCTCAGGGGCATGGGCAGTTTGCCTGGTGCCCCTTCCCTTGGTAGCAACAGGGGTGACGGCCTAGCTGGGTCCTTGGCCCCGGGAGGCTCTCTTGGCCACACTACATGCCAGTGAGGAGGGACCACTCCCAGCAGTGAGTCCTAACTGTGGCCATTGGCTCTGTTGGTGGCTGGTGCTGGGGTGTTCCTCCATCCTAGGGAAGATGGACCACATGGAATCCTGCGGGGCCCAGACCCAGACTGTGCTTGATGAGGTGGACGCAAGGCCAGGCCCAGCCACTCTTAGATATCGTTCCCCCGATGTGACCCTCTCTTGTTGTGTCCATATCTCAGAGGTTGTCTTGGAGCTTGGCCATCTTCCTGGTGCTCATTTCTTCCTGGGGGCCTTCCGTCAACCTCGCCTGTCACTGTGCATGCCAGTACACACAGAGATTTCCATTTACCTTCCCACCTCAATGCACTTTTGCCATTGAACATGTGCCGAAGTTCCCAGGACCAACAGGACGACATTCAACTGTCACTTGCCTCACCTTGGCTTCTGGGACCAAGAAGGAAATTCCCCGGGGTAGTGGTGGTAGAAGTGGAAGATGTGGCATGGGGCCTTGGGCTTTTGAGCATTTATCTTGCTGCCTCTCAGCCTACCTGTACAATTTCTCACTTGTTCAGTTTCATGTTTTATAATTGTGGAGGAATACATTTACATGACATCTTAGAGAGTTTAAAACACACAGACAAATACATAGAGCAGGAGAGGAAGATGACAAAACAGCATTTGGCTGATGGGTAGAAACAGAGAGAGAGGAAGAACGAGAGTGAGACAGAGACAAAGAAAAAAACATCTCATGGAAAATCCAAAAGAGAAGTGTGTGGGTGTCAAGGAGCCCAAAGGGGACCAGAGAGGTAGGAGCTTGGGTGTAGTCTGTTTCTTCTGTTTCCTCTGTCTTATACTGAGAGTAGCGTTCTTGGTCACTGTGTTCCTGCAGCATAGTTGGTGGTGGTCTTGCGTTTAGCTGCTGCAACATGGTTGCCATAGCGTTTCTGTTACAGGGTATGTGTGGGGAAGGATATAGTAACACTTGGGTCTTGCCTAGGTGAACACAAAATATCTGAGACAGGTCTCAGTCAATTTACAAAGTTCATTTTGCCAAGGTTAAGAACGTGCCCATGACAAAGCCTCAGGGAGTCCTGAGACATGTGCCCAATGTGGTCGGGGGTACAGTTTGCATTTAGACAGTTTACAGAGACATCAGTCAATATGTGTAACATGTACATTGGTTTGGTCCAGTAAGGTGGGACAACAAGAAGTGGGGACTTCCAGGTTAGAAGTAGATAAGCAACAAAAGGTTGCATTCTTTTGAGCCCTCGATAAGTTTTCCACTGAATACACAATGTAGTCTGGCTCAGAGAATCTGCATTTTTACATAAATGATAGGGGAGAGGAAGCAATCAGATACTCATTTGTCTCAAGTGAACCTCAAGGGATGACTTTGAATAGAATGAGAGGCAGATTTCCCCTAAGCAGTTCCCAGGTTGACTTTTCCCTTTAGCTTAGTGATTTTGGGGTCCCAATATTTGTTTTCATTTCACACCCATCTTCTGCACCCCCATGACTCACAAGAGTCCTCAACAGCATGCACAACTCTGTGTGTTTTCCACCTCTAACCTTCTGAGGGAAGCTGTCCAGAGATTGACATTGGCCAGGTATGAGGAGGACACGTGTGTTTGGGGTGGCACCTGGCTCCCCTCCTGTCTGACTTATCCCTGCCGGGACCCTCCAGGACTGCCATGTGAGAAGAGCCAGGGCATCATTCCCACTGTCCTGAAATTCTACGTTCACCTTACTCTAGTTCACCCCAGTGGCCTCTGGGATGCTGGTCACCTTTGACCTCGTGGTCAAGCTGCCCTTGGAGTGAACCATGACAACACCCAAGTGGAAATGTCTTGTAGAGGGCAAGGGGTAGGCTTGGATCCTACTGTGTGCCCAGTCTCCATCTCTTCTCTGAGGGCTCCACCATCCTCCCATGCTAAAGGCGGGGTTAGGGATGTGATAAGTTCCAGTCTATTCATAGGACAGCTGAAGGGGGCTGTTTCTCTCTTTGTCATGAAGGCAGGTGAAGAGGACCCTGCAGAGGCCAGACTTTGCTGAAAGGAGCCCTGCATGTAGGCCAAAGTTCACCCAAAGTGATTGAGATGGTGATGGGCCATGTTTGGAGCATGGTTGGTGTTTTTTCCTCAGCAAAGGGCAGAGGGAGTGGATGGGGGAAAAGAAGGTGGTATTTCTGGAGCAATACTACCATCAAGAGGAACTTGTGTGGCAATCCCGTGCATCTTTCCCTGTGCTTGCTGGGGAGGAGTGGCTTGGGAGTGCTGTGGAGAACCAGGCAGGACTAGGGCCAGTGCCCAGACAGATCCGAGCTCTCTGGAGGCCTGTGGGAAATGGGGCCTGTGGCTCAGGCCATGGAGGCCCCTGAGTTAGGCCAGGGTGACCTGGACATCCAGGATGCCTGGGAAGCCATGTCTTGGGAGCCTGGTGGTGGCCATGTCTGGGCGGGACTAGCGGAGGCCTCAGCCAAGGAGCATGGGCTCCGGGCGTGGGCAGTTTGCCTGGTGCCCCTACCCTTGGGAGCAAGAATCCTGATGGCCTAGCTGGGTCCTGAGCCCTGGGAGGCTCCCCTGGCTGCAGTGCACACCATTGAGAAGGGGCCACACTTAGCACTGGAGTTCTGCAGCCATTGGTGCCAGTGGTTGGAGAGCGCTGGGGTGTTCCTCCATCCTAGGGAAGAAAATGGGCAGCAATCCTGCAGGGCTGGTACCCAGACTGTCATTGACAAAGTGGATGTAAGGCAATGCCCAGCTACCTTGAGACACTGTGCCCTGCGCCCCCCCACCCCGTGACCCTCTTTTGTTGTTCCCATGCCCCAAATGTTCCCTTGGAGGTGGGCTATTATCTATGGTGCTCATTTTTGCTTGGAAGCCTTCTGCCAACTCAGCCTGTGCTTTGAGGGTGGGCAGGCCCTTGTCCTGTGATCAGAAGTGGACCAATGTGTTTTGTGGCAAGCGTTTCAAAATGGAGACTCTGGGTATAAACTGTTAGGGAGAGGGTGGTCCCAAACCTGCTGAAATTCCAGAAGCTAAGATGACACAAAAGGACAGACCCATCGGGCTTGGCCTCAGGAGATCCTGCTGGGTGCCAGAAAGAACTTCTGGGGCATGCTCAGGCAAATGTAGTGAATGACGCTTGGCCCTGGCTCATTCACCTGGACATACCCCTGCCTCTATTCAAGTGTGTCTGCAGAGTAGAATATGGCCATGTCCAACATGTTGTGCTTCACTAGAGCTTGGAGGACATGTTCCTTTGCAGTAAGGGATCTGGTAACGCAGAGGACTGGACTCTTTTCCATGGTGGGTGAGTTCTGGCACTTTTGAGAATGTCGAGAAAAGCTGACAAATGAACAGGGGTGCGTGTCCATGGTGGTGAGGCTCAGCCCACTATAGAATTCAAGAGAGGGAAGAAACCTAAAGGACCCTTTCGAGGTGACAGGTGAAATGTGTTGTTTCCTTAGGGTGGGACATAATGTAGCAAGCATAAGGTGATGAGCCTCTGATGCCTGAATCCTTAGGAGAACCGCCTTCTTCAGAGCACTAATAGTAGAAAATGTCCCAAAGAATACATGGTCCTCTTTTTCCATCTCAATCAAGAGACAGACTCACGTAAATACCTGTGCCCACAGAGACTGCAATTCAAACAGACATTCACCTTCCACCTAAACACCTTGTAGTCAACCTGCCCTTGGAGTGACCCATGAGAATGCCCAAGTGGAAATGTGTCATAAATGACAGAAGGTGGGCTTGGATCCTACTGTGTGTCCAGTCTCCATCTCTTCCCTGCAGGCTCCACCATCCTCCCAAGCTAAAAACATGGTTAGGGAGGCAATTAGGCCTGGTCCATCCCTAGGGCTGTCCAAGGGGACTGCTTTCTTGTTTGTCAGGAAGGCAGGCTAGGAGGACCCCACCAAGGCCAGTCTCCCAAGGGAGAAGTTCCCGCCTGTGGGCCAGAGCTGGCCCAAAAGGGCCGAGATGGTGATCAGCCATGTTTGGAGTGCAGTTGGCGTTTTCTCCTCAGCAAAGGGTGGAGGGAATGGACCTGGGGGAAGAGCAGATGGGCATTTCTGGAGCAATACTGCCATCAAGAGGAACTTGTTTCCTGGGCATTTCTCTTGCTGCCTGTCAGCCTACTGACATGACCTCTCACACGTTCAGTTGCATCTCTTACAGTTCAGGAGAAATACATTGATATGATGTCCTGGAGAAAGACAGATACACAAACATAGAGAGAGAGGGTTAGAGGGGGAGATGGCAAGAGAGAGAGAAAAAAAAGAGTTTGGTTCAAAGTGTTGGGAATGAGTCCGGGAGGCAGCAGCTTGGGTGTTGTCTGCTTTTTCTATTTTCTCTGTCTTATCTTCACAACAGTGTTCGTGGTCAGTGTGTTTCGGCAGCACACGTTGAAGGTATTCCCATATCTACTCTGCCCCAACACAGTCATAATAAGGTTTTTGTCAGAGAATATATGTGGGGAGGAAGATCAGAAAAAGTGGGTCTTGCCCATCTACTGCTCCCCTGTGACACACAGGAGTCCTCAACAGCACTCACACCTGTCTGTTTTTTCCCACCTCAAACATTCTGGGGTGAGCTGGCCAGAGACTGATATAGCCCAGGTGTGTTTGGGGTGGCACCTGGCACTCCTCCTGTCTCATCTATCTTTGCCTGTACCCCATGGGGCTGCCCCAGGAGACAAGCCGGGGGCTCAATCCTGCTGTTCTAAAATTGTACGTTCACCTTACTCTTTAGTCCACCCCAGTGGCCTGTGGGATGCTGGTTGCCTTTGACCTTGTGGTCAAGCTGGTCTTGTAGTGACTCATGGGAACACCCAAGTGGAAATGTCTCTCAGTAGGCAGGGAGTGGCTTAGATACAACTCTGTGCCCAGTCTCTTGTCTTTTTCCTGAGCGCTCCACCATCCTCCCATTCTAAAGGCATAGTTAGGGATGTGGTTAGGTCAAGTCCAACCCTAGGGCGGTCCGAGGGGACTGCTTTCCTGTTTGTCAGGAAGGCAGGCTAGGAGGACTCCGCTGAGGCCAGTCTCCCTAGGGAAAGGGTGCCACAGGTGGGCTAGAGCTGGCCCAAAGTGGCCAAGATTGTGATCGGCCATGTGTGGAGCATGTTGGCGTTTTTTCCTCAGCAAAGGGTGGAGGGAGTGGACCTGGGGGAAGGGCAGGTAGGCATCTCTGGAGCAATACTGCCATCAAGAGGAAATCATTTGTCAATCCTGCACACCCTTCCCTATGCTTGCCTGGGAAGGAGTGGCTTGGGAGTGCTGTGGGGGAGGAGGCAGGACTAGGGCTGGTGCCCGGACAGATCTGAGCTCTCTGGAGGCCTGACAGAAGTGGGTCTGTGGCCAGTTCAGGCCGTGGAAGCCCCAGAGATAGGCACCAGGATGCGTGGCTGGTCCTGCACAGGAAGTCTTGGTTGGGGAGCCTGGTGGCGGCCATGTCTGGGAGGGACTAGCAGAGATCTGGGCCAGGAAGCATCAGCTCAGGGCCATCGGCCCTTTTCCTGGTGCCCCTTGGGAGCAAAGGGCCAGATGCCCTAGAGGTGTACCTGGCCTGGGAGGCTTTCTTGGCTATGGGGCACCCCCAGTGAAGGTCCCTTCCCAGTGCTGGAGTTCTACGGCCATTGGTGCTTGCGGTGGCTGGCATTGGATTGTTCTTCCAATCTCTGGGAGAAGACGGGCTGCTTGAGACCCTGTGGGCCCATACTCAAACCTTTCTCTTTTTTTTTGACATGATTGAAGCAATGCTATGCCCAACCACCTTGAGAAGCCACCCACTCTTGCAACCCTGTTTTTCTGGTGTCCCTGTTCCAAAGGACGGGACCTTTGTCTTGGAGCGGGCCCATCTCCCTTGCATTCATTTCTGTTTCACATCCTTCTGCTATCTTCACCTTTGCTTTGATGCCACTCCAACATGATTGCTCATACAGCAATACACAGGAATGGACTTTGCTTCCTTCTCCACCTGTACTCAGGGAGCTGCGACTCAGAGTCAGGAGTCCCTGCCAAATTGACCAGTGTTTCATTTAGTCATTCCTCATCTTCCCCACTGTGCCCCTCCCTGTGCACCCAGCCCTATCCACATTTTTTATATATTAATTATCTCATTCACCCTCCCATTAAGCAAGTGTGCCTTGCCAAGAACCAGGCGCATGCTCACTGACACATAGCTCTTTTCTGTTGTCTCTGCCTCTCCCTAGGGGTGATTTCTGGAAAACCTGTAGGATGGGTCATGTCATTTGCCAGCTTCTGCCTTCCTTGGTTTGTGTTCCCTGGTCTGCACTTTCCCAAAGACCAAGGAGGACATCTCAAAGCCCAGACCTTCATTCCTTTTTTATTTTTCTTACACCTACTAGATGAAAACTGCTGCTTCCTACCCTGTGTTTTTCACGTGTGAGTTTCCCTACAGGTTAGATTGTTGTAATATTTGGGCAAAAACTCTTGGATCCAACCGATTTTATATTTGCCAAGCTCCAAGGCAGCATCCAGACCTAGAAGATCTGATCAGTCCCTAGCCCAAGGCTGTGAGATTAGTAGTTTGAGTGTGCTCCTTTGGCGTGGGCCATCACCATAGGACAGCTGAACCCACAGAACATACAACACCATGAGTGTGAATCCAAATGTCCCCAAGAGACAAACCAGGTCATGCCCCTAGAGATCAGGGAACAGGGCAACCCTGGAATTTTCCCAAACTGAAGTAAACTCTCAATGTAGTCCTAGGTCTCTCGACTCTTCAGGATGATGTCCTACACAACATCAACAACCAGTGGGTACCCTGTGCCCTAGGGAGAAGACTGACAGAATGGCATCCTGTGGCACCCTTGACCCAGCCTTTCTTTGAGGGGAGCAAGAGGAAACCAGACAATACTTGAAATGCAATGCACCTGGGTTACCATTTCTTGTCTCAGTGCAGTACCCAATAATCAGGAAATTCTCTCTCCTCTTTACAAGAGATAACGCCTGATAATGTGGCCACTACCACCGCCCCGTTATTTGGCTAGGCCTGGGTCCTCCAGATGAGACATTAGTTCTCAGGTTTTACATAGCCCCAAGACCTCCAGGGCAAGGATCCCTCTCTTCCCCTAACCTTGTTTCTGCACTAAGAGCAAAGATCCATAGTCTCAATGCCCTGCAGTAGCTTCAGCTCCCAGTTTCCAAACATGGCGGCCAACAAGGCCTGACCTCCACCACCTCTGGGACCTGACAGGCCTTGCAGCCCAGGGCTCCTTGGTGGATGAGCCTGGTTCCCTCGCTTTCACACCAACTCTGAAGGCACCCACTCAGGTGCCCATGTCCACCTCCAGAATTCTCTGAGTGTTCCATACCTACCCTGTTACCTAACATACCTACCCTGTTACCTAACAGAAGTATGAATATACAGAGAGGGGCCAGAAGCCATACTCAAAAAGCTTCTGCTTGATGGCCCTTTTGCTCCAGTAATGCCAACCACTCTGGCCTGCCAGACCTTTCCCCTTGCCTTTTGTCCTAATCCAAAGGGAGTCCCAAAACCAGTCCAAGACCTTGAAGTGGGATTTACTCTGCTTGGGTTCTCGGGGTGAACTGGTATCCCTTTCTGTCATGCTCTCAGTGGGAAATATAAATGTCTATGAAATAATTCATCAAAACGAATAGCTGTATTGATCTATTCCTGAGCACACTTTTGGGTTTATATGGGTTATCTTAAGTAGAATTGTTTCTTTCACGAAGACACAGACTCATAGCTTGAGATGGGCCAAGTACCTGGATTTTACTCTTATCCTGGAATTATTGACACTTTCCTGTACTCATAGATCCAGGCCAAGCCCAGTTCAGCAGTCTGACCTACCTTAAAGGCTTAGGAAAGGGAATGATACCTGATTGAGGGATAGCAGGAATTAGCAGGGGTCACATCAGGAGAAAAGACTGGGATAATTATGCCTTTGCTCTCCTCCATTTGTCTCAAGTTTCGTTAGGTAGAATGAAGTGGCTGTGAAGCACGCCTTGCTTGTTATTTTTTTTACCACCACACTCTCTGCTGCAGTAACTGCCTGGGCCTAGCACCCGACATAATCTTCTTCGCCATATTGGACACTATGATCCAATCAACATAGCTAGGGAATTTCTTATTTTTAAATTTATAGTGATGAAGGATGATGCCGTTTTGTATCCCTGTCCACTTGCCGAAGGAGATGTTCAAACTCCCAGGGGATCGATTAGGCATACAAGTCATATCAAAAAGGATATTCCTCGCCATTTACAGACTCCTTAGCCCGCACGACTTTCTTTGGGATATCAACCACATGGTTTCTGCTCCCTCTCACACTCTATCGCTCCCTCTCTTGCCACATTCGGACCCAACACTCTCTCGCCCACTTCTACTTTGCGCGATTCCTGTCTTATTCTGTCTCAACGTCATAGGGTTTCCTAGACTATCCAGGAATTCCTGCCGACGTAGGCAGGTACCAGAGGCAACTGAACGCGTGAGACATAGAGCAGATGAGCTGAGAGGCAGCAAGAGAACTACGCAAGAATCCGATCACACCCTCCGCTTCTACGACGACCACCAACACCACCCAGAAGCCAACTTCCGAGATGCCCCAAGCCAAGATCAGGCAACACTCAGCTGAATGTCATCCCGTACCTCTTCGTCACAGCGGACCGCGGTCACGCTTAAATGTGCATTGAAGTGGAAGGTGAATGTCTCTTTGCATGGCAGTGTCTCTGCACACGGGAGAGGAGGGGCACACGTATCCACCTGGCTCAATATCTAGCTGTATTCAGGTGGAATAGAGAACCATGAACCCTCTGGACCTTTTCTGCTTTGGTCCTGTGCTTTTAACGTCTCAGGCCTAAGAGGCCCACCGAATCCTTCTGCCTTGCTTCAGTACATTTAAAAAGAAAAAAAAAGCAGGACATTCCACCTGCCACCTCCAGAGGGTCCTCTAGGATCCTTCTCCACTCCTGAATTGAGCGAAGCGGTGCCGACCTCCACCCTTTGGGCACGAGCCCCTGTGCACTTGGGAGACTCCTGAACACCCTCGGAGAAGCCAGAAAGCCCCGGGAGATGGCTCCGTCTGCTGCTGTACCAGACCGGGTCCTGCAAAGGATGCATCCTCCGAGCCTCCTCCCTGAACGTCCAGTGGGGCCTGCCCCGATTCTACCTGAGGGACCCACTGGAGGAGAGGCACGGGGATGCTGCCTGAGCAGCGGACCCTTCTGGCGCGGAGCAGGCTGTCCCCAGGCAGAGTCCGACGGGTCCTTCCTTCTGGGTGCCCCCGGCTTCCCGGACTCCAGCAGGCCTGGGAAGGCCCCGGGCCCCCTTAGCCGATGCCCAGAGAGTCTCCATTTCTCAAGCTTTGCCACCGAACTCATCGGTCGGTGCGCCTCTGATCGCAGGGCAAGGGCCTGCGCACCCCCAAAGACAAGCGGGGTCCCCGGAAGGCCCCCAGGCAGAAATGAGCACCACGGGGAACGGCCCGCCTCCAAGACAACCTCGGGGACATGGACACAACAAGACAGGGTGGCAAGTCTCAACAAGGCGGGTGCGCGGCGTCTGAGGGTGGCCGGGCCGGGCCGGGCCGGGCCTGGCCTTGCGTCCACCTCGTCAAGAACCGTCTGGGTACGGGCCCCGCGGGATGCCCCGCGGCCCACCTTCCTCCCTAGGACGCAAGGAGGAACGCCCCGGCGCCGGCCAGCAGCGGCGGGCACCAACGCCAATGGCCACGGAACTCAGCACTGGCAGTCGGCCCTCCTCACACCGCAGGCGTGCAGTGTGGCCGACGGAGCCTCCCGGGCCGAGGACCCAGCTAGGCCGTCACCCCGGTTGCTCCCACGGGAAGGGGCACCAGGCAAACTGCCCAAGGCCCCGAGCCCAGGCTCCCTGGCGGAGGCCTCCGCTGGTCCCGCCCAGATCATGGCCGCCACCAGGCTCCCGAGCCGTGGCTTCCTGTCCGGGAACGGCCCGGCGTCCTGGCTGTCCAGCTAGTCCTGGCGCCTCTCTCTGGGGCTTCCACCGCCCGACCCCGCGGCGGAGCCTGCTTCTCTCGGACCTCCAGAGACCTCGGATCCGTCCCGAGCACCTGCCCTAGTCCTGCCTGGTCCCCCAGGACAGTCCCAAGCCACTCCTCCCCAGGCGAGCACAGCGAAGGGTGCGCGGGATTGCCAAGCCAGTTCCTCTTGATGACAGTATTGCTCCAGAAATGCCCACCTGCCCTTCCCCCACGTCCACTCCCTCCGCCCTTTGCTGAGGAAAAAACGCCAACAGCGCCCCGCACATGGCGGATCAGCATCTCGGCCGCTTTGGGCCAGCCCTGGCCCACCTGCGGGACCCTGTCCTTGGCAGATGGGACTCGGCGGGACCCTTCTTACTAGCCTGCCTTCCTGACAAACCAGAAAGCGGTCCCCTTGGACCGCCCTGGGGATGGACCCGACCTAACCGCATCCCTAACGATGCGTTAGGATGGGAGGATGGTGGAACCCGCAGGGACGAGAAGGAGACTGGGCACACACTAGGATCCCAGCCCCGGCCCTGCCCCCCGGGACACATTGGCACTTGGGCATTCTCACGGGTCACGGCAAGGCCAGCTTGACCAAGAGGTCAAAGGCGACTGGCGTCCCACTGACCGCTGGGGGTTTGGCCTCAAACTTCAGGTGAACCCACAATTCCGGAATAGCGGGACCGGCACCCGGGCCCTTCTCACGTGGCAGCACCGGCAAGGGGCTGGGGGAAGAGCCCACGCCAGCCTACGTCACGCAGGAAGGGAGCCAGTGGCCACCCCAAACACACCTCTCCTCCTCACACCTGGCCTACGTCCAACTCTCCACGGCTCTGCCCAGAAGGCTGCACGTACAACACACACAGAGGCGGGCATTTCCCTGACGACTCGTGTGTGCCGTGGGGGAGCGGTAGATGGCCCAGCCCCAAGTGTTCCGATCTTCCTGCCCAAACATATTCTGTGACGGAAAGCCTATGTTGACCTCGTCCGGCACTCAAGGCGTGGGCAGCGGCCTAACGTCTGCTGCGGGAACACAGTCGCGTTGAATGCTATTCTCAAGACAGACAAAACAGTGGGAAGACACTACGCCAAGCTGCTAACTCCCTGGCCATTGCCGGACTCTTTCACCCCCATGGACTTTCCGCTGGCATTTTAAACAACATAGTTTCTTTTCTCTGTCTCTTTCTCTTTCTCTCTCTCTTTCTCTTTCTCTCTCTCTCTCTCTCTCTCTGTCAATCTCATAATTTCTCTCTCTCGTGCCACGTTCCCACCCAACGCTCTCTCGCCCACTTCTACTGGGGCCCACTTCCTCTCCCGCTCTCTCTGTCTCAACGTGATTGACTTTCTTGTGCTGCCCAGGACTTCTTGCCCACGTGCGCCTTCAAAACGGTAAGAGCTGCAACTGAACGTGTGAGACATGGTGCAGATAGGCTGAGAGGCGGCGGGAGAGATGCCCATGAACTCAAGTACCCGGACACGCCCTCCACTTCTACCACCACGAGTAACACCGCCCCCACGGGACCGCTCTCGAGGTCCCCCAAGCCAAGGTGAGGCAAGTCCCAGTTGAATGTCATCCCGTTCCTCTTGGGCACGGCGGACCGCTCTCGCCCTTAAAGGTGCGTTGACGTGGAAGGTGAATGTCTCTTTGCGTGACAGTGCCTCAGCGCACGGGCGACGAGGGGCACACCTATCCCCCTGGCTCGCTCTCTAGCTGGATTCAGGTGGAACGGAGGACCATGAACCCTCTGGACCTTTTCTGCCTTGGTCCTATGCTTGTAAGGTTTCCGGCCTAAGAGGCCCATCGACTCCTTCTGCCTTCTTTCAGTTGATTACAAAATAAATAAATAAATAAATAAATAAATAAATAAAAAAGCAGGACATTAAACCTGCCACCTCCAGAGGGTCCTCTAGCTTCCTTCTCCACTCCTGAATTGAGCGAAGCGGTGCCGACCTCCACCCTTTGGGCACGAGCCCCTGCGCACTTGGGAGACTCCTGAACACCCTCGGAGAAGCCAGAAAGCCCCGGGAGATGGCTCCGTCTGCTGCTGTACCAGACCGGGTCCTGCAAAGGATGCATCCTCCGAGCCTCCTCCCTGCACGTCCAGTGGGGCCTGCCCCGATTCTACCTGAGGGACCCACTGGAGGAGAGGCACGGGGATGCTGCCTGAGCAGCGGACCCTTCTGGTCCCCCAGGACAGTCCCAAGCCACTCCTCCCCAGGCGAGCACAGCGAAGGGTGCGCGGGATTGCCAAGCCAGTTCCTCTTGATGGCAGTATTGCTCCAGAAATGCCCACCTGCCCTTCCCCCACGTCCACTCCCTCCGCCCTTTGCTGAGGAAAAAACGCCAACAGCGCCCCGCACATGGCGGATCAGCATCTCGGCCGCTTTGGGCCAGCCCTGGCCCACCTGCGGGACCCTGTCCTTGGCAGATGGGACTCGGCGGGACCCTTCTTACTAGCCTGCCTTCCTGACAAACCAGAAAGCGGTCCCCTTGGACCGCCCTGGGGATGGACCCGACCTAACCGCATCCCTAACGATGCGTTAGGATGGGAGGATGGTGGAACCCGCAGGGACGAGAAGGAGACTGGGCACACACTAGGATCCCAGCCCCGGCCCTGCCCCCCGGGACACATTGGCACTTGGGCATTCTCACGGGTCACGGCAAGGCCAGCTTGACCAAGAGGTCAAAGGCGACTGGCGTCCCACTGACCGCTGGGGGTTTGGCCTCAAACTTCAGGTGAACCCACAATTCCGGAATAGCGGGACCGGCACCCGGGCCCTTCTCACGTGGCAGCACCGGCAAGGGGCTGGGGGAAGAGCCCACGCCAGCCTACGTCACGCAGGAAGGGAGCCAGTGGCCACCCCAAACACACCTCTCCTCCTCACACCTGGCCTACGTCCAACTCTCCACGGCTCTGCCCAGAAGGCTGCACGTACAACACACACAGAGGCGGGCATTTCCCTGACGACTCGTGTGTGCCGTGGGGGAGCGGTAGATGGCCCAGCCCCAAGTGTTCCGATCTTCCTGCCCAAACATATTCTGTGACGGAAAGCCTATGTTGACCTCGTCCGGCACTCAAGGCGTGGGCAGCGGCCTAACGTCTGCTGCGGGAACACAGTCGCGTTGAATGCTATTCTCAAGACAGACAAAACAGTGGGAAGACACTACGCCAAGCTGCTAACTCCCTGGCCATTGCCGGACTCTTTCACCCCCATGGACTTTCCGCTGGCATTTTAAACAACATAGTTTCTTTTCTCTGTCTCTTTCTCTTTCTCTTTCTCTCTCTCTTTCTCTTTCTCTCTCTCTCTCTCTCTCTCTCTCTCAATCTCATAATTTCTCTCTCTCGTGCCACGTTCCCACCCAACGCTCTCTCGCCCACTTCTACTGGGGCCCACTTCCTCTCCTGCTCTCTCTGTCTCAACGTGATTGACTTTCTTGTGCTGCCCAGGACTTCTTGCCCACGTGCGCCTTCAAAACGGTAAGAGCTGCAACTGAACGTGTGAGACATGGTGCAGATAGGCTGAGAGGCGGCGGGAGAGATGCCCATGAACTCAAGTACCCGGACACGCCCTCCACTTCTACCACCACGAGTAACACCGCCCCCACGGGACCGCTCTCGAGGTCCCCCAAGCCAAGGTGAGGCAAGTCCCAGTTGAATGTCATCCCGTTCCTCTTGGGCACGGCGGACCGCTCTCGCCCTTAAAGGTGCGTTGACGTGGAAGGTGAATGTCTCTTTGCGTGACAGTGCCTCAGCGCACGGGCGACGAGGGGCACACCTATCCCCCTGGCTCGCTCTCTAGCTGGATTCAGGTGGAACGGAGGACCATGAACCCTCTGGACCTTTTCTGCCTTGGTCCTATGCTTGTAAGGTTTCCGGCCTAAGAGGCCCATCGACTCCTTCTGCCTTCTTTCAGTTGATTACAAAATAAATAAATAAATAAATAAATAAATAAATAAATAAATAAATAAAAAAGCAGGACATTAAACCTGCCACCTCCAGAGGGTCCTCTAGCTTCCTTCTCCACTCCTGAATTGAGCGAAGCGGTGCCGACCTCCACCCTTTGGGCACGAGCCCCTGCGCACTTGGGAGACTCCTGAACACCCTCGGAGAAGCCAGAAAGCCCCGGGAGATGGCTCCGTCTGCTGCTGTACCAGACCGGGTCCTGCAAAGGATGCATCCTCCGAGCCTCCTCCCTGCACGTCCAGTGGGGCCTGCCCCGATTCTACCTGAGGGAGCCACTGGAGGAGAGGCACGGGGATGCTGCCTGAGCAGCGGACCCTTCTGGCGCGGAGCAGGCTGTCCCCAGGCAGAGTCCGACGGGTCCTTCCTTCTGGGTGCCCCCGGCTTCCCGGACTCCAGCAGGCCTGGGAAGGCCCCAGGCCCCCTTAGCCGATGCCCAGAGAGTCTCCATTTCTCAAGCTTTGCCACCGAACTCATCGGTCGGTGCGCCTCTGATCGCAGGGCAAGGGCCTGCGCACCCCCAAAGACAAGCGGGGTCCCCGGAAGGCCCCCAGGCAGAAATGAGCACCACGGGGAACGGCCCGCCTCCAAGACAACCTCGGGGACATGGACACAACAAGACAGGGTGGCAAGTCTCAACAAGGCGGGTGCGCGGCGTCTAAGGGTGGCCTGGCCGGGCCGGGCCGGGCCGGGCCGGGCCTGGCCTTGCGTCCACCTCGTCAAGAACCGTCTGGGTACGGGCCCCGCGGGATGCCCCGCGGCCCACCTTCCTCCCTAGGACGCAAGGAGGAACGCCCCGGCGCCGGCCAGCAGCGGCGGGCACCGGCGCCAATGGCCACGGAACTCAGCACTGGCAGTCGGCCCTCCTCACGCCGCAGGCGTGCAGTGTGGCCGACGGAGCCTCCCGGGCCGAGGACCCAGCTAGGCCGTCACCCCGGTTGCTCCCACGGGAAGGGGCACCAGGCAAACTGCCCAAGGCCCCGAGCCCAGGCTCCCTGGCGGAGGCCTCCGCTGGTCCCGCCCAGATCATGGCCGCCACCAGGCTCCCGAGCCATGGCTTCCTGTCCGGGAACGGCCCGGCGTCCTGGCTGTCCAGCTAGTCCTGGCGCCTCTCTCTGGGGCTTCCACCGCCCGACCCCGCGGCGGAGCCTGCTTCTCTCGGACCTCCAGAGACCTCGGATCCGTCCGAGCACCTGCCCTAGTCCTGCCTGGTCCCCCAGGACAGTCCCAAGCCACTCCTCCCCAGGCGAGCACAGCGAAGGGTGCGCGGGATTGCCAAGCCAGTTCCTCTTGATGGCAGTATTGCTCCAGAAATGCCCACCTGCCCTTCCCCCACGTCCACTCCCTCCGCCCTTTGCTGAGGAAAAAACGCCAACAGCGCCCCGCACATGGCGGATCAGCATCTCGGCCGCTTTGGGCCAGCCCTGGCCCACCTGCGGGACCCTGTCCTTGGCAGATGGGACTCGGCGGGACCCTTCTTACTAGCCTGCCTTCCTGACAAACCAGAAAGCGGTCCCCTTGGACCGCCCTGGGGATGGACCCGACCTAACCGCATCCCTAACGATGCGTTAGGATGGGAGGATGGTGGAACCCGCAGGGACGAGAAGGAGACTGGGCACACACGAGGATCCCAGCCCCAGCCCTGCCCCCCGGGACACATTGGCACTTGGGCATTCTCACGGGTCACGGCAAGGCCAGCTTGACCAAGAGGTCAAAGGCGACTGGCGTCCCACTGACCGCTGGGGGTTTGGCCTCAAACTTCAGGTGAACCCACAATTCCGGAATAGCGGGACCGGCACCCGGGCCCTTCTCACGTGGCAGCACCGGCAAGGGGCTGGGGGAAGAGCCCACGCCAGCCTACGTCACGCAGGAAGGGAGCCAGTGGCCACCCCAAACACACCTCTCCTCCTCACACCTGGCCTACGTCCAACTCTCCACGGCTCTGCCCAGAAGGCTGCACGTACAACACACACAGAGGCGGGCATTTCCCTGACGACTCGTGTGTGCCGTGGGGGAGCGGTAGATGGCCCAGCCCCAAGTGTTCCGATCTTCCTGCCCAAACATATTCTGTGACGGAAAGCCTATGTTGACCTCGTCCGGCACTCAAGGCGTGGGCAGCGGCCTAACGTCTGCTGCGGGAACACAGTCGCGTTGAATGCTATTCTCAAGACAGACAAAACAGTGGGAAGACACTACGCCAAGCTGCTAACTCCCTGGCCATTGCCGGACTCTTTCACCCCCATGGACTTTCCGCTGGCATTTTAAACAACATAGTTTCTTTTCTCTGTCTCTTTCTCTTTCTCTCTCTCTTTCTCTTTCTCTCTCTCTTTCTCTTTCTCTCTCTCTCTCTCTCTCTCTCTCTCTCTCAATCTCATAATTTCTCTCTCTCGTGCCACGTTCCCACCCAACGCTCTCTCGCCCACTTCTACTGGGGCCCACTTCCTCTCCTGCTCTCTCTGTCTCAACGTGATTGACTTTCTTGTGCTGCCCAGGACTTCTTGCCCACGTGCGCCTTCAAAACGGTAAGAGCTGCAACTGAACGTGTGAGACATGGTGCAGATAGGCTGAGAGGCGGCGGGAGAGATGCCCATGAACTCAAGTACCCGGACACGCCCTCCACTTCTACCACCACGAGTAACACCGCCCCCACGGGACCGCTCTCGAGGTCCCCCAAGCCAAGGTGAGGCAAGTCCCAGTTGAATGTCATCCCGTTCCTCTTGGGCACGGCGGACCGCTCTCGCCCTTAAAGGTGCGTTGACGTGGAAGGTGAATGTCTCTTTGCGTGACAGTGCCTCAGCGCACGGGCGACGAGGGGCACACCTATCCCCCTGGCTCGCTCTCTAGCTGGATTCAGGTGGAACGGAGGACCATGAACCCTCTGGACCTTTTCTGCCTTGGTCCTATGCTTGTAAGGTTTCCGGCCTAAGAGGCCCATCGACTCCTTCTGCCTTCTTTCAGTTGATTACAAAATAAATAAATAAATAAATAAATAAATAAATAAATAAATAAATAAATAAAAAAGCAGGACATTAAACCTGCCACCTCCAGAGGGTCCTCTAGCTTCCTTCTCCACTCCTGGATTGAGCGAAGCGGTGCCGACCTCCACCCTTTGGGCACGAGCCCCTGTGCACTTGGGAGACTCCTGAACACCCTCGGAGAAGCCAGAAAGCCCCGGGAGATGGCTCCGTCTGCTGCTGTACCAGACCGGGTCCTGCAAAGGATGCATCCTCCGAGCCTCCTCCCTGCACGTCCAGTGGGGCCTGCCCCGATTCTACCTGAGGGACCCACTGGAGGAGAGGCACGGGGATGCTGCCTGAGCAGCGGACCCTTCTGGCGCGGAGCAGGCTGTCCCCAGGCAGAGTCCGACGGGTCCTTCCTTCTGGGTGCCCCCGGCTTCCCGGACTCCAGCAGGCCTGGGAAGGCCCCGGGCCCCCTTAGCCGATGCCCAGAGAGTCTCCATTTCTCAAGCTTTGCCACCGAACTCATCGGTCGGTGCGCCTCTGATCGCAGGGCAAGGGCCTGCGCACCCCCAAAGACAAGCGGGGTCCCCGGAAGGCCCCCAGGCAGAAATGAGCACCACGGGGAACGGCCCGCCTCCAAGACAACCTCGGGGACATGGACACAACAAGACAGGGTGGCAAGTCTCAACAAGGCGGGTGCGCGGCGTCTAAGGGTGGCCTGGCCGGGCCGGGCCGGGCCGGGCCGGGCCTGGCCTTGCGTCCACCTCGTCAAGAACCGTCTGGGTACGGGCCCCGCGGGATGCCCCGCGGCCCACCTTCCTCCCTAGGACGCAAGGAGGAACGCCCCGGCGCCGGCCAGCAGCGGCGGGCACCGGCGCCAATGGCCACGGAACTCAGCACTGGCAGTCGGCCCTCCTCACGCCGCAGGCGTGCAGTGTGGCCGACGGAGCCTCCCGGGCCGAGGACCCAGCTAGGCCGTCACCCCGGTTGCTCCCACGGGAAGGGGCACCAGGCAAACTGCCCAAGGCCCCGAGCCCAGGCTCCCTGGCGGAGGCCTCCGCTGGTCCCGCCCAGATCATGGCCGCCACCAGGCTCCCGAGCCATGGCTTCCTGTCCGGGAACGGCCCGGCGTCCTGGCTGTCCAGCTAGTCCTGGCGCCTCTCTCTGGGGCTTCCACCGCCCGACCCCGCGGCGGAGCCTGCTTCTCTCGGACCTCCAGAGACCTCGGATCCGTCCGAGCACCTGCCCTAGTCCTGCCTGGTCCCCCAGGACAGTCCCAAGCCACTCCTCCCCAGGCGAGCACAGCGAAGGGTGCGCGGGATTGCCAAGCCAGTTCCTCTTGATGGCAGTATTGCTCCAGAAATGCCCACCTGCCCTTCCCCCACGTCCACTCCCTCCGCCCTTTGCTGAGGAAAAAACGCCAACAGCGCCCCGCACATGGCGGATCAGCATCTCGGCCGCTTTGGGCCAGCCCTGGCCCACCTGCGGGACCCTGTCCTTGGCAGATGGGACTCGGCGGGACCCTTCTTACTAGCCTGCCTTCCTGACAAACCAGAAAGCGGTCCCCTTGGACCGCCCTGGGGATGGACCCGACCTAACCGCATCCCTAACGATGCGTTAGGATGGGAGGATGGTGGAACCCGCAGGGACGAGAAGGAGACTGGGCACACACGAGGATCCCAGCCCCGGCCCTGCCCCCCGGGACACATTGGCACTTGGGCATTCTCACGGGTCACGGCAAGGCCAGCTTGACCAAGAGGTCAAAGGCGACTGGCGTCCCACTGACCGCTGGGGGTTTGGCCTCAAACTTCAGGTGAACCCACAATTCCGGAATAGCGGGACCGGCACCCGGGCCCTTCTCACGTGGCAGCACCGGCAAGGGGCTGGGGGAAGAGCCCACGCCAGCCTACGTCACGCAGGAAGGGAGCCAGTGGCCACCCCAAACACACCTCTCCTCCTCACACCTGGCCTACGTCCAACTCTCCACGGCTCTGCCCAGAAGGCTGCACGTACAACACACACAGAGGCGGGCATTTCCCTGACGACTCGTGTGTGCCGTGGGGGAGCGGTAGATGGCCCAGCCCCAAGTGTTCCGATCTTCCTGCCCAAACATATTCTGTGACGGAAAGCCTATGTTGACCTCGTCCGGCACTCAAGGCGTGGGCAGCGGCCTAACGTCTGCTGCGGGAACACAGTCGCGTTGAATGCTATTCTCAAGACAGACAAAACAGTGGGAAGACACTACGCCAAGCTGCTAACTCCCTGGCCATTGCCGGACTCTTTCACCCCCATGGACTTTCCGCTGGCATTTTAAACAACATAGTTTCTTTTCTCTGTCTCTTTCTCTTTCTCTCTCTCTTTCTCTTTCTCTCTCTCTTTCTCTTTCTCTCTCTCTCTCTCTCTCTCTCTCTCTCTCAATCTCATAATTTCTCTCTCTCGTGCCACGTTCCCACCCAACGCTCTCTCGCCCACTTCTACTGGGGCCCACTTCCTCTCCTGCTCTCTCTGTCTCAACGTGATTGACTTTCTTGTGCTGCCCAGGACTTCTTGCCCACGTGCGCCTTCAAAACGGTAAGAGCTGCAACTGAACGTGTGAGACATGGTGCAGATAGGCTGAGAGGCGGCGGGAGAGATGCCCATGAACTCAAGTACCCGGACACGCCCTCCACTTCTACCACCACGAGTAACACCGCCCCCACGGGACCGCTCTCGAGGTCCCCCAAGCCAAGGTGAGGCAAGTCCCAGTTGAATGTCATCCCGTTCCTCTTGGGCACGGCGGACCGCTCTCGCCCTTAAAGGTGCGTTGACGTGGAAGGTGAATGTCTCTTTGCGTGACAGTGCCTCAGCGCACGGGCGACGAGGGGCACACCTATCCCCCTGGCTCGCTCTCTAGCTGGATTCAGGTGGAACGGAGGACCATGAACCCTCTGGACCTTTTCTGCCTTGGTCCTATGCTTGTAAGGTTTCCGGCCTAAGAGGCCCATCGACTCCTTCTGCCTTCTTTCAGTTGATTACAAAATAAATAAATAAATAAATAAATAAATAAATAAAAAAGCAGGACATTAAACCTGCCACCTCCAGAGGGTCCTCTAGCTTCCTTCTCCACTCCTGGATTGAGCGAAGCGGTGCCGACCTCCACCCTTTGGGCACGAGCCCCTGTGCACTTGGGAGACTCCTGAACACCCTCGGAGAAGCCAGAAAGCCCCGGGAGATGGCTCCGTCTGCTGCTGTACCAGACCGGGTCCTGCAAAGGATGCATCCTCCGAGCCTCCTCCCTGCACGTCCAGTGGGGCCTGCCCCGATTCTACCTGAGGGACCCACTGGAGGAGAGGCACGGGGATGCTGCCTGAGCAGCGGACCCTTCTGGCGCGGAGCAGGCTGTCCCCAGGCAGAGTCCGACGGGTCCTTCCTTCTGGGTGCCCCCGGCTTCCCGGACTCCAGCAGGCCTGGGAAGGCCCCGGGCCCCCTTAGCCGATGCCCAGAGAGTCTCCATTTCTCAAGCTTTGCCACCGAACTCATCGGTCGGTGCGCCTCTGATCGCAGGGCAAGGGCCTGCGCACCCCCAAAGACAAGCGGGGTCCCCGGAAGGCCCCCAGGCAGAAATGAGCACCACGGGGAACGGCCCGCCTCCAAGACAACCTCGGGGACATGGACACAACAAGACAGGGTGGCAAGTCTCAACAAGGCGGGTGCGCGGCGTCTAAGGGTGGCCTGGCCGGGCCGGGCCGGGCCGGGCCGGGCCTGGCCTTGCGTCCACCTCGTCAAGAACCGTCTGGGTACGGGCCCCGCGGGATGCCCCGCGGCCCACCTTCCTCCCTAGGACGCAAGGAGGAACGCCCCGGCGCCGGCCAGCAGCGGCGGGCACCGGCGCCAATGGCCACGGAACTCAGCACTGGCAGTCGGCCCTCCTCACGCCGCAGGCGTGCAGTGTGGCCGACGGAGCCTCCCGGGCCGAGGACCCAGCTAGGCCGTCACCCCGGTTGCTCCCACGGGAAGGGGCACCAGGCAAACTGCCCAAGGCCCCGAGCCCAGGCTCCCTGGCGGAGGCCTCCGCTGGTCCCGCCCAGATCATGGCCGCCACCAGGCTCCCGAGCCATGGCTTCCTGTCCGGGAACGGCCCGGCGTCCTGGCTGTCCAGCTAGTCCTGGCGCCTCTCTCTGGGGCTTCCACCGCCCGACCCCGCGGCGGAGCCTGCTTCTCTCGGACCTCCAGAGACCTCGGATCCGTCCGAGCACCTGCCCTAGTCCTGCCTGGTCCCCCAGGACAGTCCCAAGCCACTCCTCCCCAGGCGAGCACAGCGAAGGGTGCGCGGGATTGCCAAGCCAGTTCCTCTTGATGGCAGTATTGCTCCAGAAATGCCCACCTGCCCTTCCCCCACGTCCACTCCCTCCGCCCTTTGCTGAGGAAAAAACGCCAACAGCGCCCCGCACATGGCGGATCAGCATCTCGGCCGCTTTGGGCCAGCCCTGGCCCACCTGCGGGACCCTGTCCTTGGCAGATGGGACTCGGCGGGACCCTTCTTACTAGCCTGCCTTCCTGACAAACCAGAAAGCGGTCCCCTTGGACCGCCCTGGGGATGGACCCGACCTAACCGCATCCCTAACGATGCGTTAGGATGGGAGGATGGTGGAACCCGCAGGGACGAGAAGGAGACTGGGCACACACGAGGATCCCAGCCCCGGCCCTGCCCCCCGGGACACATTGGCACTTGGGCATTCTCACGGGTCACGGCAAGGCCAGCTTGACCAAGAGGTCAAAGGCGACTGGCGTCCCACTGACCGCTGGGGGTTTGGCCTCAAACTTCAGGTGAACCCACAATTCCGGAATAGCGGGACCGGCACCCGGGCCCTTCTCACGTGGCAGCACCGGCAAGGGGCTGGGGGAAGAGCCCACGCCAGCCTACGTCACGCAGGAAGGGAGCCAGTGGCCACCCCAAACACACCTCTCCTCCTCACACCTGGCCTACGTCCAACTCTCCACGGCTCTGCCCAGAAGGCTGCACGTACAACACACACAGAGGCGGGCATTTCCCTGACGACTCGTGTGTGCCGTGGGGGAGCGGTAGATGGCCCAGCCCCAAGTGTTCCGATCTTCCTGCCCAAACATATTCTGTGACGGAAAGCCTATGTTGACCTCGTCCGGCACTCAAGGCGTGGGCAGCGGCCTAACGTCTGCTGCGGGAACACAGTCGCGTTGAATGCTATTCTCAAGACAGACAAAACAGTGGGAAGACACTACGCCAAGCTGCTAACTCCCTGGCCATTGCCGGACTCTTTCACCCCCATGGACTTTCCGCTGGCATTTTAAACAACATAGTTTCTTTTCTCTATCTCTTTCTCTTTCTCTCTCTCTTTCTCTTTCTCTCTCTCTCTCTCTCTCTCTCTCAATCTCATAATTTCTCTCTCTCGTGCCACGTTCCCACCCAACGCTCTCTCGCCCACTTCTACTGGGGCCCACTTCCTCTCCTGCTCTCTCTGTCTCAACGTGATTGACTTTCTTGTGCTGCCCAGGACTTCTTGCCCACGTGCGCCTTCAAAACGGTAAGAGCTGCAACTGAACGTGTGAGACATGGTGCAGATAGGCTGAGAGGCGGCGGGAGAGATGCCCATGAACTCAAGTACCCGGACACGCCCTCCACTTCTACCACCACGAGTAACACCGCCCCCACGGGACCGCTCTCGAGGTCCCCCAAGCCAAGGTGAGGCAAGTCCCAGTTGAATGTCATCCCGTTCCTCTTGGGCACGGCGGACCGCTCTCGCCCTTAAAGGTGCGTTGACGTGGAAGGTGAATGTCTCTTTGCGTGACAGTGCCTCAGCGCACGGGCGACGAGGGGCACACCTATCCCCCTGGCTCGCTCTCTAGCTGGATTCAGGTGGAACGGAGGACCATGAACCCTCTGGACCTTTTCTGCCTTGGTCCTATGCTTGTAAGGTTTCCGGCCTAAGAGGCCCATCGACTCCTTCTGCCTTCTTTCAGTTGATTACAAAATAAATAAATAAATAAATAAATAAATAAATAAAAAAGCAGGACATTAAACCTGCCACCTCCAGAGGGTCCTCTAGCTTCCTTCTCCACTCCTGGATTGAGCGAAGCGGTGCCGACCTCCACCCTTTGGGCACGAGCCCCTGTGCACTTGGGAGACTCCTGAACACCCTCGGAGAAGCCAGAAAGCCCCGGGAGATGGCTCCGTCTGCTGCTGTACCAGACCGGGTCCTGCAAAGGATGCATCCTCCGAGCCTCCTCCCTGCACGTCCAGTGGGGCCTGCCCCGATTCTACCTGAGGGACCCACTGGAGGAGAGGCACGGGGATGCTGCCTGAGCAGCGGACCCTTCTGGCGCGGAGCAGGCTGTCCCCAGGCAGAGTCCGACGGGTCCTTCCTTCTGGGTGCCCCCGGCTTCCCGGACTCCAGCAGGCCTGGGAAGGCCCCGGGCCCCCTTAGCCGATGCCCAGAGAGTCTCCATTTCTCAAGCTTTGCCACCGAACTCATCGGTCGGTGCGCCTCTGATCGCAGGGCAAGGGCCTGCGCACCCCCAAAGACAAGCGGGGTCCCCGGAAGGCCCCCAGGCAGAAATGAGCACCACGGGGAACGGCCCGCCTCCAAGACAACCTCGGGGACATGGACACAACAAGACAGGGTGGCAAGTCTCAACAAGGCGGGTGCGCGGCGTCTAAGGGTGGCCTGGCCGGGCCGGGCCGGGCCGGGCCGGGCCTGGCCTTGCGTCCACCTCGTCAAGAACCGTCTGGGTACGGGCCCCGCGGGATGCCCCGCGGCCCACCTTCCTCCCTAGGACGCAAGGAGGAACGCCCCGGCGCCGGCCAGCAGCGGCGGGCACCGGCGCCAATGGCCACGGAACTCAGCACTGGCAGTCGGCCCTCCTCACGCCGCAGGCGTGCAGTGTGGCCGACGGAGCCTCCCGGGCCGAGGACCCAGCTAGGCCGTCACCCCGGTTGCTCCCACGGGAAGGGGCACCAGGCAAACTGCCCAAGGCCCCGAGCCCAGGCTCCCTGGCGGAGGCCTCCGCTGGTCCCGCCCAGATCATGGCCGCCACCAGGCTCCCGAGCCATGGCTTCCTGTCCGGGAACGGCCCGGCGTCCTGGCTGTCCAGCTAGTCCTGGCGCCTCTCTCTGGGGCTTCCACCGCCCGACCCCGCGGCGGAGCCTGCTTCTCTCGGACCTCCAGAGACCTCGGATCCGTCCGAGCACCTGCCCTAGTCCTGCCTGGTCCCCCAGGACAGTCCCAAGCCACTCCTCCCCAGGCGAGCACAGCGAAGGGTGCGCGGGATTGCCAAGCCAGTTCCTCTTGATGGCAGTATTGCTCCAGAAATGCCCACCTGCCCTTCCCCCACGTCCACTCCCTCCGCCCTTTGCTGAGGAAAAAACGCCAACAGCGCCCCGCACATGGCGGATCAGCATCTCGGCCGCTTTGGGCCAGCCCTGGCCCACCTGCGGGACCCTGTCCTTGGCAGATGGGACTCGGCGGGACCCTTCTTACTAGCCTGCCTTCCTGACAAACCAGAAAGCGGTCCCCTTGGACCGCCCTGGGGATGGACCCGACCTAACCGCATCCCTAACGATGCGTTAGGATGGGAGGATGGTGGAACCCGCAGGGACGAGAAGGAGACTGGGCACACACGAGGATCCCAGCCCCGGCCCTGCCCCCCGGGACACATTGGCACTTGGGCATTCTCACGGGTCACGGCAAGGCCAGCTTGACCAAGAGGTCAAAGGCGACTGGCGTCCCACTGACCGCTGGGGGTTTGGCCTCAAACTTCAGGTGAACCCACAATTCCGGAATAGCGGGACCGGCACCCGGGCCCTTCTCACGTGGCAGCACCGGCAAGGGGCTGGGGGAAGAGCCCACGCCAGCCTACGTCACGCAGGAAGGGAGCCAGTGGCCACCCCAAACACACCTCTCCTCCTCACACCTGGCCTACGTCCAACTCTCCACGGCTCTGCCCAGAAGGCTGCACGTACAACACACACAGAGGCGGGCATTTCCCTGACGACTCGTGTGTGCCGTGGGGGAGCGGAAGATGGCCCAGCCCCAAGTGTTCCGATCTTCCTGCCCAAACATATTCTGTGACGGAAAGCCTATGTTGACCTCGTCCGGCACTCAAGGCGTGGGCAGCGGCCTAACGTCTGCTGCGGGAACACAGTCGCGTTGAATGCTATTCTCAAGACAGACAAAACAGTGGGAAGACACTACGCCAAGCTGCTAACTCCCTGGCCATTGCCGGACTCTTTCACCCCCATGGACTTTCCGCTGGCATTTTAAACAACATAGTTTCTTTTCTCTGTCTCTTTCTCTTTCTCTCTCTCTTTCTCTTTCTCTCTCTCTCTCTCTCTCTCTCTCTCTCTCTCTCAATCTCATAATTTCTCTCTCTCGTGCCACGTTCCCACCCAACGCTCTCTCGCCCACTTCTACTGGGGCCCACTTCCTCTCCTGCTCTCTCTGTCTCAACGTGATTGACTTTCTTGTGCTGCCCAGGACTTCTTGCCCACGTGCGCCTTCAAAACGGTAAGAGCTGCAACTGAACGTGTGAGACATGGTGCAGATAGGCTGAGAGGCGGCGGGAGAGATGCCCATGAACTCAAGTACCCGGACACGCCCTCCACTTCTACCACCACGAGTAACACCGCCCCCACGGGACCGCTCTCGAGGTCCCCCAAGCCAAGGTGAGGCAAGTCCCAGTTGAATGTCATCCCGTTCCTCTTGGGCACGGCGGACCGCTCTCGCCCTTAAAGGTGCGTTGACGTGGAAGGTGAATGTCTCTTTGCGTGACAGTGCCTCAGCGCACGGGCGACGAGGGGCACACCTATCCCCCTGGCTCGCTCTCTAGCTGGATTCAGGTGGAACGGAGGACCATGAACCCTCTGGCCCTTTTCTGCCTTGGTCCTATGCTTGTAAGGTTTCCGGCCTAAGAGGCCCATCGACTCCTTCTGCCTTCTTTCAGTTGATTACAAAATAAATAAATAAATAAATAAATAAATAAATAAATAAATAAAAAAGCAGGACATTAAACCTGCCACCTCCAGAGGGTCCTCTAGCTTCCTTCTCCACTCCTGGATTGAGCGAAGCGGTGCCGACCTCCACCCTTTGGGCACGAGCCCCTGTGCACTTGGGAGACTCCTGAACACCCTCGGAGAAGCCAGAAAGCCCCGGGAGATGGCTCCGTCTGCTGCTGTACCAGACCGGGTCCTGCAAAGGATGCATCCTCCGAGCCTCCTCCCTGCACGTCCAGTGGGGCCTGCCCCGATTCTACCTGAGGGACCCACTGGAGGAGAGGCACGGGGATGCTGCCTGAGCAGCGGACCCTTCTGGCGCGGAGCAGGCTGTCCCCAGGCAGAGTCCGACGGGTCCTTCCTTCTGGGTGCCCCCGGCTTCCCGGACTCCAGCAGGCCTGGGAAGGCCCCGGGCCCCCTTAGCCGATGCCCAGAGAGTCTCCATTTCTCAAGCTTTGCCACCGAACTCATCGGTCGGTGCGCCTCTGATCGCAGGGCAAGGGCCTGCGCACCCCCAAAGACAAGCGGGGTCCCCGGAAGGCCCCCAGGCAGAAATGAGCACCACGGGGAACGGCCCGCCTCCAAGACAACCTCGGGGACATGGACACAACAAGACAGGGTGGCAAGTCTCAACAAGGCGGGTGCGCGGCGTCTAAGGGTGGCCTGGCCGGGCCGGGCCGGGCCGGGCCGGGCCTGGCCTTGCGTCCACCTCGTCAAGAACCGTCTGGGTACGGGCCCCGCGGGATGCCCCGCGGCCCACCTTCCTCCCTAGGACGCAAGGAGGAACGCCCCGGCGCCGGCCAGCAGCGGCGGGCACCGGCGCCAATGGCCACGGAACTCAGCACTGGCAGTCGGCCCTCCTCACGCCGCAGGCGTGCAGTGTGGCCGACGGAGCCTCCCGGGCCGAGGACCCAGCTAGGCCGTCACCCCGGTTGCTCCCACGGGAAGGGGCACCAGGCAAACTGCCCAAGGCCCCGAGCCCAGGCTCCCTGGCGGAGGCCTCCGCTGGTCCCGCCCAGATCATGGCCGCCACCAGGCTCCCGAGCCATGGCTTCCTGTCCGGGAACGGCCCGGCGTCCTGGCTGTCCAGCTAGTCCTGGCGCCTCTCTCTGGGGCTTCCACCGCCCGACCCCGCGGCGGAGCCTGCTTCTCTCGGACCTCCAGAGACCTCGGATCCGTCCGAGCACCTGCCCTAGTCCTGCCTGGTCCCCCAGGACAGTCCCAAGCCACTCCTCCCCAGGCGAGCACAGCGAAGGGTGCGCGGGATTGCCAAGCCAGTTCCTCTTGATGGCAGTATTGCTCCAGAAATGCCCACCTGCCCTTCCCCCACGTCCACTCCCTCCGCCCTTTGCTGAGGAAAAAACGCCAACAGCGCCCCGCACATGGCGGATCAGCATCTCGGCCGCTTTGGGCCAGCCCTGGCCCACCTGCGGGACCCTGTCCTTGGCAGATGGGACTCGGCGGGACCCTTCTTACTAGCCTGCCTTCCTGACAAACCAGAAAGCGGTCCCCTTGGACCGCCCTGGGGATGGACCCGACCTAACCGCATCCCTAACGATGCGTTAGGATGGGAGGATGGTGGAACCCGCAGGGACGAGAAGGAGACTGGGCACACACGAGGATCCCAGCCCCGGCCCTGCCCCCCGGGACACATTGGCACTTGGGCATTCTCACGGGTCACGGCAAGGCCAGCTTGACCAAGAGGTCAAAGGCGACTGGCGTCCCACTGACCGCTGGGGGTTTGGCCTCAAACTTCAGGTGAACCCACAATTCCGGAATAGCGGGACCGGCACCCGGGCCCTTCTCACGTGGCAGCACCGGCAAGGGGCTGGGGGAAGAGCCCACGCCAGCCTACGTCACGCAGGAAGGGAGCCAGTGGCCACCCCAAACACACCTCTCCTCCTCACACCTGGCCTACGTCCAACTCTCCACGGCTCTGCCCAGAAGGCTGCACGTACAACACACACAGAGGCGGGCATTTCCCTGACGACTCGTGTGTGCCGTGGGGGAGCGGTAGATGGCCCAGCCCCAAGTGTTCCGATCTTCCTGCCCAAACATATTCTGTGACGGAAAGCCTATGTTGACCTCGTCCGGCACTCAAGGCGTGGGCAGCGGCCTAACGTCTGCTGCGGGAACACAGTCGCGTTGAATGCTATTCTCAAGACAGACAAAACAGTGGGAAGACACTACGCCAAGCTGCTAACTCCCTGGCCATTGCCGGACTCTTTCACCCCCATGGACTTTCCGCTGGCATTTTAAACAACATAGTTTCTTTTCTCTGTCTCTTTCTCTTTCTCTCTCTCTTTCTCTTTCTCTCTCTCTCTCTCTCTCTCTCTCTCTCTCAATCTCATAATTTCTCTCTCTCGTGCCACGTTCCCACCCAACGCTCTCTCGCCCACTTCTACTGGGGCCCACTTCCTCTCCTGCTCTCTCTGTCTCAACGTGATTGACTTTCTTGTGCTGCCCAGGACTTCTTGCCCACGTGCGCCTTCAAAACGGTAAGAGCTGCAACTGAACGTGTGAGACATGGTGCAGATAGGCTGAGAGGCGGCGGGAGAGATGCCCATGAACTCAAGTACCCGGACACGCCCTCCACTTCTACCACCACGAGTAACACCGCCCCCACGGGACCGCTCTCGAGGTCCCCCAAGCCAAGGTGAGGCAAGTCCCAGTTGAATGTCATCCCGTTCCTCTTGGGCACGGCGGACCGCTCTCGCCCTTAAAGGTGCGTTGACGTGGAAGGTGAATGTCTCTTTGCGTGACAGTGCCTCAGCGCACGGGCGACGAGGGGCACACCTATCCCCCTGGCTCGCTCTCTAGCTGGATTCAGGTGGAACGGAGGACCATGAACCCTCTGGCCCTTTTCTGCCTTGGTCCTATGCTTGTAAGGTTTCCGGCCTAAGAGGCCCATCGACTCCTTCTGCCTTCTTTCAGTTGATTACAAAATAAATAAATAAATAAATAAATAAATAAATAAATAAAAAAGCAGGACATTAAACCTGCCACCTCCAGAGGGTCCTCTAGCTTCCTTCTCCACTCCTGGATTGAGCGAAGCGGTGCCGACCTCCACCCTTTGGGCACGAGCCCCTGTGCACTTGGGAGACTCCTGAACACCCTCGGAGAAGCCAGAAAGCCCCGGGAGATGGCTCCGTCTGCTGCTGTACCAGACCGGGTCCTGCAAAGGATGCATCCTCCGAGCCTCCTCCCTGCACGTCCAGTGGGGCCTGCCCCGATTCTACCTGAGGGACCCACTGGAGGAGAGGCACGGGGATGCTGCCTGAGCAGCGGACCCTTCTGGCGCGGAGCAGGCTGTCCCCAGGCAGAGTCCGACGGGTCCTTCCTTCTGGGTGCCCCCGGCTTCCCGGACTCCAGCAGGCCTGGGAAGGCCCCGGGCCCCCTTAGCCGATGCCCAGAGAGTCTCCATTTCTCAAGCTTTGCCACCGAACTCATCGGTCGGTGCGCCTCTGATCGCAGGGCAAGGGCCTGCGCACCCCCAAAGACAAGCGGGGTCCCCGGAAGGCCCCCAGGCAGAAATGAGCACCACGGGGAACGGCCCGCCTCCAAGACAACCTCGGGGACATGGACACAACAAGACAGGGTGGCAAGTCTCAACAAGGCGGGTGCGCGGCGTCTAAGGGTGGCCTGGCCGGGCCGGGCCGGGCCGGGCCGGGCCTGGCCTTGCGTCCACCTCGTCAAGAACCGTCTGGGTACGGGCCCCGCGGGATGCCCCGCGGCCCACCTTCCTCCCTAGGACGCAAGGAGGAACGCCCCGGCGCCGGCCAGCAGCGGCGGGCACCGGCGCCAATGGCCACGGAACTCAGCACTGGCAGTCGGCCCTCCTCACGCCGCAGGCGTGCAGTGTGGCCGACGGAGCCTCCCGGGCCGAGGACCCAGCTAGGCCGTCACCCCGGTTGCTCCCACGGGAAGGGGCACCAGGCAAACTGCCCAAGGCCCCGAGCCCAGGCTCCCTGGCGGAGGCCTCCGCTGGTCCCGCCCAGATCATGGCCGCCACCAGGCTCCCGAGCCATGGCTTCCTGTCCGGGAACGGCCCGGCGTCCTGGCTGTCCAGCTAGTCCTGGCGCCTCTCTCTGGGGCTTCCACCGCCCGACCCCGCGGCGGAGCCTGCTTCTCTCGGACCTCCAGAGACCTCGGATCCGTCCGAGCACCTGCCCTAGTCCTGCCTGGTCCCCCAGGACAGTCCCAAGCCACTCCTCCCCAGGCGAGCACAGCGAAGGGTGCGCGGGATTGCCAAGCCAGTTCCTCTTGATGGCAGTATTGCTCCAGAAATGCCCACCTGCCCTTCCCCCACGTCCACTCCCTCCGCCCTTTGCTGAGGAAAAAACGCCAACAGCGCCCCGCACATGGCGGATCAGCATCTCGGCCGCTTTGGGCCAGCCCTGGCCCACCTGCGGGACCCTGTCCTTGGCAGATGGGACTCGGCGGGACCCTTCTTACTAGCCTGCCTTCCTGACAAACCAGAAAGCGGTCCCCTTGGACCGCCCTGGGGATGGACCCGACCTAACCGCATCCCTAACGATGCGTTAGGATGGGAGGATGGTGGAACCCGCAGGGACGAGAAGGAGACTGGGCACACACGAGGATCCCAGCCCCGGCCCTGCCCCCCGGGACACATTGGCACTTGGGCATTCTCACGGGTCACGGCAAGGCCAGCTTGACCAAGAGGTCAAAGGCGACTGGCGTCCCACTGACCGCTGGGGGTTTGGCCTCAAACTTCAGGTGAACCCACAATTCCGGAATAGCGGGACCGGCACCCGGGCCCTTCTCACGTGGCAGCACCGGCAAGGGGCTGGGGGAAGAGCCCACGCCAGCCTACGTCACGCAGGAAGGGAGCCAGTGGCCACCCCAAACACACCTCTCCTCCTCACACCTGGCCTACGTCCAACTCTCCACGGCTCTGCCCAGAAGGCTGCACGTACAACACACACAGAGGCGGGCATTTCCCTGACGACTCGTGTGTGCCGTGGGGGAGCGGTAGATGGCCCAGCCCCAAGTGTTCCGATCTTCCTGCCCAAACATATTCTGTGACGGAAAGCCTATGTTGACCTCGTCCGGCACTCAAGGCGTGGGCAGCGGCCTAACGTCTGCTGCGGGAACACAGTCGCGTTGAATGCTATTCTCAAGACAGACAAAACAGTGGGAAGACACTACGCCAAGCTGCTAACTCCCTGGCCATTGCCGGACTCTTTCACCCCCATGGACTTTCCGCTGGCATTTTAAACAACATAGTTTCTTTTCTCTGTCTCTTTCTCTTTCTCTCTCTCTTTCTCTTTCTCTCTCTCTCTCTCTCTCTCTCTCTCTCTCTCTCTCTCTCAATCTCATAATTTCTCTCTCTCGTGCCACGTTCCCACCCAACGCTCTCTCGCCCACTTCTACTGGGGCCCACTTCCTCTCCTGCTCTCTCTGTCTCAACGTGATTGACTTTCTTGTGCTGCCCAGGACTTCTTGCCCACGTGCGCCTTCAAAACGGTAAGAGCTGCAACTGAACGTGTGAGACATGGTGCAGATAGGCTGAGAGGCGGCGGGAGAGATGCCCATGAACTCAAGTACCCGGACACGCCCTCCACTTCTACCACCACGAGTAACACCGCCCCCACGGGACCGCTCTCGAGGTCCCCCAAGCCAAGGTGAGGCAAGTCCCAGTTGAATGTCATCCCGTTCCTCTTGGGCACGGCGGACCGCTCTCGCCCTTAAAGGTGCGTTGACGTGGAAGGTGAATGTCTCTTTGCGTGACAGTGCCTCAGCGCACGGGCGACGAGGGGCACACCTATCCCCCTGGCTCGCTCTCTAGCTGGATTCAGGTGGAACGGAGGACCATGAACCCTCTGGACCTTTTCTGCCTTGGTCCTATGCTTGTAAGGTTTCCGGCCTAAGAGGCCCATCGACTCCTTCTGCCTTCTTTCAGTTGATTACAAAATAAATAAATAAATAAATAAATAAATAAATAAAAAAGCAGGACATTAAACCTGCCACCTCCAGAGGGTCCTCTAGCTTCCTTCTCCACTCCTGGATTGAGCGAAGCGGTGCCGACCTCCACCCTTTGGGCACGAGCCCCTGTGCACTTGGGAGACTCCTGAACACCCTCGGAGAAGCCAGAAAGCCCCGGGAGATGGCTCCGTCTGCTGCTGTACCAGACCGGGTCCTGCAAAGGATGCATCCTCCGAGCCTCCTCCCTGCACGTCCAGTGGGGCCTGCCCCGATTCTACCTGAGGGACCCACTGGAGGAGAGGCACGGGGATGCTGCCTGAGCAGCGGACCCTTCTGGCGCGGAGCAGGCTGTCCCCAGGCAGAGTCCGACGGGTCCTTCCTTCTGGGTGCCCCCGGCTTCCCGGACTCCAGCAGGCCTGGGAAGGCCCCGGGCCCCCTTAGCCGATGCCCAGAGAGTCTCCATTTCTCAAGCTTTGCCACCGAACTCATCGGTCGGTGCGCCTCTGATCGCAGGGCAAGGGCCTGCGCACCCCCAAAGACAAGCGGGGTCCCCGGAAGGCCCCCAGGCAGAAATGAGCACCACGGGGAACGGCCCGCCTCCAAGACAACCTCGGGGACATGGACACAACAAGACAGGGTGGCAAGTCTCAACAAGGCGGGTGCGCGGCGTCTAAGGGTGGCCTGGCCGGGCCGGGCCGGGCCGGGCCGGGCCTGGCCTTGCGTCCACCTCGTCAAGAACCGTCTGGGTACGGGCCCCGCGGGATGCCCCGCGGCCCACCTTCCTCCCTAGGACGCAAGGAGGAACGCCCCGGCGCCGGCCAGCAGCGGCGGGCACCGGCGCCAATGGCCACGGAACTCAGCACTGGCAGTCGGCCCTCCTCACGCCGCAGGCGTGCAGTGTGGCCGACGGAGCCTCCCGGGCCGAGGACCCAGCTAGGCCGTCACCCCGGTTGCTCCCACGGGAAGGGGCACCAGGCAAACTGCCCAAGGCCCCGAGCCCAGGCTCCCTGGCGGAGGCCTCCGCTGGTCCCGCCCAGATCATGGCCGCCACCAGGCTCCCGAGCCATGGCTTCCTGTCCGGGAACGGCCCGGCGTCCTGGCTGTCCAGCTAGTCCTGGCGCCTCTCTCTGGGGCTTCCACCGCCCGACCCCGCGGCGGAGCCTGCTTCTCTCGGACCTCCAGAGACCTCGGATCCGTCCGAGCACCTGCCCTAGTCCTGCCTGGTCCCCCAGGACAGTCCCAAGCCACTCCTCCCCAGGCGAGCACAGCGAAGGGTGCGCGGGATTGCCAAGCCAGTTCCTCTTGATGGCAGTATTGCTCCAGAAATGCCCACCTGCCCTTCCCCCACGTCCACTCCCTCCGCCCTTTGCTGAGGAAAAAACGCCAACAGCGCCCCGCACATGGCGGATCAGCATCTCGGCCGCTTTGGGCCAGCCCTGGCCCACCTGCGGGACCCTGTCCTTGGCAGATGGGACTCGGCGGGACCCTTCTTACTAGCCTGCCTTCCTGACAAACCAGAAAGCGGTCCCCTTGGACCGCCCTGGGGATGGACCCGACCTAACCGCATCCCTAACGATGCGTTAGGATGGGAGGATGGTGGAACCCGCAGGGACGAGAAGGAGACTGGGCACACACGAGGATCCCAGCCCCGGCCCTGCCCCCCGGGACACATTGGCACTTGGGCATTCTCACGGGTCACGGCAAGGCCAGCTTGACCAAGAGGTCAAAGGCGACTGGCGTCCCACTGACCGCTGGGGGTTTGGCCTCAAACTTCAGGTGAACCCACAATTCCGGAATAGCGGGACCGGCACCCGGGCCCTTCTCACGTGGCAGCACCGGCAAGGGGCTGGGGGAAGAGCCCACGCCAGCCTACGTCACGCAGGAAGGGAGCCAGTGGCCACCCCAAACACACCTCTCCTCCTCACACCTGGCCTACGTCCAACTCTCCACGGCTCTGCCCAGAAGGCTGCACGTACAACACACACAGAGGCGGGCATTTCCCTGACGACTCGTGTGTGCCGTGGGGGAGCGGTAGATGGCCCAGCCCCAAGTGTTCCGATCTTCCTGCCCAAACATATTCTGTGACGGAAAGCCTATGTTGACCTCGTCCGGCACTCAAGGCGTGGGCAGCGGCCTAACGTCTGCTGCGGGAACACAGTCGCGTTGAATGCTATTCTCAAGACAGACAAAACAGTGGGAAGACACTACGCCAAGCTGCTAACTCCCTGGCCATTGCCGGACTCTTTCACCCCCATGGACTTTCCGCTGGCATTTTAAACAACATAGTTTCTTTTCTCTGTCTCTTTCTCTTTCTCTCTCTCTTTCTCTTTCTCTCTCTCTCTCTCTCTCTCTCTCTCTCTCAATCTCATAATTTCTCTCTCTCGTGCCACGTTCCCACCCAACGCTCTCTCGCCCACTTCTACTGGGGCCCACTTCCTCTCCTGCTCTCTCTGTCTCAACGTGATTGACTTTCTTGTGCTGCCCAGGACTTCTTGCCCACGTGCGCCTTCAAAACGGTAAGAGCTGCAACTGAACGTGTGAGACATGGTGCAGATAGGCTGAGAGGCGGCGGGAGAGATGCCCATGAACTCAAGTACCCGGACACGCCCTCCACTTCTACCACCACGAGTAACACCGCCCCCACGGGACTGCTCTCGAGGTCCCCCAAGCCAAGGTGAGGCAAGTCCCAGTTGAATGTCATCCCGTTCCTCTTGGGCACGGCGGACCGCTCTCGCCCTTAAAGGTGCGTTGACGTGGAAGGTGAATGTCTCTTTGCGTGACAGTGCCTCAGCGCACGGGCGACGAGGGGCACACCTATCCCCCTGGCTCGCTCTCTAGCTGGATTCAGGTGGAACGGAGGACCATGAACCCTCTGGACCTTTTCTGCCTTGGTCCTATGCTTGTAAGGTTTCCGGCCTAAGAGGCCCATCGACTCCTTCTGCCTTCTTTCAGTTGATTACAAAATAAATAAATAAATAAATAAATAAATAAATAAATAAATAAAAAAGCAGGACATTAAACCTGCCACCTCCAGAGGGTCCTCTAGCTTCCTTCTCCACTCCTGGATTGAGCGAAGCGGTGCCGACCTCCACCCTTTGGGCACGAGCCCCTGTGCACTTGGGAGACTCCTGAACACCCTCGGAGAAGCCAGAAAGCCCCGGGAGATGGCTCCGTCTGCTGCTGTACCAGACCGGGTCCTGCAAAGGATGCATCCTCCGAGCCTCCTCCCTGCACGTCCAGTGGGGCCTGCCCCGATTCTACCTGAGGGACCCACTGGAGGAGAGGCACGGGGATGCTGCCTGAGCAGCGGACCCTTCTGGCGCGGAGCAGGCTGTCCCCAGGCAGAGTCCGACGGGTCCTTCCTTCTGGGTGCCCCCGGCTTCCCGGACTCCAGCAGGCCTGGGAAGGCCCCGGGCCCCCTTAGCCGATGCCCAGAGAGTCTCCATTTCTCAAGCTTTGCCACCGAACTCATCGGTCGGTGCGCCTCTGATCGCAGGGCAAGGGCCTGCGCACCCCCAAAGACAAGCGGGGTCCCCGGAAGGCCCCCAGGCAGAAATGAGCACCACGGGGAACGGCCCGCCTCCAAGACAACCTCGGGGACATGGACACAACAAGACAGGGTGGCAAGTCTCAACAAGGCGGGTGCGCGGCGTCTAAGGGTGGCCTGGCCGGGCCGGGCCGGGCCGGGCCGGGCCTGGCCTTGCGTCCACCTCGTCAAGAACCGTCTGGGTACGGGCCCCGCGGGATGCCCCGCGGCCCACCTTCCTCCCTAGGACGCAAGGAGGAACGCCCCGGCGCCGGCCAGCAGCGGCGGGCACCGGCGCCAATGGCCACGGAACTCAGCACTGGCAGTCGGCCCTCCTCACGCCGCAGGCGTGCAGTGTGGCCGACGGAGCCTCCCGGGCCGAGGACCCAGCTAGGCCGTCACCCCGGTTGCTCCCACGGGAAGGGGCACCAGGCAAACTGCCCAAGGCCCCGAGCCCAGGCTCCCTGGCGGAGGCCTCCGCTGGTCCCGCCCAGATCATGGCCGCCACCAGGCTCCCGAGCCATGGCTTCCTGTCCGGGAACGGCCCGGCGTCCTGGCTGTCCAGCTAGTCCTGGCGCCTCTCTCTGGGGCTTCCACCGCCCGACCCCGCGGCGGAGCCTGCTTCTCTCGGACCTCCAGAGACCTCGGATCCGTCCGAGCACCTGCCCTAGTCCTGCCTGGTCCCCCAGGACAGTCCCAAGCCACTCCTCCCCAGGCGAGCACAGCGAAGGGTGCGCGGGATTGCCAAGCCAGTTCCTCTTGATGGCAGTATTGCTCCAGAAATGCCCACCTGCCCTTCCCCCACGTCCACTCCCTCCGCCCTTTGCTGAGGAAAAAACGCCAACAGCGCCCCGCACATGGCGGATCAGCATCTCGGCCGCTTTGGGCCAGCCCTGGCCCACCTGCGGGACCCTGTCCTTGGCAGATGGGACTCGGCGGGACCCTTCTTACTAGCCTGCCTTCCTGACAAACCAGAAAGCGGTCCCCTTGGACCGCCCTGGGGATGGACCCGACCTAACCGCATCCCTAACGATGCGTTAGGATGGGAGGATGGTGGAACCCGCAGGGACGAGAAGGAGACTGGGCACACACGAGGATCCCAGCCCCGGCCCTGCCCCCCGGGACACATTGGCACTTGGGCATTCTCACGGGTCACGGCAAGGCCAGCTTGACCAAGAGGTCAAAGGCGACTGGCGTCCCACTGACCGCTGGGGGTTTGGCCTCAAACTTCAGGTGAACCCACAATTCCGGAATAGCGGGACCGGCACCCGGGCCCTTCTCACGTGGCAGCACCGGCAAGGGGCTGGGGGAAGAGCCCACGCCAGCCTACGTCACGCAGGAAGGGAGCCAGTGGCCACCCCAAACACACCTCTCCTCCTCACACCTGGCCTACGTCCAACTCTCCACGGCTCTGCCCAGAAGGCTGCACGTACAACACACACAGAGGCGGGCATTTCCCTGACGACTCGTGTGTGCCGTGGGGGAGCGGTAGATGGCCCAGCCCCAAGTGTTCCGATCTTCCTGCCCAAACATATTCTGTGACGGAAAGCCTATGTTGACCTCGTCCGGCACTCAAGGCGTGGGCAGCGGCCTAACGTCTGCTGCGGGAACACAGTCGCGTTGAATGCTATTCTCAAGACAGACAAAACAGTGGGAAGACACTACGCCAAGCTGCTAACTCCCTGGCCATTGCCGGACTCTTTCACCCCCATGGACTTTCCGCTGGCATTTTAAACAACATAGTTTCTTTTCTCTGTCTCTTTCTCTTTCTCTCTCTCTTTCTCTTTCTCTCTCTCTCTCTCTCTCTCTCTCTCTCTCTCTCAATCTCATAATTTCTCTCTCTCGTGCCACGTTCCCACCCAACGCTCTCTCGCCCACTTCTACTGGGGCCCACTTCCTCTCCTGCTCTCTCTGTCTCAACGTGATTGACTTTCTTGTGCTGCCCAGGACTTCTTGCCCACGTGCGCCTTCAAAACGGTAAGAGCTGCAACTGAACGTGTGAGACATGGTGCAGATAGGCTGAGAGGCGGCGGGAGAGATGCCCATGAACTCAAGTACCCGGACACGCCCTCCACTTCTACCACCACGAGTAACACCGCCCCCACGGGACCGCTCTCGAGGTCCCCCAAGCCAAGGTGAGGCAAGTCCCAGTTGAATGTCATCCCGTTCCTCTTGGGCACGGCGGACCGCTCTCGCCCTTAAAGGTGCGTTGACGTGGAAGGTGAATGTCTCTTTGCGTGACAGTGCCTCAGCGCACGGGCGACGAGGGGCACACCTATCCCCCTGGCTCGCTCTCTAGCTGGATTCAGGTGGAACGGAGGACCATGAACCCTCTGGCCCTTTTCTGCCTTGGTCCTATGCTTGTAAGGTTTCCGGCCTAAGAGGCCCATCGACTCCTTCTGCCTTCTTTCAGTTGATTACAAAATAAATAAATAAATAAATAAATAAATAAATAAATAAATAAATAAAAAAGCAGGACATTAAACCTGCCACCTCCAGAGGGTCCTCTAGCTTCCTTCTCCACTCCTGGATTGAGCGAAGCGGTGCCGACCTCCACCCTTTGGGCACGAGCCCCTGTGCACTTGGGAGACTCCTGAACACCCTCGGAGAAGCCAGAAAGCCCCGGGAGATGGCTCCGTCTGCTGCTGTACCAGACCGGGTCCTGCAAAGGATGCATCCTCCGAGCCTCCTCCCTGCACGTCCAGTGGGGCCTGCCCCGATTCTACCTGAGGGACCCACTGGAGGAGAGGCACGGGGATGCTGCCTGAGCAGCGGACCCTTCTGGCGCGGAGCAGGCTGTCCCCAGGCAGAGTCCGACGGGTCCTTCCTTCTGGGTGCCCCCGGCTTCCCGGACTCCAGCAGGCCTGGGAAGGCCCCGGGCCCCCTTAGCCGATGCCCAGAGAGTCTCCATTTCTCAAGCTTTGCCACCGAACTCATCGGTCGGTGCGCCTCTGATCGCAGGGCAAGGGCCTGCGCACCCCCAAAGACAAGCGGGGTCCCCGGAAGGCCCCCAGGCAGAAATGAGCACCACGGGGAACGGCCCGCCTCCAAGACAACCTCGGGGACATGGACACAACAAGACAGGGTGGCAAGTCTCAACAAGGCGGGTGCGCGGCGTCTAAGGGTGGCCTGGCCGGGCCGGGCCGGGCCGGGCCGGGCCTGGCCTTGCGTCCACCTCGTCAAGAACCGTCTGGGTACGGGCCCCGCGGGATGCCCCGCGGCCCACCTTCCTCCCTAGGACGCAAGGAGGAACGCCCCGGCGCCGGCCAGCAGCGGCGGGCACCGGCGCCAATGGCCACGGAACTCAGCACTGGCAGTCGGCCCTCCTCACGCCGCAGGCGTGCAGTGTGGCCGACGGAGCCTCCCGGGCCGAGGACCCAGCTAGGCCGTCACCCCGGTTGCTCCCACGGGAAGGGGCACCAGGCAAACTGCCCAAGGCCCCGAGCCCAGGCTCCCTGGCGGAGGCCTCCGCTGGTCCCGCCCAGATCATGGCCGCCACCAGGCTCCCGAGCCATGGCTTCCTGTCCGGGAACGGCCCGGCGTCCTGGCTGTCCAGCTAGTCCTGGCGCCTCTCTCTGGGGCTTCCACCGCCCGACCCCGCGGCGGAGCCTGCTTCTCTCGGACCTCCAGAGACCTCGGATCCGTCCGAGCACCTGCCCTAGTCCTGCCTGGTCCCCCAGGACAGTCCCAAGCCACTCCTCCCCAGGCGAGCACAGCGAAGGGTGCGCGGGATTGCCAAGCCAGTTCCTCTTGATGGCAGTATTGCTCCAGAAATGCCCACCTGCCCTTCCCCCACGTCCACTCCCTCCGCCCTTTGCTGAGGAAAAAACGCCAACAGCGCCCCGCACATGGCGGATCAGCATCTCGGCCGCTTTGGGCCAGCCCTGGCCCACCTGCGGGACCCTGTCCTTGGCAGATGGGACTCGGCGGGACCCTTCTTACTAGCCTGCCTTCCTGACAAACCAGAAAGCGGTCCCCTTGGACCGCCCTGGGGATGGACCCGACCTAACCGCATCCCTAACGATGCGTTAGGATGGGAGGATGGTGGAACCCGCAGGGACGAGAAGGAGACTGGGCACACACGAGGATCCCAGCCCCGGCCCTGCCCCCCGGGACACATTGGCACTTGGGCATTCTCACGGGTCACGGCAAGGCCAGCTTGACCAAGAGGTCAAAGGCGACTGGCGTCCCACTGACCGCTGGGGGTTTGGCCTCAAACTTCAGGTGAACCCACAATTCCGGAATAGCGGGACCGGCACCCGGGCCCTTCTCACGTGGCAGCACCGGCAAGGGGCTGGGGGAAGAGCCCACGCCAGCCTACGTCACGCAGGAAGGGAGCCAGTGGCCACCCCAAACACACCTCTCCTCCTCACACCTGGCCTACGTCCAACTCTCCACGGCTCTGCCCAGAAGGCTGCACGTACAACACACACAGAGGCGGGCATTTCCCTGACGACTCGTGTGTGCCGTGGGGGAGCGGAAGATGGCCCAGCCCCAAGTGTTCCGATCTTCCTGCCCAAACATATTCTGTGACGGAAAGCCTATGTTGACCTCGTCCGGCACTCAAGGCGTGGGCAGCGGCCTAACGTCTGCTGCGGGAACACAGTCGCGTTGAATGCTATTCTCAAGACAGACAAAACAGTGGGAAGACACTACGCCAAGCTGCTAACTCCCTGGCCATTGCCGGACTCTTTCACCCCCATGGACTTTCCGCTGGCATTTTAAACAACATAGTTTCTTTTCTCTGTCTCTTTCTCTTTCTCTCTCTCTTTCTCTTTCTCTCTCTCTCTCTCTCTCTCTCTCTCTCTCTCTCAATCTCATAATTTCTCTCTCTCGTGCCACGTTCCCACCCAACGCTCTCTCGCCCACTTCTACTGGGGCCCACTTCCTCTCCTGCTCTCTCTGTCTCAACGTGATTGACTTTCTTGTGCTGCCCAGGACTTCTTGCCCACGTGCGCCTTCAAAACGGTAAGAGCTGCAACTGAACGTGTGAGACATGGTGCAGATAGGCTGAGAGGCGGCGGGAGAGATGCCCATGAACTCAAGTACCCGGACACGCCCTCCACTTCTACCACCACGAGTAACACCGCCCCCACGGGACCGCTCTCGAGGTCCCCCAAGCCAAGGTGAGGCAAGTCCCAGTTGAATGTCATCCCGTTCCTCTTGGGCACGGCGGACCGCTCTCGCCCTTAAAGGTGCGTTGACGTGGAAGGTGAATGTCTCTTTGCGTGACAGTGCCTCAGCGCACGGGCGACGAGGGGCACACCTATCCCCCTGGCTCGCTCTCTAGCTGGATTCAGGTGGAACGGAGGACCATGAACCCTCTGGACCTTTTCTGCCTTGGTCCTATGCTTGTAAGGTTTCCGGCCTAAGAGGCCCATCGACTCCTTCTGCCTTCTTTCAGTGGATTACAAAATAAATAAATAAATAAATAAATAAATAAATAAATAAATAAATAAAAAAGCAGGACATTAAACCTGCCACCTCCAGAGGGTCCTCTAGCTTCCTTCTCCACTCCTGGATTGAGCGAAGCGGTGCCGACCTCCACCCTTTGGGCACGAGCCCCTGTGCACTTGGGAGACTCCTGAACACCCTCGGAGAAGCCAGAAAGCCCCGGGAGATGGCTCCGTCTGCTGCTGTACCAGACCGGGTCCTGCAAAGGATGCATCCTCCGAGCCTCCTCCCTGCACGTCCAGTGGGGCCTGCCCCGATTCTACCTGAGGGAGCCACTGGAGGAGAGGCACGGGGATGCTGCCTGAGCAGCGGACCCTTCTGGCGCGGAGCAGGCTGTCCCCAGGCAGAGTCCGACGGGTCCTTCCTTCTGGGTGCCCCCGGCTTCCCGGACTCCAGCAGGCCTGGGAAGGCCCCAGGCCCCCTTAGCCGATGCCCAGAGAGTCTCCATTTCTCAAGCTTTGCCACCGAACTCATCGGTCGGTGCGCCTCTGATCGCAGGGCAAGGGCCTGCGCACCCCCAAAGACAAGCGGGGTCCCCGGAAGGCCCCCAGGCAGAAATGAGCACCACGGGGAACGGCCCGCCTCCAAGACAACCTCGGGGACATGGACACAACAAGACAGGGTGGCAAGTCTCAACAAGGCGGGTGCGCGGCGTCTAAGGGTGGCCTGGCCGGGCCGGGCCGGGCCGGGCCGGGCCTGGCCTTGCGTCCACCTCGTCAAGAACCGTCTGGGTACGGGCCCCGCGGGATGCCCCGCGGCCCACCTTCCTCCCTAGGACGCAAGGAGGAACGCCCCGGCGCCGGCCAGCAGCGGCGGGCACCGGCGCCAATGGCCACGGAACTCAGCACTGGCAGTCGGCCCTCCTCACGCCGCAGGCGTGCAGTGTGGCCGACGGAGCCTCCCGGGCCGAGGACCCAGCTAGGCCGTCACCCCGGTTGCTCCCACGGGAAGGGGCACCAGGCAAACTGCCCAAGGCCCCGAGCCCAGGCTCCCTGGCGGAGGCCTCCGCTGGTCCCGCCCAGATCATGGCCGCCACCAGGCTCCCGAGCCATGGCTTCCTGTCCGGGAACGGCCCGGCGTCCTGGCTGTCCAGCTAGTCCTGGCGCCTCTCTCTGGGGCTTCCACCGCCCGACCCCGCGGCGGAGCCTGCTTCTCTCGGACCTCCAGAGACCTCGGATCCGTCCGAGCACCTGCCCTAGTCCTGCCTGGTCCCCCAGGACAGTCCCAAGCCACTCCTCCCCAGGCGAGCACAGCGAAGGGTGCGCGGGATTGCCAAGCCAGTTCCTCTTGATGGCAGTATTGCTCCAGAAATGCCCACCTGCCCTTCCCCCACGTCCACTCCCTCCGCCCTTTGCTGAGGAAAAAACGCCAACAGCGCCCCGCACATGGCGGATCAGCATCTCGGCCGCTTTGGGCCAGCCCTGGCCCACCTGCGGGACCCTGTCCTTGGCAGATGGGACTCGGCGGGACCCTTCTTACTAGCCTGCCTTCCTGACAAACCAGAAAGCGGTCCCCTTGGACCGCCCTGGGGATGGACCCGACCTAACCGCATCCCTAACGATGCGTTAGGATGGGAGGATGGTGGAACCCGCAGGGACGAGAAGGAGACTGGGCACACACGAGGATCCCAGCCCCGGCCCTGCCCCCCGGGACACATTGGCACTTGGGCATTCTCACGGGTCACGGCAAGGCCAGCTTGACCAAGAGGTCAAAGGCGACTGGCGTCCCACTGACCGCTGGGGGTTTGGCCTCAAACTTCAGGTGAACCCACAATTCCGGAATAGCGGGACCGGCACCCGGGCCCTTCTCACGTGGCAGCACCGGCAAGGGGCTGGGGGAAGAGCCCACGCCAGCCTACGTCACGCAGGAAGGGAGCCAGTGGCCACCCCAAACACACCTCTCCTCCTCACACCTGGCCTACGTCCAACTCTCCACGGCTCTGCCCAGAAGGCTGCACGTACAACACACACAGAGGCGGGCATTTCCCTGACGACTCGTGTGTGCCGTGGGGGAGCGGTAGATGGCCCAGCCCCAAGTGTTCCGATCTTCCTGCCCAAACATATTCTGTGACGGAAAGCCTATGTTGACCTCGTCCGGCACTCAAGGCGTGGGCAGCGGCCTAACGTCTGCTGCGGGAACACAGTCGCGTTGAATGCTATTCTCAAGACAGACAAAACAGTGGGAAGACACTACGCCAAGCTGCTAACTCCCTGGCCATTGCCGGACTCTTTCACCCCCATGGACTTTCCGCTGGCATTTTAAACAACATAGTTTCTTTTCTCTGTCTCTTTCTCTTTCTCTCTCTCTTTCTCTTTCTCTCTCTCTCTCTCTCTCTCTCTCTCTCTCAATCTCATAATTTCTCTCTCTCGTGCCACGTTCCCACCCAACGCTCTCTCGCCCACTTCTACTGGGGCCCACTTCCTCTCCTGCTCTCTCTGTCTCAACGTGATTGACTTTCTTGTGCTGCCCAGGACTTCTTGCCCACGTGCGCCTTCAAAACGGTAAGAGCTGCAACTGAACGTGTGAGACATGGTGCAGATAGGCTGAGAGGCGGCGGGAGAGATGCCCATGAACTCAAGTACCCGGACACGCCCTCCACTTCTACCACCACGAGTAACACCGCCCCCACGGGACCGCTCTCGAGGTCCCCCAAGCCAAGGTGAGGCAAGTCCCAGTTGAATGTCATCCCGTTCCTCTTGGGCACGGCGGACCGCTCTCGCCCTTAAAGGTGCGTTGACGTGGAAGGTGAATGTCTCTTTGCGTGACAGTGCCTCAGCGCACGGGCGACGAGGGGCACACCTATCCCCCTGGCTCGCTCTCTAGCTGGATTCAGGTGGAACGGAGGACCATGAACCCTCTGGACCTTTTCTGCCTTGGTCCTATGCTTGTAAGGTTTCCGGCCTAAGAGGCCCATCGACTCCTTCTGCCTTCTTTCAGTTGATTACAAAATAAATAAATAAATAAATAAATAAATAAATAAATAAAAAAGCAGGACATTAAACCTGCCACCTCCAGAGGGTCCTCTAGCTTCCTTCTCCACTCCTGGATTGAGCGAAGCGGTGCCGACCTCCACCCTTTGGGCACGAGCCCCTGTGCACTTGGGAGACTCCTGAACACCCTCGGAGAAGCCAGAAAGCCCCGGGAGATGGCTCCGTCTGCTGCTGTACCAGACCGGGTCCTGCAAAGGATGCATCCTCCGAGCCTCCTCCCTGCACGTCCAGTGGGGCCTGCCCCGATTCTACCTGAGGGACCCACTGGAGGAGAGGCACGGGGATGCTGCCTGAGCAGCGGACCCTTCTGGCGCGGAGCAGGCTGTCCCCAGGCAGAGTCCGACGGGTCCTTCCTTCTGGGTGCCCCCGGCTTCCCGGACTCCAGCAGGCCTGGGAAGGCCCCGGGCCCCCTTAGCCGATGCCCAGAGAGTCTCCATTTCTCAAGCTTTGCCACCGAACTCATCGGTCGGTGCGCCTCTGATCGCAGGGCAAGGGCCTGCGCACCCCCAAAGACAAGCGGGGTCCCCGGAAGGCCCCCAGGCAGAAATGAGCACCACGGGGAACGGCCCGCCTCCAAGACAACCTCGGGGACATGGACACAACAAGACAGGGTGGCAAGTCTCAACAAGGCGGGTGCGCGGCGTCTAAGGGTGGCCTGGCCGGGCCGGGCCGGGCCGGGCCGGGCCTGGCCTTGCGTCCACCTCGTCAAGAACCGTCTGGGTACGGGCCCCGCGGGATGCCCCGCGGCCCACCTTCCTCCCTAGGACGCAAGGAGGAACGCCCCGGCGCCGGCCAGCAGCGGCGGGCACCGGCGCCAATGGCCACGGAACTCAGCACTGGCAGTCGGCCCTCCTCACGCCGCAGGCGTGCAGTGTGGCCGACGGAGCCTCCCGGGCCGAGGACCCAGCTAGGCCGTCACCCCGGTTGCTCCCACGGGAAGGGGCACCAGGCAAACTGCCCAAGGCCCCGAGCCCAGGCTCCCTGGCGGAGGCCTCCGCTGGTCCCGCCCAGATCAGGGCCGCCACCAGGCTCCCGAGCCATGGCTTCCTGTCCGGGAACGGCCCGGCGTCCTGGCTGTCCAGCTAGTCCTGGCGCCTCTCTCTGGGGCTTCCACCGCCCGACCCCGCGGCGGAGCCTGCTTCTCTCGGACCTCCAGAGACCTCGGATCCGTCCGAGCACCTGCCCTAGTCCTGCCTGGTCCCCCAGGACAGTCCCAAGCCACTCCTCCCCAGGCGAGCACAGCGAAGGGTGCGCGGGATTGCCAAGCCAGTTCCTCTTGATGGCAGTATTGCTCCAGAAATGCCCACCTGCCCTTCCCCCACGTCCACTCCCTCCGCCCTTTGCTGAGGAAAAAACGCCAACAGCGCCCCGCACATGGCGGATCAGCATCTCGGCCGCTTTGGGCCAGCCCTGGCCCACCTGCGGGACCCTGTCCTTGGCAGATGGGACTCGGCGGGACCCTTCTTACTAGCCTGCCTTCCTGACAAACCAGAAAGCGGTCCCCTTGGACCGCCCTGGGGATGGACCCGACCTAACCGCATCCCTAACGATGCGTTAGGATGGGAGGATGGTGGAACCCGCAGGGACGAGAAGGAGACTGGGCACACACGAGGATCCCAGCCCCGGCCCTGCCCCCCGGGACACATTGGCACTTGGGCATTCTCACGGGTCACGGCAAGGCCAGCTTGACCAAGAGGTCAAAGGCGACTGGCGTCCCACTGACCGCTGGGGGTTTGGCCTCAAACTTCAGGTGAACCCACAATTCCGGAATAGCGGGACCGGCACCCGGGCCCTTCTCACGTGGCAGCACCGGCAAGGGGCTGGGGGAAGAGCCCACGCCAGCCTACGTCACGCAGGAAGGGAGCCAGTGGCCACCCCAAACACACCTCTCCTCCTCACACCTGGCCTACGTCCAACTCTCCACGGCTCTGCCCAGAAGGCTGCACGTACAACACACACAGAGGCGGGCATTTCCCTGACGACTCGTGTGTGCCGTGGGGGAGCGGTAGATGGCCCAGCCCCAAGTGTTCCGATCTTCCTGCCCAAACATATTCTGTGACGGAAAGCCTATGTTGACCTCGTCCGGCACTCAAGGCGTGGGCAGCGGCCTAACGTCTGCTGCGGGAACACAGTCGCGTTGAATGCTATTCTCAAGACAGACAAAACAGTGGGAAGACACTACGCCAAGCTGCTAACTCCCTGGCCATTGCCGGACTCTTTCACCCCCATGGACTTTCCGCTGGCATTTTAAACAACATAGTTTCTTTTCTCTGTCTCTTTCTCTTTCTCTCTCTCTTTCTCTTTCTCTCTCTCTCTCTCTCTCTCTCTCTCAATCTCATAATTTCTCTCTCTCGTGCCACGTTCCCACCCAACGCTCTCTCGCCCACTTCTACTGGGGCCCACTTCCTCTCCTGCTCTCTCTGTCTCAACGTGATTGACTTTCTTGTGCTGCCCAGGACTTCTTGCCCACGTGCGCCTTCAAAACGGTAAGAGCTGCAACTGAACGTGTGAGACATGGTGCAGATAGGCTGAGAGGCGGCGGGAGAGATGCCCATGAACTCAAGTACCCGGACACGCCCTCCACTTCTACCACCACGAGTAACACCGCCCCCACGGGACTGCTCTCGAGGTCCCCCAAGCCAAGGTGAGGCAAGTCCCAGTTGAATGTCATCCCATTCCTCTTGGGCACGGCGGACCGCTCTCGCCCTTAAAGGTGCGTTGACGTGGAAGGTGAATGTCTCTTTGCGTGACAGTGCCTCAGCGCACGGGCGACGAGGGGCACACCTATCCCCCTGGCTCGCTCTCTAGCTGGATTCAGGTGGAACGGAGGACCATGAACCCTCTGGACCTTTTCTGCCTTGGTCCTATGCTTGTAAGGTTTCCGGCCTAAGAGGCCCATCGACTCCTTCTGCCTTCTTTCAGTTGATTACAAAATAAATAAATAAATAAATAAATAAATAAATAAATAAATAAATAAAAAAGCAGGACATTAAACCTGCCACCTCCAGAGGGTCCTCTAGCTTCCTTCTCCACTCCTGGATTGAGCGAAGCGGTGCCGACCTCCACCCTTTGGGCACGAGCCCCTGTGCACTTGGGAGACTCCCGAACACCCTCGGAGAAGCCAGAAAGCCCCGGGAGATGGCTCCGTCTGCTGCTGTACCAGACCGGGTCCTGCAAAGGATGCATCCTCCGAGCCTCCTCCCTGCACGTCCAGTGGGGCCTGCCCCGATTCTACCTGAGGGAGCCACTGGAGGAGAGGCACGGGGATGCTGCCTGAGCAGCGGACCCTTCTGGCGCAGAGCAGGCTGTCCCCAGGCAGAGTCCGACGGGTCCTTCCTTCTGGGTGCCCCCGGCTTCCCGGACTCCAGCAGGCCTGGGAAGGCCCCGGGCCCCCTTAGCCGATGCCCAGAGAGTCTCCATTTCTCAAGCTTTGCCACCGAACTCATCGGTCGGTGCGCCTCTGATCGCAGGGCAAGGGCCTGCGCACCCCCAAAGACAAGCGGGGTCCCCGGAAGGCCCCCAGGCAGAAATGAGCACCACGGGGAACGGCCCGCCTCCAAGACAACCTCGGGGACATGGACACAACAAGACAGGGTGGCAAGTCTCAACAAGGCGGGTGCGCGGCGTCTAAGGGTGGCCTGGCCGGGCCGGGCCGGGCCGGGCCGGGCCTGGCCTTGCGTCCACCTCGTCAAGAACCGTCTGGGTACGGGCCCCGCGGGATGCCCCGCGGCCCACCTTCCTCCCTAGGACGCAAGGAGGAACGCCCCGGCGCCGGCCAGCAGCGGCGGGCACCGGCGCCAATGGCCACGGAACTCAGCACTGGCAGTCGGCCCTCCTCACGCCGCAGGCGTGCAGTGTGGCCGACGGAGCCTCCCGGGCCGAGGACCCAGCTAGGCCGTCACCCCGGTTGCTCCCACGGGAAGGGGCACCAGGCAAACTGCCCAAGGCCCCGAGCCCAGGCTCCCTGGCGGAGGCCTCCGCTGGTCCCGCCCAGATCATGGCCGCCACCAGGCTCCCGAGCCATGGCTTCCTGTCCGGGAACGGCCCGGCGTCCTGGCTGTCCAGCTAGTCCTGGCGCCTCTCTCTGGGGCTTCCACCGCCCGACCCCGCGGCGGAGCCTGCTTCTCTCGGACCTCCAGAGACCTCGGATCCGTCCGAGCACCTGCCCTAGTCCTGCCTGGTCCCCCAGGACAGTCCCAAGCCACTCCTCCCCAGGCGAGCACAGCGAAGGGTGCGCGGGATTGCCAAGCCAGTTCCTCTTGATGGCAGTATTGCTCCAGAAATGCCCACCTGCCCTTCCCCCACGTCCACTCCCTCCGCCCTTTGCTGAGGAAAAAACGCCAACAGCGCCCCGCACATGGCGGATCAGCATCTCGGCCGCTTTGGGCCAGCCCTGGCCCACCTGCGGGACCCTGTCCTTGGCAGATGGGACTCGGCGGGACCCTTCTTACTAGCCTGCCTTCCTGACAAACCAGAAAGCGGTCCCCTTGGACCGCCCTGGGGATGGACCCGACCTAACCGCATCCCTAACGATGCGTTAGGATGGGAGGATGGTGGAACCCGCAGGGACGAGAAGGAGACTGGGCACACACGAGGATCCCAGCCCCGGCCCTGCCCCCCGGGACACATTGGCACTTGGGCATTCTCACGGGTCACGGCAAGGCCAGCTTGACCAAGAGGTCAAAGGCGACTGGCGTCCCACTGACCGCTGGGGGTTTGGCCTCAAACTTCAGGTGAACCCACAATTCCGGAATAGCGGGACCGGCACCCGGGCCCTTCTCACGTGGCAGCACCGGCAAGGGGCTGGGGGAAGAGCCCACGCCAGCCTACGTCACGCAGGAAGGGAGCCAGTGGCCACCCCAAACACACCTCTCCTCCTCACACCTGGCCTACGTCCAACTCTCCACGGCTCTGCCCAGAAGGCTGCACGTACAACACACACAGAGGCGGGCATTTCCCTGACGACTCGTGTGTGCCGTGGGGGAGCGGTAGATGGCCCAGCCCCAAGTGTTCCGATCTTCCTGCCCAAACATATTCTGTGACGGAAAGCCTATGTTGACCTCGTCCGGCACTCAAGGCGTGGGCAGCGGCCTAACGTCTGCTGCGGGAACACAGTCGCGTTGAATGCTATTCTCAAGACAGACAAAACAGTGGGAAGACACTACGCCAAGCTGCTAACTCCCTGGCCATTGCCGGACTCTTTCACCCCCATGGACTTTCCGCTGGCATTTTAAACAACATAGTTTCTTTTCTCTGTCTCTTTCTCTTTCTCTCTCTCTTTCTCTTTCTCTCTCTCTCTCTCTCTCTCTCTCAATCTCATAATTTCTCTCTCTCGTGCCACGTTCCCACCCAACGCTCTCTCGCCCACTTCTACTGGGGCCCACTTCCTCTCCTGCTCTCTCTGTCTCAACGTGATTGACTTTCTTGTGCTGCCCAGGACTTCTTGCCCACGTGCGCCTTCAAAACGGTAAGAGCTGCAACTGAACGTGTGAGACATGGTGCAGATAGGCTGAGAGGCGGCGGGAGAGATGCCCATGAACTCAAGTACCCGGACACGCCCTCCACTTCTACCACCACGAGTAACACCGCCCCCACGGGACCGCTCTCGAGGTCCCCCAAGCCAAGGTGAGGCAAGTCCCAGTTGAATGTCATCCCGTTCCTCTTGGGCACGGCGGACCGCTCTCGCCCTTAAAGGTGCGTTGACGTGGAAGGTGAATGTCTCTTTGCGTGACAGTGCCTCAGCGCACGGGCGACGAGGGGCACACCTATCCCCCTGGCTCGCTCTCTAGCTGGATTCAGGTGGAACGGAGGACCATGAACCCTCTGGCCCTTTTCTGCCTTGGTCCTATGCTTGTAAGGTTTCCGGCCTAAGAGGCCCATCGACTCCTTCTGCCTTCTTTCAGTTGATTACAAAATAAATAAATAAATAAATAAATAAATAAATAAATAAATAAATAAAAAAGCAGGACATTAAACCTGCCACCTCCAGAGGGTCCTCTAGCTTCCTTCTCCACTCCTGGATTGAGCGAAGCGGTGCCGACCTCCACCCTTTGGGCACGAGCCCCTGTGCACTTGGGAGACTCCTGAACACCCTCGGAGAAGCCAGAAAGCCCCGGGAGATGGCTCCGTCTGCTGCTGTACCAGACCGGGTCCTGCAAAGGATGCATCCTCCGAGCCTCCTCCCTGCACGTCCAGTGGGGCCTGCCCCGATTCTACCTGAGGGACCCACTGGAGGAGAGGCACGGGGATGCTGCCTGAGCAGCGGACCCTTCTGGCGCGGAGCAGGCTGTCCCCAGGCAGAGTCCGACGGGTCCTTCCTTCTGGGTGCCCCCGGCTTCCCGGACTCCAGCAGGCCTGGGAAGGCCCCGGGCCCCCTTAGCCGATGCCCAGAGAGTCTCCATTTCTCAAGCTTTGCCACCGAACTCATCGGTCGGTGCGCCTCTGATCGCAGGGCAAGGGCCTGCGCACCCCCAAAGACAAGCGGGGTCCCCGGAAGGCCCCCAGGCAGAAATGAGCACCACGGGGAACGGCCCGCCTCCAAGACAACCTCGGGGACATGGACACAACAAGACAGGGTGGCAAGTCTCAACAAGGCGGGTGCGCGGCGTCTAAGGGTGGCCTGGCCGGGCCGGGCCGGGCCGGGCCGGGCCTGGCCTTGCGTCCACCTCGTCAAGAACCGTCTGGGTACGGGCCCCGCGGGATGCCCCGCGGCCCACCTTCCTCCCTAGGACGCAAGGAGGAACGCCCCGGCGCCGGCCAGCAGCGGCGGGCACCGGCGCCAATGGCCACGGAACTCAGCACTGGCAGTCGGCCCTCCTCACGCCGCAGGCGTGCAGTGTGGCCGACGGAGCCTCCCGGGCCGAGGACCCAGCTAGGCCGTCACCCCGGTTGCTCCCACGGGAAGGGGCACCAGGCAAACTGCCCAAGGCCCCGAGCCCAGGCTCCCTGGCGGAGGCCTCCGCTGGTCCCGCCCAGATCATGGCCGCCACCAGGCTCCCGAGCCATGGCTTCCTGTCCGGGAACGGCCCGGCGTCCTGGCTGTCCAGCTAGTCCTGGCGCCTCTCTCTGGGGCTTCCACCGCCCGACCCCGCGGCGGAGCCTGCTTCTCTCGGACCTCCAGAGACCTCGGATCCGTCCGAGCACCTGCCCTAGTCCTGCCTGGTCCCCCAGGACAGTCCCAAGCCACTCCTCCCCAGGCGAGCACAGCGAAGGGTGCGCGGGATTGCCAAGCCAGTTCCTCTTGATGGCAGTATTGCTCCAGAAATGCCCACCTGCCCTTCCCCCACGTCCACTCCCTCCGCCCTTTGCTGAGGAAAAAACGCCAACAGCGCCCCGCACATGGCGGATCAGCATCTCGGCCGCTTTGGGCCAGCCCTGGCCCACCTGCGGGACCCTGTCCTTGGCAGATGGGACTCGGCGGGACCCTTCTTACTAGCCTGCCTTCCTGACAAACCAGAAAGCGGTCCCCTTGGACCGCCCTGGGGATGGACCCGACCTAACCGCATCCCTAACGATGCGTTAGGATGGGAGGATGGTGGAACCCGCAGGGACGAGAAGGAGACTGGGCACACACGAGGATCCCAGCCCCGGCCCTGCCCCCCGGGACACATTGGCACTTGGGCATTCTCACGGGTCACGGCAAGGCCAGCTTGACCAAGAGGTCAAAGGCGACTGGCGTCCCACTGACCGCTGGGGGTTTGGCCTCAAACTTCAGGTGAACCCACAATTCCGGAATAGCGGGACCGGCACCCGGGCCCTTCTCACGTGGCAGCACCGGCAAGGGGCTGGGGGAAGAGCCCACGCCAGCCTACGTCACGCAGGAAGGGAGCCAGTGGCCACCCCAAACACACCTCTCCTCCTCACACCTGGCCTACGTCCAACTCTCCACGGCTCTGCCCAGAAGGCTGCACGTACAACACACACAGAGGCGGGCATTTCCCTGACGACTCGTGTGTGCCGTGGGGGAGCGGTAGATGGCCCAGCCCCAAGTGTTCCGATCTTCCTGCCCAAACATATTCTGTGACGGAAAGCCTATGTTGACCTCGTCCGGCACTCAAGGCGTGGGCAGCGGCCTAACGTCTGCTGCGGGAACACAGTCGCGTTGAATGCTATTCTCAAGACAGACAAAACAGTGGGAAGACACTACGCCAAGCTGCTAACTCCCTGGCCATTGCCGGACTCTTTCACCCCCATGGACTTTCCGCTGGCATTTTAAACAACATAGTTTCTTTTCTCTGTCTCTTTCTCTTTCTCTCTCTCTTTCTCTTTCTCTCTCTCTCTCTCTCTCTCTCTCAATCTCATAATTTCTCTCTCTCGTGCCACGTTCCCACCCAACGCTCTCTCGCCCACTTCTACTGGGGCCCACTTCCTCTCCTGCTCTCTCTGTCTCAACGTGATTGACTTTCTTGTGCTGCCCAGGACTTCTTGCCCACGTGCGCCTTCAAAACGGTAAGAGCTGCAACTGAACGTGTGAGACATGGTGCAGATAGGCTGAGAGGCGGCGGGAGAGATGCCCATGAACTCAAGTACCCGGACACGCCCTCCACTTCTACCACCACGAGTAACACCGCCCCCACGGGACCGCTCTCGAGGTCCCCCAAGCCAAGGTGAGGCAAGTCCCAGTTGAATGTCATCCCGTTCCTCTTGGGCACGGCGGACCGCTCTCGCCCTTAAAGGTGCGTTGACGTGGAAGGTGAATGTCTCTTTGCGTGACAGTGCCTCAGCGCACGGGCGACGAGGGGCACACCTATCCCCCTGGCTCGCTCTCTAGCTGGATTCAGGTGGAACGGAGGACCATGAACCCTCTGGCCCTTTTCTGCCTTGGTCCTATGCTTGTAAGGTTTCCGGCCTAAGAGGCCCATCGACTCCTTCTGCCTTCTTTCAGTTGATTACAAAATAAATAAATAAATAAATAAATAAATAAATAAATAAATAAATAAAAAAGCAGGACATTAAACCTGCCACCTCCAGAGGGTCCTCTAGCTTCCTTCTCCACTCCTGGATTGAGCGAAGCGGTGCCGACCTCCACCCTTTGGGCACGAGCCCCTGTGCACTTGGGAGACTCCTGAACACCCTCGGAGAAGCCAGAAAGCCCCGGGAGATGGCTCCGTCTGCTGCTGTACCAGACCGGGTCCTGCAAAGGATGCATCCTCCGAGCCTCCTCCCTGCACGTCCAGTGGGGCCTGCCCCGATTCTACCTGAGGGACCCACTGGAGGAGAGGCACGGGGATGCTGCCTGAGCAGCGGACCCTTCTGGCGCGGAGCAGGCTGTCCCCAGGCAGAGTCCGACGGGTCCTTCCTTCTGGGTGCCCCCGGCTTCCCGGACTCCAGCAGGCCTGGGAAGGCCCCGGGCCCCCTTAGCCGATGCCCAGAGAGTCTCCATTTCTCAAGCTTTGCCACCGAACTCATCGGTCGGTGCGCCTCTGATCGCAGGGCAAGGGCCTGCGCACCCCCAAAGACAAGCGGGGTCCCCGGAAGGCCCCCAGGCAGAAATGAGCACCACGGGGAACGGCCCGCCTCCAAGACAACCTCGGGGACATGGACACAACAAGACAGGGTGGCAAGTCTCAACAAGGCGGGTGCGCGGCGTCTAAGGGTGGCCTGGCCGGGCCGGGCCGGGCCGGGCCGGGCCTGGCCTTGCGTCCACCTCGTCAAGAACCGTCTGGGTACGGGCCCCGCGGGATGCCCCGCGGCCCACCTTCCTCCCTAGGACGCAAGGAGGAACGCCCCGGCGCCGGCCAGCAGCGGCGGGCACCGGCGCCAATGGCCACGGAACTCAGCACTGGCAGTCGGCCCTCCTCACGCCGCAGGCGTGCAGTGTGGCCGACGGAGCCTCCCGGGCCGAGGACCCAGCTAGGCCGTCACCCCGGTTGCTCCCACGGGAAGGGGCACCAGGCAAACTGCCCAAGGCCCCGAGCCCAGGCTCCCTGGCGGAGGCCTCCGCTGGTCCCGCCCAGATCATGGCCGCCACCAGGCTCCCGAGCCATGGCTTCCTGTCCGGGAACGGCCCGGCGTCCTGGCTGTCCAGCTAGTCCTGGCGCCTCTCTCTGGGGCTTCCACCGCCCGACCCCGCGGCGGAGCCTGCTTCTCTCGGACCTCCAGAGACCTCGGATCCGTCCGAGCACCTGCCCTAGTCCTGCCTGGTCCCCCAGGACAGTCCCAAGCCACTCCTCCCCAGGCGAGCACAGCGAAGGGTGCGCGGGATTGCCAAGCCAGTTCCTCTTGATGGCAGTATTGCTCCAGAAATGCCCACCTGCCCTTCCCCCACGTCCACTCCCTCCGCCCTTTGCTGAGGAAAAAACGCCAACAGCGCCCCGCACATGGCGGATCAGCATCTCGGCCGCTTTGGGCCAGCCCTGGCCCACCTGCGGGACCCTGTCCTTGGCAGATGGGACTCGGCGGGACCCTTCTTACTAGCCTGCCTTCCTGACAAACCAGAAAGCGGTCCCCTTGGACCGCCCTGGGGATGGACCCGACCTAACCGCATCCCTAACGATGCGTTAGGATGGGAGGATGGTGGAACCCGCAGGGACGAGAAGGAGACTGGGCACACACGAGGATCCCAGCCCCGGCCCTGCCCCCCGGGACACATTGGCACTTGGGCATTCTCACGGGTCACGGCAAGGCCAGCTTGACCAAGAGGTCAAAGGCGACTGGCGTCCCACTGACCGCTGGGGGTTTGGCCTCAAACTTCAGGTGAACCCACAATTCCGGAATAGCGGGACCGGCACCCGGGCCCTTCTCACGTGGCAGCACCGGCAAGGGGCTGGGGGAAGAGCCCACGCCAGCCTACGTCACGCAGGAAGGGAGCCAGTGGCCACCCCAAACACACCTCTCCTCCTCACACCTGGCCTACGTCCAACTCTCCACGGCTCTGCCCAGAAGGCTGCACGTACAACACACACAGAGGCGGGCATTTCCCTGACGACTCGTGTGTGCCGTGGGGGAGCGGTAGATGGCCCAGCCCCAAGTGTTCCGATCTTCCTGCCCAAACATATTCTGTGACGGAAAGCCTATGTTGACCTCGTCCGGCACTCAAGGCGTGGGCAGCGGCCTAACGTCTGCTGCGGGAACACAGTCGCGTTGAATGCTATTCTCAAGACAGACAAAACAGTGGGAAGACACTACGCCAGGCTGCTAACTCCCTGTCCCTTGCCGGACTCTTTGACCTCCATGGACTTTCCATTGTTGTTTTCTACAGCACCGTTTCTTCTTTCTCTGTCTCTCTTTCTCTCTCTCTCTCTCTCTCTCTTTCTGTCACTCTCTCTCTCTCGACATTGAGGTCCAACGCCCTCTCACCCACTTCTTCCGGGCTCGCTTCCTTTTCTGCTCTCCATGTCTCAACATGATTGGGTTTCTTGGACTGTCTGGTTCTTCTTGCCCACATGTGCCTTTAAAGGGGACATGGATTAATAAGAACACATAACATTCATCATGTCTAAAAAATCAACGTTGGGAAAGCTGTTACGGGAATTGGGTTTTTACATGTCACCACAGAACTTATGTGAGTTATTTCATTTTGGAAATAAGGCCGGGGCCAGTGAAGCACTGCAATTCCACAACTTTGGGACGTCACGGTAGGTGGATTCTTTGAGCTCGGCAGTTCTAGGCCAGCGTGAGCAATATGGCGGAACCCCATCTCTGCAAAAAATAGTAATATTAATAAAAGACCCATCCAAACAATAACCAAAAACTATCCCGGTGTGGTAGTGCGCACTTGTAATAACAGCTACTTTGGAGGATGTGTTTGGAGGATTGCTGGAGGCCAGAAAGTTGAGGCTGTAGTGAGTCTTGAAGGTGCCACAGCATTCCAGCCTGGGTGACAGAGGAAGACTCCCTATCAAGAAAGGAGGAAAGAATCAGAGAAGGGAAGAGAAAAGAAAGCCAAACTTTTGCCTCAGTATCAGTAACAAGAAACATATGCACATACAAATACACACACACACTGAGCACTGCCCTCTAGAAATAACCAATGTAATTGTGTTTTCTTTCCTTTTTGACTCTTTGTCTACATAATTTGTCCAACTTGTATCGATATTTTGTATTATTATGACTATCTTCTATCATCTTTGATACCTTAAATTATTTCTTTATAATCTTCTTTTTATTTCATTAATAATCACGGCCATTTCAAATCCTATTTTACAGAACTGTAGAAAGATGAAAATGTGAAAGCCCTGAAATTTTTGTTGTTTGAGACGGAATCTCACTCTGTCACCAGGGCTGGAGTGCATTGGCAGGTTATCATCTCGCTGCAACCTCCCCCTCCCGGGTTCAAGCGATTTTTCTGCCTCAGTTTCCCGAGTATCTGGGATTAGAGGCACCCGCCACTACACCCAGCTATTTTTTTGTATTTTTAGTAGAGACGGGGTTTCACCATGTTGGCCAGGCTAGTCTCGAACTCCTGACCCTGTGATTCGCCCGCCTTGGCCTCCCAAAGTCCAGGGATTAAATGTGTGAGCCACCTCGCCCAGGCAAGTCCCTGAAAATTTTGAGGGCTTGTCCTTCCACGTTGTTAAGTGCATATATGGAAATGAAGTATATTGCCGTTTTTCTTTCTTTTTTTAAAAGAAGGGCTCTGGCTCTGATGCCCAAGATGGAGTGCAATGGAGCAATCCCAGTTCACTGCAGTCGCAAAGTCCTGGGCACAAGCAATCCTCCCGCCCCAGCCTCCAGAGTAGCTGGAACTACAGGCCCGCGGCATCATGCGTGGCTAATTTTTGTTTAGAGACGGCGTTTCACCATGTTGGCCAGGCTGGACTCGAACTCCTGGTCTCAAGTGATTCTCCCGCCTTAGTCTTCCAAGGTGCTGGGATTACAGGCGTGAGCCACTGCGCCCGGCCTGAAGCTGTATTTCTTTTTGTTCAATTATTCGTTAGAGGAAATGTTTCTTCTACAGTTTTACATTACGGGGAGCCCTGCCTGTGGGCAGGGCAGCCACGTGGTTTAACAACCACTCAATCTAAACCGAACGAGAGCGCACACCTCCTCAGCCATGTAGGTGGGGAGAACACCAGTGGGGCGAAGAAATCTGCAGGCGCACCCTTCTCCCTCTGCCCGCCCTGCCACAGGAGACGCTTCCAGGCTCCCGACGGGGAAGGCCAGAAAGGCTCTACTAGAAGGACCTCCCTACACTTGCCAGAACTAAAACTTAGGCAGCGGCAAAAACTCGGCGTCCAAAACGCGCCCGAAAGCCCTCCGATGCCTGCAGGACGCTGGAGCCAGCTCGGCTGCAGCCGCCATTGCACAAGGTCGCGCGCCCGGCACTGGCTGCCCAGAAGCCGGAGGGCAGGGAAGGTCCTCTGCACCAGAAAGGCTGCCCATGGCACAAACCCTGATCTCGTGTCCTGTGTCAAGGAAAGGAAAGGCAAATAAAGGAAAGAAAAGGCGAAGGAGACCTACCTGATTGAGGCCACGCGCCAACGGGAAAGGCCCAGTCCGCTCTACGTCCCGCAGTCGCACCTCAGATATGGGGTAGGATGCCCCCTCCCCATTCCTGGGAGGTGAGGGCTGAAAGAATCCGGGGAGGGGAAGGGAGAGGAATCCGGTCTTCCTAGAGCCGGCTCCGCCCAGGGTAGGAGTGGGGTGTCCTCAGCCTGCTCCTGGTGCAAGAAGGGGCGGAGAGAGGCAGCTTTGGGAAAGTTGGGTGGGAAACCTCTTGTCTTAGCTAATTGCTGAGGAGTACCTATTTGTCCCATTTGTTTCCTTTGAGTAAGGTCTTCGCTGGCAAGAGGGCAAAGGAGACTGATGTATCGAGAAAATGAAAAGTTTACTGTTTAACATTCACAAAACGGTTTAGAGGAAAAAGAAGCTTAAGCAAGTACACTTTCAGGCGATGTTATAAGTTTGTATCATCTGTATGCCTGACGTTATTGAAAGCTTCAATTGTTCCCTCCCCAGGTGAGAGGCGTCTTCCCAAGACCAGACACTGCCGGTGCCCTGTCACCTCCCACTTTTTTTCTGGAACTGCTAGGGGCCCAGCGCTGCTTCTGCAGCCTTCCAGGGGATGCTGCTGGTGGCGCGTATGCCGCCTAGGTGGGTGGGGATGTGCTGAGGCCGAAGGAGTGACAGCGACTCGCAGGTTTCCCCTGCCTGACCAGTCCTCTGATTGATATTTTCTTTTGAAAAAAGGGACTTGCGGCCGGGCGCGGTGGCTCACGCCTGTAATCCAACACTTTGGGAGGCCGAGGCGGGTGGATCACCTGAAGTCGGGAGTTCGAGACCAGCCTGACCAACATGGAGAAACCCTGTCTCTATTGAAAATACAAAATTAGCCGGGCTTGGTGGCGAATGCCTGTAATCCCAGCTACTCAGGAGGCCTAGGCAGGAGAATCGCTTGAACCTGGGAGGCGGAGGTTGTGGTGAGTCGAGATCGCGCCATTGCACTCCAGCTTGGGCAACAAGAACAAAACTCCGTCTCAAAAAAAAAAAAAAAAAAAAAAAGGGACTTGCTGCTCTTGCAGAATGGAGACACCTGTAGCGTATTAAGGAAAATGAAGATAATCTGTTGATGACAGTACTCTGAGGAGTGTTAACTTGGGGCATGCATCCTCCCAGCACCTTGTTCCCTAAGGGGAGGGGAGATGCAAATAAAGGTCCTTTAAAAATAATAGCCTGGTGAGTTCCCAAGGCTCATGGGAATCATGCAAGCTATTCGGGTTGCTTAAAAACTTGACTGTGAAGATGTTGTGGAATTTTTTTTTTCTCTTCACAATGTAGTCCTTGATTGGTTTTTGGGAGAATTTTTTTTTTCACAAATGGAAACGTGTTTTCAGTGGGAACCAAAGTCATTCCTGCCCAGGTACACTCTCCAGTGAACTCACCTTAAAAGAGACACTTAAAAAGAAATCTAAGGCCTCTGAGGGCACTACAACTGGTCTTTGACCAGCTCCAACTTCTCAGAATTTCCTGGCTCCATTTCACTCCTCACCAACTGACGTTCACACTCTCAGTCCGCCACCCCCACCCCAAGACCACCTGCTGCCAGATACTCCCAGACCTTTTCTCTTACTCATTCCCTTGCGGTTTGGGCAGAGGTGGGTGGGAATTACCAGGAGGTGGGGGGAGGAGGAGCATAAATGGGCACAGGTGATGCTTTATTCTTGTCAGGCAGCTGCCTTCACCTGCTAAGGGGAGAGTTGGGGGAGGGTTTAAGGCTCTGCCACAACTCCACGTTGTAGAAAATGGAAACTGAAAAGAGCTTTCCCCTCACCCCAGGTGGAATTACCCAAAAAGTAACTGAGCTATGAATCTCAGCTGCCCCTCTCTGGATACTTCCCTGTCTTTCTCCTCCTTTATTTAAGGGAGGAATGTCCATCGCCTGACACAGAGAACTAAGTCATAGCCTTTTTTCTGTCTACATTCCCTGAACGGACAGATTCAATAAGCACTCATTGTGCCAGGAAACCAAGGTCTACAGAGGCTAAATGGTTTTGCCAAGGTGAATTAAGGTGGCAGGATGGAACCAAACATGCCAGGCTCTCATGCTGCAAATCCTTTGCTTTCTCCATGCAAACGGCCAAGCAGCTCAG